>NC_000005.10:80715867-81018897 GCF_000001405.40 Homo sapiens | reverse complement strand
CTGGGAGGCAGAGGTTGTAGTGAGCCGAGATTGCGCCACTGTGCTCCAGCCTGGGTGACACAGTGAGACTCTGTCTCAAAAAAAAAAAAAAAAAAGTGCAGATGGACAAAACCAGACAGCAATTCTCCAGTCTAGGTACATTTCAAAAGCAGTAAAAAAGTATGTGGTCATGTTATTCACCGTATAATTCATTACCTCCTCCTCTTTCTTGTTTTTTCCCTTTCTTCTTTCTGTAGCTGCTTGTGAGGTAGAAATGAAATGCATTTTAAACATTGGATATATTGATGAAACTGGGTTTTATGTTCCTTTATTCTAATGTTTGCTCTGAATTTAATCTTCACATATCTCAGTACTTAACCCAAACTGACAAGTGAGCTGTCTTTAACACTCATGGGAGCTTCAACTAATGTTTTCCCGGTACGTCTGGCCCTTCAGAAGGGTAAAGTATCCCATCCCTGAGCCGTAGAGGCACAGAGAACTCACTCTAAATCTGACTTGCTGCCACTGTAGGATAGCAAATGGGAGAGAGAGAACTAAGACGAGGCAGAACAAAAATAACAGTAAGGTCGGCATAAAACAGGGGGAAATACTTTGTTTCTTGATACCATTCCCTCCCCTTCTCCTCACACTTCTACTCCTTCATACTTCTTACTACTAAAATGTTACTTGCAAGGGGTTTCTCTACCTATCCCAGCTGATCATTGTGCCAGCTGGTGGGGCACCAACTGAAGAAGAAAAGCCTAGAGTCTTTTTTTCTGTTTTTTCTTTCTTTCTTTCTTTCTTTTTTTTTTGAGACAGTCTCGCTCTGTCATCCAGGCTGGAGTGCAGTGGCGCGATCTTGGCTCACTGCAACTGCTGCCTCCCAGGTTCAAGTGATTCTTCTACCTCAGCCTCGCAAGTAGCTGGGATTACAGGTGCCCGTCACCATGTCCGGCTAATTTTTTTGTTGTTGTTATATTTTTATTAGAGATGGGGTTTTGCCATGTTGGCCAGGCTGGTCTCAAACTCCTGACCTGAAGTGATCCACCTGCCTCGGCCTCCCAAAGTGTTAGGATTACAGGCGTGAGCCACTGCACCTTGTCCAGAAAAGTCTAGAGTCTTATCTTGGTCCCAGCTTGTCTCTAGGAGCAGAAATATTTCATCTCGTGGCTCAGTGACTGGTGTTTACCATAACTCTATCCCATGGGCAGGTTTAACTTCAAGAATATTCTGTGTGAATTAAAGAAGACTGACTTTCCAACTCATTTATAGAGTCTATCTTTTCATATCATGGTTACACAGTACGTTAAAGTTCATTCTTTATTGTCAAATCTTCCAGCTGCCACCTCCGCATCTTCTGAGGAACAAAGATCTAAGAGGCTGAATTCTTAGCACCTCCACCCTATTGGTTCAATTCCCTTTAAACCTCAATTCAGAGGCCTTGCCATGGGCACATTTGCTTCACTAGAAGCCAACTTTTATTCATACCAGCATTGAGCAGGCCAAGTGTGGTTCAGCAGGAGCCAGAGGCTAGAAAGCAGACATCAGGATTCTCTCAGGGAAACAGTGTGAACTCTGGCAAGTCCCACTTTGTGCTCAGTTTGTTCTTGGAAACAAGCCCACCTTTCCTACTAACCTCTAGGTGAGGATCAAATGCAGTAACACACATCAACATGCCTTGAAAAGCATGAAGTGCATCCTGTCATTGCTGTAATAGTGGAACTGCCAGAGTGCACCTGGAAACCAGTCACCTCCAGGCTGCCTAGGACACTGGACTCCTGCCGGAGCTGTGAAACTGGGTAATTTCAGCTTTCTCTCCTTTTTTTGCCCTTCTTGCCTCAGATAAATGTGTTCATGCATGAGGAAAAGAAGAAAGGGATGTATGACAATTATCAACCAGCACATACAAAAACAGTACGACCCAGTGTGGTCATACTATCTTTGTTGGGGTGGTTGTTAGTTGTTTTGTTTTTGTGGACTTTTAGGTGGATGTTTAATAGTCATATTGAAAACAGTTCTGATTCTCCCAAAGGCTTAGAGAGGAGTTTATATTTTTTAAGCTTGAATGACATGCAAGAGTTTTCTACATCATTTATCCCAATAGAAGACAACACATAGAGTAGAAATTTGAAATTATGAATAAAGCAAAGCATTAGCCTTCATAAAATCCACACTGTGCTACTAGATCAGCTTTTATACACTGTCTTAAAATATATTCTTCCTTTATTTCTATTTTTTACATTCTCAAAGAAGTAATGAATATATTATTCTATTAAATACATTTTGATAGGCAAGAATTCCACTTAGAATCCAGCTCATGGAGTTTGGCTGCATCCTATTGTGGTTTTCTCCCACAACAGGAAAAACACATTCAGTCTGGCTTCCAAATTTTACAAACAACTGAAGCAAATTAAACTGTGCTCACTGGAGAGTGACAAGGACAATAAGGAGTCAGAAAGCCTGTCATTTTAAGAATGCCTAAGAGAATTTAATATATTAAGTTGCTCTTCAAATCTCTGAGAGCCTATCATAAAAATCTGGACAGAGAAACTTTCATCAACCAAGGAATCTGAGAATCTGAGCTGCCATAAATCACCAGGCCTATTGAGATTTATGCAAAGGGAAGCTTGCTGCATGGGGGCTTAAGTCATAATCCCCAGTTTGCAGAGAAAGACAATGATTCCTCTCTGTTTTGTTAAATTCTCATACAAGTTTTTGTCTTTCTCTTGTATTATCATTCCAGCTAGGGATTGACGTGGAAGATAACATTTGATCTATATGATTCTCTTCACCCCACTCCCAGCTCTCTCATTTACTTGTTTACAGAGAGATAGCCAACTCTCGTCAGCTTCAGAGCCACTGACTGAGCGCACATATGAGTTCAGTCGCCATTGTCACCATCTTCTCTTACAGTGTGATGACTAAGTCTTTTATAAGGTTGTGCCTGGTTTATATTGGTAATCATCAGTTACACTTATCAAATTAGCTTGGAAACACCATTGCATTGATTAATTTTAATCGGAAGCATTGGGTTAATTACATTATCAAAGTGCCAGAAAGAATACTTAAAAACATTGTTTCATTTTTTGCATTTTAAGTGCTAACTACTCAATGAATTTAAGTGCAATAACTAACACAAATTCATTGACCAACACTCAGAGATGGAAGCCCTAATAATAATCATATAATAATCAAATTATCATATATATCCAAAATGTCATATGCTCATGAAGCAACAACAATATAAAAGGACTAATTAATGTATTTAATATATGAAGAGGTTTTCAAAATCAATAGGAAAAAGCTAAATACACCAATAGAAATGTGGGCAAAGGAACAGAATATTCACATGCCCACAAATAAAACGAAAAAATTATAAAACACCAGAAAATGTGAAAAAAAATCACTGATAATCAAAGAAATGTACATTAAGACAATTTTGCCAAATTACAACTTTTTTTATAAATAGCTCTTTGAGCTGATTCCTTTGTTTATTATTTATTTATTTATTATTGGTTTTTTAATTTTACTTTAAGTTCTGGGATTCTAAATTAGTTCAACCACTGCAGAAGACAGTGTGGCGATTCCTCAAGGATCTAGAACCAGAAATACCATTTGACCCAGCAATCCCATTACTGGCTATATACCCAAAGGATTATAAATCATTCTACTATAAAGACACATGCACACGTATGTTTATTACAGTCAAATTACAACTTTTTAAAAATAATAAAATCTAGAGTTGGAAAGTGTAGTGTGCCGATTGAAATAAAAATGGCTACCATCTTTGTGAAGATGGTTGGCAATCTGTATGACAGGCTTTAAAAGATCCCCAGGCTAAGCTCAGTAGCTCACACCTGTAATCCAACACTTTGGGAGGCTGATGTTGGAGGACTGCTTGAGTCCGGGAGGTCAAGGATACAGTGAGTCGTGACTATGCCACTGCACTCCAACCTGGGCAACAGAATGTGACCCTGTCTCAAAAATAAATACATAAATAAATAATTCTCATTTTTATAGAGGAATCTATACCAATAAAATATTTGGAAATATATATAATGACTATGTACAAGAATGTTCTTAGCATCATTAATAATAATAAAAATGTCCAACAATAGGAGACAAGTTAAATAAACTGTGGAATATTTATACTGGAATACCCTGAGCAACTAAATTAATAATCATGCTCCCTAAGAATATTTTCAGGATTCTTCATAGGAACATTCCTTATTTTAATAAGTTTTAAAGCAAGTTGTAAAATATCATATTAGCACATTTCAGTTGCTGCCCACCACAGGGAATACAGGGTTTGGTGACTGGGTGTTGATGTGGTTTGGCTGTTTCCCAACCCAAATCTCATCTTGAATTCCCACGTGTTGTGGGAGGGACCTAGTGGGAGGTAACTGAATCATGGGGGCAAGTCTTTCCTGTGCTGTTCTTGTGACAATGGATAAGTTTCGCGAGATCTGATGGTTTTAAAAGGAGGCATTCTTCTGCACAAGCTCTCATCTTTTGCCTGCCACCATCCACATAAGATGTGATTTGCTCCTCCTTGCCTTCTGCCATGATTGTGAGGCTTTCCCAGTCATGTGGAACTGTGAGTCCATTAAACCTCTTTCTTTTGTAAATTGCCCAGTCTTGGGTGTGTCTTCATCAGCAGTGTGAAAACAGACTAATACAAGTATGAAACAAATTCTGTAAATAATAATATGTCTAGAAAAGCACTAGCATAAGGAAGCAGAAGACATAAAAGAGAAATTTTACATAAAAATGTAAAACTTTTGTAGGATAAAATACACCATGAACAAAGTTGAAAATAGACCACAAGAAGTTATTTCCAATGTAAGGGTTAACTGATTATTATCCACATATATAATCAATAAAAAAAAGACGATCCATAGGAAAATGGGCAAAACTATAAGTAGGCAAGTTACAAAATAAAAAATAGAACTTTCTAATGAGTATAAAAACATTCTCACTCTCACTAGAATTTAGAGAAAAGCCAATCAAAACATTGTCACCCATCAGACAGGGTACTATGATAACAGCTTTACAAAATTATTATTGAACATGGGGAAATGGGAACACCGATACAACACTGGTAAGAGAACACTGATAACACCAACTGCAGAGAGTCATTTGATAATATCTATTAGAATTTTAAATAAGTTTCTAGTTCCAGTAATAGTAGCTTTCACTAACTCTCTAGTAGAAAACAATTAGAAATCTGGGATAATACATACAACATACATATATTTAGAATAACATATATATATACACATACACAACATAATACATAGCATAACATATATATATATATATAACAAATATATTTGGGACAACATATATAACTATTTGACAACAAAATTCAAGAGAGGATTTGATTGTTGAAAGAAGGGAATTGTGCATGAGCTCCGTGTCTATATAGCTTTTCGCATGAGGGCACACCACAGCCCAGGTGGTGTGGCACAGCCACAAGTCAAGCAGAAAGCCACAGTTTCACTGGTCTGAGGAATAACTGAGGACAGAACTGAGATATGTCCGAGTAACAGAAATTAAGGGAGAAAGTATGGAAAAAGGTGGGAATCGCAGAGAGGATGTCCTAAAATCTGCCTTAGAAACTTTGCTCAAATCTTTGGCTGGACCCTGAATTGTGAAGGGAAGTTCCAAGGAACCCAGTAGAAAGCAAGAGCTGGAAGACTGAAAAACTGATCAAAGATTTCAGCTGCTACCTACTATAGGAAAGACAGAGTTTGGAGACTGAGTCAGCCAAGTAAACTGCCTGCTAGAGTTAAAATGAACACTCTTCAGAGGAAAATAACAGAATATAGAGTGTCTTAAAACTCTGTGGGGGTGTTGCAGCCATTACCGTATTTGGGGCCTGCTCCTATATGTCCATTCATATGCTTCTTCCCAAATCTGTTGTCTCCAAACTTTGAGTCCCTTTCCTTCCAATCCCCTGATTCCAGCCAGGCTATTCACCACTGCCTTGCTTCTGTATGTACTTGAACATCAGGCAGCTTTTCTTCCCACCCAAAGTGGATGACCAGGTGCACGACCTTGTCACACACAGTCTTTCAAGGCCATATTGAGCTGAGCCATCCATAACCCAAGCTTGGGCTTTTTCCTTGTGCCTCCTCTGCTTGTACAGGATCCCCTAGACAGCAATAAGTGTTCGCTGAGAAAGGGGTGCTGTTCTAACAGTGGTGGATGCTATGGAGGTGAATAGTAAAAACTGCGTCGGAGTTGTCCCACCTCAGTCTGAAGTGGCTGGACCTTTACATCACCCCTCACTCAGGCACTGAATGTGGGCTGCCTCAGGAAGGGCATAACCTTGGACAAGGTAGCTCTCTACAGCTGTAGTGACTCTGAAGGCGCCGACAGACGCCGTCTAGATTCCGTCTACTGACCACACGCTACGGCTGGGGAGCAACTCCTTCTCTGAGGCAGAGATCTGCTGGATGTAAATGTCTCCGTGTCTAGCAAAATCCCAAGTATCTATCATCAGGTAAATAAATGATATGTGGTATGTTAATGCACTGGAAAACTGTTCAGCAAGAAAAATAACTACTGATACGTACAACAACATGAATGAATCTCCCCATAAATTACTATTAATTCCACAGAAAAAAAAATCACTTTATCATGGAGAGCTCTGGCAGATAGCATCATACCCAAGTAAATAAGGTCAAGAAAAAAATTACAAGTTTATACAGACAGAGAGTATAAAGGCAAATGGGGTAAAATGCTCATAACTAGGAAATCTGGATTAAGGACGTAACAAGTTCTTTGTACTACTCTTGCAGTTTTCCTGATGTTTGAAATAATAACAAAATGTAAAGCTTTTAAAAGCTGGGATGCTCGAAGACAAGTTCACGGTCATAGCTCCAGGCATCATGGATCTGCTATAAAAGTTCAGGCCACCAGCAACGTTGTAGAGCTTCTGCATTTATGTCAATAGGTGACAAAAAGCAAGATTTTGAGCAATTTTGAACTGACCCTTTACTCTAAAAGAAAAAGAAATATATATAATGTCTATGTATATATAATGTGTATGTTTGCAAATGGATAAAGAAAAATACTGAAAGCACATGCTAAATGAGGAAAATGTAAGTTATGTAAATGCCAATTCCAAGTAACTATTTTCTTTTCCTTTTTTTTTTTTTGTTTGTTTGTTGAGATGGAGTTTCGCTCTTGTTGCCCAGGCTGGAGTGCAATGGCTCGATCTCAGCTCATGGCAACCTCCGCCTCCCAGGTTCAAGCAATTCTCCTGCCTCAGTCTCCCGAGTAGCTGGGATTACAGGCATGTGCCACCATGCCAGGCTAATTTTGTATTTTTAGTAGAGACGGGGTTTCTCCATGTTAGTCAGGCTAGTCTCAAACTCCCAACTTCAGGTGATCCACCTGCCTCAGCCTCCCAAAGTGCTGGGATTACAGGCATGAGCCACCGTGCCGGGCCCCAAGTAACTATTTTCTAGTGAAACACTCACTCAGATGCTCAAAGGGCACATACAGGAATATTCACTGTAATGTTGGTTTAATGGTAAAAAAAGAAGCAACAACCTAAATGTGTACCAATAAAGCGATAGCTAAATAAACTATAACACAGTCATATCATGAATAAATAGTTTCAAAGAATGAGTTAGATCTACATGTACCAACATAAATAGGACAGGCAATAAAAAAAAATAGTAAGCTAGAGAAAAAATACAGAATCAGTAACATTTATGAAAAAGTATTCATAAAAGTAACTGGAAGTAAATATACCAAAATGAATTTAGTGGTTACCTCTGAGTAACTTTTATCTTCTTATCCATATATTTTGTGCATTTTTCAAATTAGCCATAATGAGTATACCACATACATCTTAAATATGTCAACAGTCCTATGTGCAGTAAAGATGTGAAAAATATTCAGGGCTTACTGAACATTTTCCTGCTTTAAAACATACAAACGCAATGCTGCAACATAGCAATGTGAAAAAGAGAGCTATTTGGTATGCATTTATTTAGAAGTAGAAAAATATACAATGAGTTACTGGAAACATTTATGTAAATAAAAGAACATGAAGCACATCTGGTGGACATGTCTGGCTATTAAAAACCACAGGCGCAGGATTAGGAAGGGCACTTACCATGTTGCCTGAATGTGACTACTAATGATGGTTTTGCTGGGCCTCTTTCCCTAAGAAGACTTTTAATATTAAAAATACATTTTCACCTCATTTGCTGATAGCTGAAAGCTTACAGCTGTCAGACTTTTAGAAGAAAATGACAGTCTCAAATCACCCAAAATCAGAATGGCTAAGAATACCAAACTTCGGTGCTGGAAAAGAAAATTGGCACTTGCTCATGTGCACTACCTAGAACTTTACATTTTTGCTGCTTCTCCAAAAATCTTCAAAAAGCAAAACTTCTCTCGAACTCTCCAGAGTAATGCGTTTTTCATTGAGCTCACACCACACTCTTCTCATACATAACAAATAATTCAGTTCTGTGCCTTACACATTTGGCCTTTTTTCATTGTAAAAATACAAGCCAAATACCATGGCTTCTGTCCACCATCTATGCACATTATTTCCCTCTTAAGAAAAAGTTTGAGTTTTTCGTCCGTGAAAATAATACACATATATAAATACGGAAAATACAGAGAGGCAAAATTAGAGAGGAAAATTCATTCATAATCCTACCATCATCCAAAGACAACCACTGTTAAATCTTGATGTATAGCTCTCAAATCTATTTTCTTTTTCTTTTTTTTTTTTTGAGATGAAATCTCACTCTGTCACTCAGGCTGGAGTACAGTGGCACGATCTCAGCTCACTGCAACCTACCTCCAGGATTCAAGCAATTCTCCTGCCTCAGCTTCCCGAGTAGCTGGAACTACAGGCACCCAACCCCATGCCCGGCTAATTTTTGCATTTTCATAGAAACGAGGTTTCACCATATTGGCCAGGCTGCTCTCGAACTCCTGACCTTGTGATCCGCCCGCCTCTGCCTCCCAAAGTGCTGGGATTACAGGTGTGAGCCACCGCACCCGGCCTCTCCAATCTATTTTCTAAAACCATTTTAATACAGTCATGCTCATGCTGCATATGCAATGCTATTCCAGCATAGTTTTCAGGTCACATGATAACTTAAGAATTTTTCCATATTACTTAAAACTGTAGTAAACGTTTATAAAGTGTACATAATGTTACACAGAAATGATATACTACTTAAATATTTACTTAAATTACATTTGCCTATTTTAACATTTGGAAGGTTTTTAATTATTCCTTATAAATCTTGGTATATACAATTTTTTATTTGACTTTTGGGTTACTCCATTGGTGGAGATTCTCAAGAACAGATGAAAGACATGAATAACTTGGTTTATGGAAGTTTGTTTTTAGACTTGCTTTAGGGATATTTGCTCCTCATGTTTGCCAAGTCTGATGTGATGCTCCATCTGACAGACATGATAATAAGCTACTGAACAACACTCACATCACAATTTTAGCGACTGAGTGGCCCCATATGTGATGCTATATCTGGACATTCTAGGCAGTTGATGGCTCCTACCCTCTAGAAGCTTACATCTGCTCTCAGGGTATAAGGGAAGTTCACTAACCTGGGCAGTATATGATGATATTCATTAACTGCCTATCTAGGCATGAAAATGGTTACATATCCACTCAGTGCTTAATATATGGCAGGCATTGTTCTGAGATCCATCCTGCATTTTCTCATCGAGTTCTCGTCATGAGCCCATAATTTATTCCCCTTTTACAGATGAGGAAACAGGCTGAAAGAGGCAGGACAATCACCCACAACCCATCAGGGCATGTGCTCTCAGCTGCAGGCCCAGGGGTAGTAGTGGACTCCCACTGGTCTGCCACACTCTGTTGTGAGTCTCTGTTGTGAAAGCTATCTATGTGGCAAAGCCAACCAGATCATGAGTCCAAAACCCAGGACTCTGACTTGAAGTTCTACTTGCTGAGACAATCAACCACAAAAGGATGGATCACACGGAAAGGAAGAAATAGATGGGCTGGAGCCTGTATAGATAAGAAGTATGTCCAGAAAATAAATTTCCAAAAAATCATCAAGTCTACAAAATTCTATTCTGCCCTTGAATTTTATAATGGTTCTAGATGCCACCCTAGCCATTTCTGTTCTCATTTCTAATATTAAATCAGCAGCCTAAGAGACAGGAGGTGCTACAAAAGGGAGAGGAAGGAGGGAGGGAAGAAGAGAAGGAAGAGGGGAGGAATCCATTTTATCCATTATTTTATCAACCATCTTATTTTTGAAAGTGTCATGCTGGTATGTATTTTATAGACACACATATACTGATCTTAAGAAGATTACAGTTTAGCTGAAAAGCTAAATTAGGCACTCATAAAGCAATTAAATAACATTATAAGATTAAGTAACAGTGCAAGATGTGTCAAAGTGCTAAAATAAGCTGTATGAAAACTGAAACCAGCCAGGCACGGTGGCTCATGCCTGTAATCCCAGCACTTTGGGAGGCTGAAGCAGGTGGATCACTGGAGGTCACGAGTTTGAGACCAGCCTGACCAACAGGGTGAAACCTCGTCTCTATTAAAAATACAAAAATTAGCCGGGCGTGGTGACACATGCCTGTAATCCCAGCTACTGGGGAGGCTGAGGCAGGAGAATTGCTTGAACCCGGGAGGAGGAGGTTGCAGTGAGCCGAGATTGTGCCACTGCACTCCAGCCTGGGCGAAGAAGCGAGACTCTGTCTCAAAAAAAAAAAAAAAAAAAAAAAAAAAAAGGAAAGAAAGAAAGAAAAAGAAAACTGAAACCATCATCATCCACTTTTTCCAATTACTACACATTTGAGATAGCTGGTTCTGTAAATCAGACGAGACAGTGCAATTTTGGCCTATCAGAAAGTGTTTACCATAGATGAAGACAATAAATACTATTGCTGGATGGTCCTGGGAAGCTGAGGGTATTGGAACCCTTCCATAACTGCCATGGCCAAGGGATGAGGATGCTTCCATTGCTTTTCCTGTTCACGTCTCTCTCTTCAGTTCACCCCCTCCCAAATGAGAAGCTGCATCGGATCTGCTTGCTCAGCATTTTGCATTTACTAGGTGACTCCTCCATGGATGAGGTCACTCCTTTGAAGAACAATACATGGTTATCCTTCTGTCTCAGTTGCACCTGCGATTAGGTGAGCAAGTCAAGCAGTTATCGTGGAGGGGCAGCTGATCTGAATAGTTCACTTTCCTCGTCCTAAATCAGCCTTCAATATTTACCATAAATGCAAGGACCACCCTGAGAAAGTTGAGTTTGTTGGCGTGAATTTTTCTTAATGGAAAAAAGAAAGCGAGGGAGTATATGGCCAACTAACCCTCACCATGAAGGAAAAAATGACATCCCGGGGCAGCTGACAATAGGGCTCTCTAAACACTTGGTGCCAGTGTGGAGGTGTTCTGGCCTCAAGGCAGCTCCAGGGAGAGGGTCCCTGGGAAAGAATGAACCCCTTCCTCAGGGCAGAAGAGCCTGCTTCACTGCACAGAGTGGTCTCTCAGGAGCTAGAAAAGTTAATGAAGTTGCTGAGCTTGAAAACCAGAAAGTAGGCAAAAAGAAAAACAAGTTCAACCTTCCTCCAACACAGGAAATAATTTGAAACCACAATCAGAAA
Source organism: Homo sapiens (assembly GCF_000001405.40). NCBI lineage: Eukaryota > Metazoa > Chordata > Mammalia > Primates > Hominidae > Homo > Homo sapiens. The sequence continues at coordinate 81,007,260 of NC_000005.10, read as the reverse complement.
CTTTTTGAGCATTATGAAAGTGTAGAGGCCAAGGGAAAACTCCTCCCCTTCACCTTCTGCAGGTTTCCTGAAAGCTACACCCCCTCCCGAATGAGAAGCCACATCTAACAAAAGGAAGGTTAACAGGAGAAGAGGCATATACACATTTATAAATGTGTACGGAGGCAGGCGGATCACACAGTGATTACTCCACCACGCAATGAGGTACAGATGGTTAATGGTTATATACCCTTCTGAGGAGAAAGGGAGATGGGGAAGTGAGGCTTATTTTAGGGGGTTAGTAAACCATTTTTAGGAGAATGCCATGGACTCGAGGAACATACAATGGCCTGGGACAATGTCTCGTGGGCCCGCAGAACAGACAATGGTTTGTGACAAGTCTATAAAAGTGTGTTGATGGACTTGGAATCTTTCTTTCTGAGACATGTGTTCAGTTAATGAAAACTCAGGAAAGTGACCAGAAGTAATTGTTTTCTTCTTCAGCAGGTCTGGACTTTAGGCAGATAAGGGAACTTCAGAGAACAATTTTATCCTGTGCTTTGGGGCAGACGGAGAAGTGGGGAAAGGGGGATCCGAGAGGTCTCAAGGCTCCTTCCTCGGTTCAGCATGTCAAAGCACCATAGTTCGGGGCATCAGCTTCTGAACCCCAGCAAAGGGAATAAGCATTTTGATGGCTTCTAAATCACCAAAACACAGGAGGAAGAAGTGGGTTAGCTGCTCTGGGGTATGGAACTATTAGATTCTGACACACTTACAGCCTTATCTCTGCCTACTACATATGAAGCTTTCTACTGACTATTCTAGAAGGTAACATACTTTCAGAAACACCTTTGCACTTTCAAAACTATCATGGCTTTACCAAAACCACTTAACTCAAAAGACTTTTCACTTTCAAAGGTCCTTCAACCAAAGTTAGAAGCATATTAAGTGAAATCAAGACCAGTCTGAAGGGCAATCAAAACAGGATCCCCATAGAAAACTGTGCATTGAGCATGACTACAGCCCAATAAACAACTAAACAACCTAAAGGGGCAAATTCGACAGGAAATACACCGAAATATTAAAGTAGATGTCCTTGGGTAATACAAATTTGAGTAAGGTTGGTTCTATAGCCATACAATTTTTAAAGATTTATTTTTATTAAAAACACAAAACTTAATTAAATAAATAAATATTAAAGTCCAAGTTGTTTGAAATATTTCCCTTCATATCTTGAAAGCCTTTCAATCTCACTCAGGAAAACGTTTGAACTTGGAACATTTGAACTTGGAAGCGACCTTAAAGATTGTCCGATAAAACTACTTCATTCTACAGCTGAGGAAACAGAGTGAACTTCCAAACACATGGCCAGTCAGGCGCTGACCTGGAACTCTAATCAGCAATTCCTACCTCTGACTTAATGCCCTCTCTATCACAGACAGAGCCCACCTCACCAAGGAATACTCCCCTTCAATCTTCCAGATAGAAAGGAAAAAAAGTACTGCAAAATATGTCTCTCCACTCTTCAGTATGTACCCAAAAGAAATAAAATATATGTCTACTCAAAAATGTCTACACGAATGTTCACAGCAGCACTATTCATAGAAGTCAAATAGCAGAAACTACCCAAAAGTCCATCAGCTGAGGAATGGATAAACAAAATGTGGTATATCCATACAATGGGATTTTTTTTCTCCATGAAAAGGAGTGAAATACAAATATGCTACAATATGAATAAATCTTAAAAACACTGACTGATATGGTTTGGCTGTGCCCCCCACCCAAATCGTATCTTGAATTGCAGTTCCCATAATCCCCATGTGTTGTGGGTAGAACCTGGTGGGAGGTAATGGAATCATGGGAGCCATTACCCTCAAGCTGTCCTCGTGATAGTGAGTGCGTTCTCACGAGATCCGACGGTTTTATAAGGGGCTTTTCCCCACCTTCGCTCGCATTTCTTCTTCCTGCCAGCATGAAGAAGGACATGTTTGCTTCCCCTTCCGCCATGATTGTCGGTTTCCTGAGGCCTCCCCAGCCATGGTGAACTGTGAGTCAACTAAACCTCTTTCCCTTCTAAATTGCCCAGTCTCAGGTATGTCTTTATTAGCAGCGTGGGAATAGAATAATACACTAATGTTAAATGAAACCAGACACAAAGGACGGTATAATGTATGATTCCACTTACATGAAATGTCCAGAATAGGCAAATCTATACAGAACAAGTACGTTAGGGGTTGCCTAGGACTGGGGGTAGGTTTGGAAAATTAGGAGATGATGGCTAAGGGCTGAGGGGTTTCTTTTTTGAGGTAATGAAAATGTTTGGAAATTCAGTATGGTGACAGGTGCAGCTGAAAACAAATGCTAATATCAACGTGTACTGCACTCTGTTCCAAGCAAAGAACAATACTGATAACGTCACATTGAGGAAAGAACAATCAGCTACATAGATTATCATTTCAATCAGGGCATCTGTACCTTTTCCATATTTGCTGCACTGCATTTGGTTGTGTTACCTAAGTTTGGATTCTTGCCTCTATCTGCCAAAATGATAAATTCTCCAGAGCCATTTCAACTGATGGAATGACCACCTTAAATTGCTGTGTATACCACCTCAAGGAACAAGCCAGGCTTGGCCAAGACAGCCACGTGCTTTAAGGAAAAGTACATTATTAAGATGCAAGAAATGAATCTGCTTCAAATGGTTTGACCAAGTAATTATGTGTCTGGTGATTCTCTCACAAGCCAAATTGGTGGAATGTTGGAATGCTGCTATTGGACATGCAGCCTCATGGCCTGCCACACCCAACACAGCCTCTTTGCAAGCCCACTTCTCTCCCACGAAGTCCGTGAACTCATTGATAAGTAAATACCACTCTGTGATCAGTAGGTCAGCCACTGCCCAGATACAAAAAGGGCTGCAACAAATAACGTGCCACATCCTATTACATTTCAGATAAAGGAGGAGACCTATAATCCAAATACATCAAAAACAGTAGCTGAGCATAATTGTCTCCCCTGTTAAATGACAGGAAACTGCTCATTGTGCTTACCGTTTAGCAGCAAGTGGGAACTTTATTCTGACTACAGGCCTCAAATCCTTCCAGAGAACCTTACATGCTCTTAGGCTGTGATCAGAGGTGCCTGCCAACATTAACACAAACACAAGGCACAGAAGTCAACTCCCAGTTCACGTATCAACAACAGCTCTGGGGCAGGGACCCTGCTTTCAAGAGGAAATTTTTAAACTGGAGGGTGGGACCATGTGCAACTGACTAGCACCCTTGTTAGCACCACTGATGTAAAGTTAAATGATCCCCTCTCTAGTTAAAGTCTCCTAATTGTGATCTCCAGGACTCTCGCCAAAGATCTAACACAACTGTAAACATTTCAGAAGGCTCAGCTCACCATGGTTTGGGGCAAAACATACAGGCTTCTATTTCCTAAAATGCAGAAAAAGCAGACATTCTATTTCTTTAGGTCTGTAGTTCAGCCTCAGCACTGGCCCTGTGTTACACAGATTTCTATTTTGATACCTGCAAGTAAACATTTTATTAATATTTTTATGAATAAACCTTAAAATCCAAGCCAACTTATTTTTCCATTATTTAAAAAATTGTCTCGGCCAGGCATCATGGCTCATGCCTGTAATCTCAGCATTTTAGGAGGCCAAGGCAGGAGGATCACTTGAGGCCAGGAGTTCAAGACCAGCCTGGCCAACATGGCAAAACTCCATCTCTACTAAAAATACAAAAATTAGCATGCCGGGCGCAGTGGCTCACGCCTGTAATCCCAGCACTTTGGGAGGCCAAGGCGGGCAGATCACGAGGTCAGTAGATCGAGACCATCCTGGCTAACCTGGTGAAACCCTGTCTCTACTAAAAATACAAAAAAATTAGGTGGGCGTGGTGGTGGGCACCTGTAGTCCCAGCTACTCAGGAGGCTGAGGCAGGACAATGGCGTGAACCCGGGAGGCGGAGCTTGCAGTGAGCCGAGATCGCGCCATTGCACTCCAGCCTGGGCGACAGAGTGAGACTCCGTCTCAAAAAAAAAAAAAAAAAAAAAAGCCAGGTGTGGTGGCATGCATCCATAATCCCGCTACTCGGGAGGCTGAGGCACAAGAATCACTTCAACCTGGTAGGTGGAGGTTGCAGTGAGCTGAGATCACCCACTGCACTCTAGCCTAGGCAACAGAGCGAGACTTTCTCTCTCTCTCAAAAAAAATAGTCTCTTTGTGATATTAAAAAATATTGAGACTTCATAGCTACCCTCTTCTGGCAAATAATTAATTACTTTGACCAAATTCATGTCAACTGAACAAAAGAGTTCAAGGAACCCTCACTGACAGCTTCCATGTGGTTTGAAGATATCCAAAAGGCATTTTTTCCCCATAAGCAGCTCGATGAACAAAGTGAGTTCTGCCATTCTAGCTGCCAACCCTGTCATAATAAATGTAATATGATGCCAATAATTTATTGTCAGGGAAAATAACCCTATTATCAAATATTCTATTTCATTCCGCCTAGTAAGATAATACCTTGCAATATCCTGAAAGATTATGGCTTAATTACAAAATTTCCAGATCGGCACGACAGATCATCTTATTTATACAGTCTTGATATTCAATAAATACAAACATTTAAAAATCTAGATCATTACTAAAGGCACAGCAAAAATGGCTTTTTCTTTTTTACTTCTTCCAAAGATGCATTTACCCAGTAGTAATTAAAGGCCCTTCCCTTGTTTACAATGATAATATCATGTTTTCTGAGTCACAGAAAATATTAAAAATGGACAGGTTGCCACAAATTATTGTCCAGATGTTCCTTGGCTATCCCTCAGTTATAGTTTTGTTTTCATCCCTCATCATTATTCGTTTAAAACAGATAGCAAATGAATGGCATCTTAATCATCATCTACTTACTCTAGTAAATACTTCGATCAAAACAAAGCACTAAATCCAATACCCAGCATACAACTGCAGGAGGGAAAATGCAACTAAATAATTGGATGTATTACAGACAAGAAAAAAGCCCTGAAAAGAAAGTTGACAGCTTAGATAACTACTCCCTCTATAAATGGGAATGGATGTTAAATGCTAAATATGCTATCTTTACTTCCTCCAGCAAAGCAAAACTAGGAGGAAAAAAAGTTGGTTGATATCCTTTTCAAAAATAGATTTACCACTGAATATATACAGTATTTCACCAACTGGACCACTGCTGCAAAGCCATTTGCTAAAAAACTACAGTGATAACCAAATTATCACACATACATGTCTCTTCGTAGATAAACTGACCAAATTATAAACAGTTCCCCTAGAAGCTACCAATTCTGTTACCCCTCAATAGGACATAGAAGACAAAGACCTTGTTCAAACCAGTCGATGAGGAGAAACCCAGAATTCCCTTCTATTTAACATAGATTTCCAAGTGTCTACCATATTGCAGAATCTCTGCTGGGCACTGTTTGTCTATTAAGATGAGAAATTCCTCCTTGCAGCCCTCAAGGAGGTTACAATCCCACAGCAGAACAGAGGCAAGAAAACAAGTAAATAAATACAAGTCAGGGTACAATTGTCTCGAAAAGGTTGCTCTGGGTTTTCACAAGAGGAGAACAGTATGTGTAGATGACTGTGGGAAGGCTCTTTGGGCATCAAGCATTCACATTATATCCTTTCAATAGCCCAGGAATAGGGTCCATGCTCAAAATGGGGGCAACACTTGACTCTCAAGAGTGTCAAGAAGCATCTTCATGTTCCCAAGGGAAAAATAACAAGATCTGAGGCCCAGAATGGCAGTGAAAACAGACATACTTACATGTAAAAAGGATAAAGCACACCAAGAATGCAGAGAAGCATTGTGTGAGGATACCAAATAGTGCACCTGAAGTCTGTGGGGTCCTTCAGGAACACAGGCCTGTTGTGAACTCAAACTCAGACAGCAAAGAAGCCTAACAAAGGCAACTCACCGCTCAAAAGCCTCATTAGCTCCTAGTACCTTATCCTTGATTAAAATTATCTTAGAGAAGACCCATCTAATCAAGTCTAGCTTCATTCGTAAATCTAATAAAAAAGACTGCTGCTGGAAGGCTATTGTCTGGGAAGTAATTGTATTTCCCAGGAGTGAAGACACAAAGAACAACAGAAAACAAATCTCTGTAGGATCCAAATATCAGCTTCATCTTTTTAGAACAGTACTTCTTAACTTCTTAACTAAGACTGCATGCATCCTAGGGTCTGGTAGACATGCCCAATCTATCTAAACAGTAAATGAGGAAATATATTAATCATTTGAGACTGCATTCACTGGTGCATAACTTGGCAATGCAACAATTCATCATCCTCCTAATAGATTCTTATTTTTTAAGAACATGTCTTCAGAGTGACGGAGGCTAGATTCAGCAGCTAGCTGCTATGTCCAGTTACGCACGTTGTTCTGTATTTTGAGTATCATGCTGAAGAAATCCAGATTGAACAGAGCCTTTCTTTGCTAAAGTGGCTGACGTGTAGAGATGCATAGGACAAAACCAAGGCAATGCACCCTGTGAAACTCGCTGTATTCAAACACCAGTCCCATGCCATCAGAGCAGTCTTATGCTTTGACAAACACCAGCATTGGGTAAAGTCGGATATGCTCTTGACACATTAACTTTTACTAAGGAAAAAAAAACATAAATTATTGTTAATGACTTAGTACGAGAGCCTCATTTACTAACATTATTGTTTTTAAATAAGTTCAAAAGCAGGAGATAGTGGCTCTCACCTGTAATCCCATTACTTTGGGAAGCCGAGGTGGGTGGATCACCTGAGGTCAGGAGTTTGAGACCTGCCTGGCCAACATGGTGAAACCCCGTCTCTACTAAAAAATATAAAAATTAGCCAGGCATGGTGGTAGGCACCTGTAATCCTAACTACTCAGGAGGCTGAGGCAGAAGAATCGCTTGAACCCAGGAGGTGGAGGTTGAAGTGAGCCAAGATCGCACCATTGCACTCCAGCCTAGGTGACAAGAGCGAAACCCTGTTGCAGACTGAGGTTGGAACTTAAAGGAAAGCATGGATATGTGGTCTCTCCAGCCTGGCATCTGCAGGGCAGGTGGGCTGCTTACACAGTCTCAGGGCTCCATATGCAAGTCCTTCCTTCAGCCACCCCAGCCCAGGTACCAGAATGTGAACCAAGAAGCCACCTTGGAAGTGGTTCCTCCAGCCTCAGCTGTTGCAATCCTGGCCATTCCCAGTCGAGCTACTCCAGCCCCAGCCACTCCAGCCCCAGCAGAGGTCCCAGATATCGTGGAACACAGAAGAGACCTCCCCATCATGCCCTTTCTGAATTCCTAACCCACAGAATCTGTGAACATAATAAAGTGATTGATGTTTTAAACTGCTAAAATGCCGTGGGGGAGGTGGGTTAGTTTGTTATGAAACCAACTCCTCTCTGCTTTTCCCACCTCAGGGCACAAAGCTTAAGCAGTTTATCAGCAGGCTCAAACAAAAAACAAAACAAAATAAAAAACGCAGAAAGCTCTTCATTAAAGAAATCGAACTAAGGAGAACTGAGGCAGATGTCATGGATATAAAACCCACACCCACTTCCACCCACGCCCAGAATGAAGACTGTTATCATTTTGGCCTGGTATGGTTGGCTTACACCTGTAATCCCAACACTCTGGGAGACCCAGGCAGGAGGATTGCTCGAGCCCAGAAGTTCAAGACCAGCCTCAGCAACACAGCAAAACCCCATCTCTACAACATAAATAAATAAATAAATAAAAATAAATATTCCAGGCATGGTGGCACGCACCTGTAGTCCTAGCTACTCAGGAGGCTGAAGTGGAAGGATCGCCTGAGCCCAGGAGGTTGAGGCTACAGTGAGCTATGATCGCAGCACTGCACTCCAACCAACCTGGGCAACAGAGCAAGACCCTGTCTCTAAAAACAAAAAATAAAATAAAATAAAAAATGGTTAAGGAGAGAGGTGGCTCTGGGGGTGAGATGTAGTGCCTGATACAGGGCTCCCCATCTTATCCCCATAAAGTGAAGATCCTCCCAGCCAGGTACACAGAGAGACCTGTCAGCCCTCTTGGTTCTTCCATCTTAAATAGGAATGGGTGAACAAACTCTGATCTCTGAATATACCTTGCTTCCTCCTCCAACCCCATTGCATCAGTCAAAATCCCAACAGGAAGCCAGTGGCACCCTCAGATTAGGATAATTTGGGGTCTATTTGCCAAAATGTGAGAAAAAGAAAAAGAGATAGTACAATAACGAGGGGCTAGCAAAAGTGGAACTGTCACTCCTCTAAGCCCCAGGGACCAAGAGAGTATTTTACCCAAGTGGAAAAGGCCAAGAGTCCGTTACCAAAAGAAAAAAAGTTATCTTGAGAGGGGAAGTGATTTTCAGCAGATGTACACAGCCAAACGGAGGCAATCTCACAGCAGAATGAACCTCAAGCTCACTCTCCCCACTCCTGCTCTTCGCCTACTGGGCTGCTTGTTGGCTGAACCAGGCCAGAAGCCCCCAAGCCTGGCTGTCTGCTGATGCAACTTATACAGGCAGAGCAGGGTGAAAAAGGGTGGAGCGTGGGTGTAGAACGCACAGCAGAAGGCACTTATGTGTCTTCCAATGAGAAAAATGAAAGTCAGTAAGAAACTCCAGGAAGGGGAAAATGTAAAAGAAAGTCACAGTGCAAATAGGAAGCCTGCTAAAATGTGGCATGATGCAGTGAGCACACTGGAAAGAGAATGTATTTAAACTCATTTCTTAAAGATAAAGAAGCTGTGGTGTTGGAATCACAGAGAAAGAAATCAATCAGAGTATACCCCTATATGCTGCAACAAAACCTATTTTCGGCTTTTGTCTTTCAAGAATCAACCTACATGTAAAGCCCAGATGATCATTTAAATCTCAGAATGTACGGTATCAAACATAATAGCCTCACAGTAAAGGTGGGAGGAAGAAAGGAAGAGGTAGGGCAGAAAGTAGAGAATCAAAAGGTACTGTTGAAAGTAGATGAAACAGGAAATAGAAATTTACCAGTATTATTAAAAGTTATAAAATTGGGAAGATGGTAACCAATGGGAGAAGGTTACTCCAGCCCTATGCACACAACATGTGAACACCCAGGCATTTCCGCTTCTGGAAGGAAGTGTGTTCAGCAAACACAATGTCCTCAGGTTCTGGTCACTCAAAGCCCTCCTTTGGCACCAGTTCCTACCCTGTGTTCCTAATGTCACTCATCTTCCTATTTTAAAGATGCAGCTGTTGCCAATGGAGAGAGCTCAAAGTCTTAACAACTTTAATTTTTTTTTTTTTTTTTTTGAGACGGAGTCTTGCTCTGTCTCCCAGGCTGGAGTGCAGTGGCGCGATCTCGGCTCACTGCAAGCTCCACGTCCCAGGTTCACACCATTCTCTTGCCTCAGCCTTCCGAGCAGCTGGGACTACAGGCGCCCGCCACCACGCCCGGCTAATTTTTTGTATGTTTAGTAGAGACGGGGTTTCACCGTGTTAGCCAGGATGGTCTCGATCTCCTGACCTTGTGATCCGTCTGCCTCGGCCTCCCAAAGTGCTGGGATTACAGGCTTGAGCCACCACGCCCGGCAACAACTTTAAAAATAAATATTCACTGATTTTCTTCCATGTTTTACATCTCACTTTTATATGAACTACTGAAACTATTTCATTTTGTGACAAAACAGTAAGTTTCCTGATGTGAACTGTGAAGCTATTGCTGTTTCAGTGAATTCCCATTTTAGCCAACTTGCCTGGATAAATACACCAAGAAAGACAAATAGTTGTTTGGGCTTCATTAAGATCACACTTTGTTGTTGTTAGATTGAATTAAACAAATTTCTTTTAACTGTGGTTGCTGTAAGAGGGGTCTGTTTCTGTATTAAGAAGTCTCCTTGTACTCACCTTAAGTGAGGTCCTCAAGCATTGGCAAATCAGTTAGTAGTATCTTTGAGCACCAAAGAGACCCTCTGCTTAGTGAAGACATTCTAATTTGCAGCATCCATGGAGAAGGTGGACCTGCAAACTGGAAGCCAGATGCTAGATGATGAAGTCAAATCCTACAACTTCCAAGATTTCAAGAAGGTAAATTGCTAAGACATCCTGTTTGCACCTGCAACTCCTTACCTAGAGGGAAAACCACAGTCATCTAAAAGATGATTGTTTATAAAAATGTGAAGAAAGTAGCCTCAAGTTCATAAATAGTCCTCTGAAAGTTTTGTTTTTGTAATATTGGCTGAAAATGTTGACTCAGTTAATTGCCAAATAAGGAGACTTTAGTTATAAAATCTTTATTGCCAGCTAATTTTTATCATGTGCCTCAAGCTTTTAAATTTCATGTTTTTGCTGGAAAAAGGAAATTTCCTGACTTTGCTTTACTAAGCCTATAAATACATACACCAAAGAAGTAAAACAACTTTGAGAGGCTGAGGCAGGTGGATCACTTGAGGCCAGGAGTTTGAGACCAGCCTGGCCAACATGGTGAAACCCCATCTCCACTAAAAAGACAAAAATTAGCCAGGTGTGGTGGCACGTGCCTGTGGTCCCAGCTACTTGGGAGCCTGAGGCATGAGAATCACTTGAACCCAGGAGGTGGAGATTGCAGTGAGCCAAGATTGCGCCACTGCACTTCAGCCTGGGCGACAGGACAAAGTGAGACTTTTTTGACAGTGTCAAAAAAAAAAAAAGAAAGAGGAGGGGGAGGAGGAGGAGGGGGAGGAGGAGGAGGGGGAGGAGGAGGAGGGGGAGGAGGAGGAGGGGGAGGAGGAGGAGGAGGAAGAAGAAGAAGAAGAAGAAGAAGAAGAAGAAACTTTACACATTTTCCAAGTATCCTGCAGTTTCTTCTGAATTTTCTTTGTTATGTTTACAAAAATTAATATCAGAGGTCTATTTGAGCTATTTTGTAATATGTATACAGAACGGAAACAAAAGTGAGTCGTATAAATTATCACACACACAGAGAGAGAGAGAGAATAGCAAAATAACTTAACTGGTCATGCCTGATCTCCACTCCTGAATTTTACAGTTTATGTGGTTATTTTACATAAAGAATATTCTACAAAGTGCAAAAATTGTAATTACTTTCCTCCTCAAAGTGCAAGTTTAAGTTGTAAAATCAAGAATAAACATTTAAGGTTCAAAGGTAAGCAAAAGAGGCAATAAAAAATAGTGATTTAACTAATAACTATAGGGAGGAGGAGGAGGAGGAAGAGATAAGGTGGAAGAGTGGAGGGGGTAATGCAATGAGCAAAATCATCACTAGTTACTGTCAAGAAACAATGGTTTGGGGCTGGGTGCAGTGTCTCACACCTGTAATCCCAGCACTTTGCAAGGCCAGGGCGGGCAGATCACCTGAGGTCAGGAGTTCGAGACCAGCCTGGCCAACACGATGAAACACCATCTCTAGTAAAAATACAAAAATTAGCCAGGCTTGATGGTACATGCCTGTCATCACAGCTACTCAGGAAGCTGAGGTGGGAGAATCGCTTGAACCCGGGAGGCGCAGGTTGCAGTGACATGAGATCACCCCACTGCACTCCAGCCTGGGCGACAGACGGAGACTCCATCTCAAAAAAAAAAAAAAAAAGGGGGGGGGAAGGAAAGGAAAGAAACAATGATTTGTATATTAATTAAAACCTCCAGAGGAACTAAAGCAGAGACAGCTACATGCTGTTGGCTCTGAGAAGTGGGATTAGAAATGAGAAAGAGTGGGGTATGGCAGACTCATCTTTTTATTTTAAACCCTCTTATACTACCCAGGTCATTTTTACCATGTGTATATATTTGAATAAATATTGTTACCACGTATAAAAGCTGGTTCTAAAATATGAATATCATGTATCTCATATATGTGTGCCTGCCTGTGTGTGTGTGTGTGTGTATATATATATATATATATATGAAATTCCATTTATATGAAATTCTAACTAAAGTGACAAAAGTCAGATCAGAGGTTGCTTAGAGCTGGAGTTAGGGAAGGAATGACCACAAAGGGGCCTAAGTAAACTTTTTTTTTTTTTTTTTTGAGACGGAGTCTGGCTCTATCGCCCAGGCTGGAGGGCAGTGGCGCGATCTCGGCTCACTGCAAACTCCGCCTCCCAGGTTTACGCCATTCTCCTGCCTCAGCCTCCTAAGTAGCTGGGACTACAGGCACCCGCCACTGCGCCTGGGTGATTTTTTGTATTTTCAGTAGAGACGGGGTTTCACCGTGTTAGGCAGGATGGTCTCGATCTCCTGACCTCGTGATCCATCCACCTCAGCCTCCCAAAGTGCTGGGATTACAGGTGTGAGCCACCATGCCCGGCCCTAAGTAAACTTTTGGAGGTGAAAAAAATATTCCATATGTTAATCGTGGTGGTAATTACACAACTGTATATGTGTGCCCAAATTCAGGGAGATGAGCACTTAAAATGGATAAATTTTCTTGTCTATAATCTATACCCCAACCAAACTTTTTGAAAATTGCACTAATGGTTTGAAAAGCCTGGGGAAAATCCACTGTAATTCCCTCGAGAGTACATACCCATGCTTGATTTCAAATCATAATGCTTTTGTGGCATAGGCAATGTTGTTTCAAGCTCTCACATCAGTGAATACAAGCTCAGAGGGGGTTCTTCACAGGAGAGGCAGTCACACAGGAGAGTCCACAATACCATATTATCACGTATCTGTGAGATGTATGGATCAGAAAATGGGGATCTTTCTCCAACACTAGAAAGCAGCAAATGAAATTTTATGAAGGTTTTATTTTTACCCTCCAGCCTGAAAACTATCTTCTTACAGATTAGGACTAGGACAACAAAGACTTGAAGAAATCTGACAAAGCCATCAGCTCGTCATTTCTGTTTGATTTCTTCAGCATTGTAGAGTTCGATCGTTGCTTTGACCTACTACCTCTTTTTTTTTTTTTTTTTTGAGACAGAGTGTCGCTCTGTCGCCCAGGCTGGAGTGCAGTGGTGCAATCTCGGCTCACTGCAAGCTCGGCCCCCCAGGTTCACGCCATTCTCCTGCCTCAGCCTCCTGAGTAGCTGGGACTACAGGCGCCTACCACCACGCCTGGCTAATTTTTTTGTATTTTTATTAGAGACGGGGTTTCACCGTGTTAGCCAGGATGGTCTCGATCTCCTGACCTCGTGATCCGCCCGCCCTGGCCTCCCAGACTACCCCTTCTTAAAGTGTACTTCGCAGGGGGCCCTGGAGCCACATTGGTAACCACAGAGATAAGGGCCCTCCTGAAGCTGACAGGAAGGCAGAATTTCCTTACCTTGAGGAAAGACTCAAAGCATTTGTTTAGAAATATGAAGTTATGGAAAGTGCTAGGGGTCTTCCACTTGCCCCTCCACCCTCTCCAACCTTCTTCACCCCATCTGTGCCCCTGGAGGCCAAGGTACATGGAAACCCTCTGGCTTCCTGCTGGGTTTGACCCACAGCGGCCACCATCAAGAGATGAGAGGGGAAAGGGGTGAAACTGAGGTAGCCATCTCTCCAGCTCAACTCCCTACCACGATTGGTTGCAACCCTCTATGGCTTTTGTCAAATAATTCCCTAAAGCTAATCTCTAATTTCTATAACCACTCCCTTCCCTCTTGCCTTCAGGCCTACAGGTGAGAATGGTTCCCTGCTCTAGCCAGCCCTGGGCACTGCACTAGGCCTTATTGGTTCCCAAAGCCCTGCCCTCCCTTGGTAAATCATCTCTTTATTGAATGTGCCTCAATTGCCCAGTTTGAGAATGTCAGCTCTTTCTTGCCAAGATCCTGGCTACTACAGAGGGCTTTGAGACAAAAAGGACCTTGATGAAACATTTAAATGCTCTCACTACATAAATTAGGAAACGGAGTGATGAGTAGAAACCACTGGATTTACTCTATTTTGTATATACTTGCCCTGAAATTAAAGTTGTTGACTTTCTACTATCAAAAGCTTTAGGCACAAATGTTCCACTGATTAATTTAAAATATTTCCATTTAACTTAACATATTCTAAAAATATGGTTTGGTTGAGCAAAATAATATTCACGGAAGAATGTATCATGGATATGGTGTCCATCCATTTCCAGACACTGTCATTTCATCCCTGGAGGCAGCCAGGGAGGTGCAGGCTTAGACTCTGTCATTTGGGCCCCTATAGAAAAGCCTTCACTAAATTATGCATAGACATTATGCCATCAACCTCTAGCAAAGGACAGATTGAAAAATGGCCCCACAAAACACTATGCTATTTATTTCAGTAATGTTGCTGAGAACACAGTTCAAAACACACACAGGATTCCTTTTATGAGGTGTTTCTTTCGAGTCTCAGCCCAGGAAAAAATGGTTTTACCTTAATCTTTTCAACATTATGAATCTATCAATCACTGACTCAAGGAGCCTGGAAGCTCTTGGCCAAATTTGTACCTCACTTCTAACAAGTAAATAGCATCTTCTAGAAAATGTTTCATGTGCTGACCATACTCCCTGCTTCTTTTCTTTCCACCTCATCTCCTTGTGTATTTTGTTTTATTTTTTAATCTTTGTAGGTGTATCTTTGTGGGCTGTATCAAATCCATTTGAAATGAGGCAGGGATAAATTCAGAATGAACTTTCAAAAAAGACTGAAAATAGTGACATGTATCTTTCCTCATGAAGCTTAATCTATATTTACTCCATTAAAACAATAAACAAGCTCAAATTGGAATGAGAACTTTTATAACTTACCCTGAGGCTTATCCTGGAACCAACTGTTTTCTGTTTGTCAGAGAGTTTCTTCCCTCTTTCACAAGTAAGAACCTGATTGTATCTCCCTCCTATTCTCTTCTGCAAATTAGAACACTCATTTTTCACTTTATTAACCAGAAATAAAGGTGGAGCAAATACTACACTACATTGAGTAAACTTGCAGAAACCCTCAAAAAAGTCAATTCCCTACAGGCATGGGGATGTGAAGGCCACTGATGCCCCTGAGTGGGATTGGGGAGACAATTTTCTCCTGCAGTCTCAACACTAAGGGAAGCATTCAGACCTTAAGAGGCAGGGACCTACCAAGGACAGTACTGGCTTTACTGAGAGTCTTGGTCTCTTAGAGTCTCTCTCCTCTCTCTTGTCTCTGTGTGTGTGTGTGTATCTGTGTGTGCATGTAACAGAAAGAAGAGTGATATTCTGCATGTTAAAAGGAAATTCAGCTGGGGCACTGGGCCTTCTCTGGTCCAGGATAGGGGAGGAGGTGGAGACATCATGGTGCCAGGAGAGGGTGGGAACAGACACAGCAGGCATCGATATGAAGCCCGTATGCATTATGACCTTCCTAATGGGAATTTCTTCCCAGGACATCTCATCCAAAGAGTCATTATTCCCTTGTCCATGCAGTCTCCCTACATTTTAAATTCACCTGCCATGGCAGCACTTTCTTACCTAAGGGCCTTTTGCCTCCAGAATTCACATGTGTTGTTAGTCAGGTTAAAAGCCACTGTCCCTGGCAAAGGGTTTACGTAAGCTACAGGTGCTCAAAAAAGCATTTCTGTACAATTTGAACATGGCTACATAACTTAAAGAGAAAAATATTTTAAAAATAAGAGCAACTACTTTTTTGTATATATTATCTTGGAAATGCATTCAATAGTTCAGAAGGTTTTTTAAAAATGTACATCAATATACATCTCATTGATATTAAAGCAAACAGGCACACTAGAGATGGCTCTAGTAATAAAATAAAACAAAATAAAAATGGATATGTAAGGTGGGACTTTGGGGTAAAACTGGAAAAAGGTGAAAAAGGTCAAAGTCCTGTTGAGTGAGAAAAGGCTGATAAGGTCTTCCTGGACCTTGTTAGCAATGCAGACTCTCAGGTCCTGCCTGAGATTCTGCTATTTATTTATTTATTGAAAGACAAGGTCTCATCTGTCACTTAGGTTGGAGTGCAGTGGCACCATCTCAGCTCACTGCAACATCCACCGCCTGGGCTCAAATGATCCTCCCACCTCAGGCCCCCCAACACACACACACACTTTTCTGTAGAGATGCAGTTTCACCATGTTGCCCAGGCTGGTCTCAACCTCCTGGGCTTAAGCAATCTGCCTGCCTTGGCCTCCCAAATTGCTGGCATTACAAAGTGCTGGGATTACAGACATGAGTCACCACACCTGGCCCCAAGTTTGCATTTTACAAGGCCTCCAGGGGATTTGCAGATCTTTGTAAGGTTTGAGAGGCCTGGCTCTAAGGTACCTGAAGTTCAGATATTCTGTCAGTGAACTTATAAAATTAAGAAGTGCTGACAAAAATAATGGGTCCCAGACATCTACAGTGATATGAAAAATGAGATTATGCCATTTCTCAAGGTAAATAACTTTCCTGCTCTAGTCTAATTGACAAACTCCTATGACCTACAAACTGACAAACTCCTATGACCCACAAAAGCACTATCACTAACCTGAGCTATGCAGCTCACCTTTTGTGAACCTTCATGTACTAGAACAGTCAGCACTTCTAGTGTACAATGGACATTTGAAGTCACTGTCCTTACCTGTGCTCATTCCCAGATTTACACCAAGGAATTCCCACTGGAGTTTAGAAACCACAAGAATGTGAAAGACGCCAGCCAGCCAGCAATTCAACCCATGGGAAGGAAAAACCTAGCCTGGAAGTACAAAAGGACAACACCAAACAGGAGCCCAGTGGGGCACTGGGGTGAGGCAGCAAAGGTGTGGACCGACAGCCCTGCTCAACATAACAGGGCTCCTGCCACAAAGAGCTCCTAACAGAAGCCAGCTAGAGAAGGGAAAATGCCCCCGGCAGATAGGAAGCCCTAACAGCAGAAATTTTTTGGCTTAGCAATGGGGGTCTAGACGACTTCTTCCTGGAGCCCCCTCCCGACTCCTTTCACTGGCAAGAGGATGACAAGAGTATTTGGAAAATTCTCAGGATTCCAAGTATTGGCTCTGGGTTGGACATGAAATTGGGCACGAGGGAAGCTCACCTACCTCCTACAGAACGTGGAAATCAAGCCACCACTAAACAACACATTGGTGCCTTTGTGCAGTTTAATCAATGATGCTCCAGTGAGCAGAAAAAGAAAATAAAAAAAAAAAAAACATCTGGCAGTCAAATTAGTAAGAGGTCTTTCCTTTAGGCGACAGAGCACTGGGCTAAGCAAATAGAAGGCACCTGTGTTCTAAGAAAATGACCCTACTTTCTCCAGGGGACACAGCTCCCGCTTGTCCCCAGCAAAAACATGTATGCAGCCTTTATACACAAAGCCATCTGCCCTCTCCACCTTGGCAGCCTCTAAGGTAGGTGGTGGGGAGAAGGGGAACACAGAGTACATGAGCAGAGGAATTCTCGAGTCCAATAAGCAATCCAGACAAACAATAGTGGTCTGAAGTGAGGAAATAGCTCTCCAAGGGCTCACCATCCCTCTCACCTCATTATAACTCTTATTGTAATTGTATTTTACCACCAAATAATTATACTAAGTTTAACAAGTTGACTGGTAGCATGATTAACTACAGTATAACTACACTGTGTTACAATGACCATCATAGTATATGTTTCAAAATCCAAGAATATAGTGAAGCCCAGGCTTCAAAATGGAACCTTTTATTTCAGCACGTGAGGAGAGCAGGCTAGCTCCCTCTCTGTTCACAGTCCATCTCCATCTTCCAGATCTCATTTACTAACACGATGTGGCACTTTATGAAAACATTTTTTCACTCTACAGTAGTAGCGCCAAAGTCTGCAACAACATTATTAGTTGTTCTGATGATAAAGGTTGCTCCAATACAGAATTCCACACAAAGGAGTCTTTAAGCATCCCCCATTACAGTAGAATGTCTAAACAAAAAACAATAGCCAAACAGAAATGAGCAAAATCATCAGTAACATTTCCATAAGTATGTTTGGATCAATTCTTTTAACATCTGGTACCCTTAGGTAAGGCTTTATACAACTGACTTCATCTGATTTAGAGTAACTTAATCTGATTTTGAATATCAACACAAAGTAAAGGAGTTCTTTCTTTTAAAAAAAAATACCAATTATATGGCCAGGCACAGTGGCTCATGCCTGTAATCCCAGCACTTTGGGAGACAGACGCGGGGGGATCACTTGAGGCCAGGAGTTCGAGACCAGCCTGGCCAACATGGAGAAACCCCATCTCTACTAAAAATATAAAAATTAGCCAGGCGTGATGCCTGTAATTCCAGCTACTCAGGAGGCTGAGGCATGAGAATCATTTGAATCCCGGAGGTGGAGGTTGCAGTGAGCCAAGATTGCACCACTGCACACCAACCTGGGCGACAGAGCGAGACTCTGTCTAAAAAAAAAAAAAATCAATTATGATGCTCAACTTTCTGATGCTCAATGGATGTCACCTTAATTTTTTAATGTCTGCAATTTAAAAAGTAAAATTTACAATCATTAGGGCAAATTATGTATGTCCAAACTATGCCTATTTTGTTATGCTTTATTTTTGTTTGTATGTACAAACTATACATAATGGCTATTATTTATCAAGCATTCGTTATGTGCCAGACGTTATTAAGCAACATTACAACATTTTTAAGGAATGTTTGTTAAGCCATATTTACAAATGCCTTCTTACATTATCCCTGACTCAACTCTATGAGGAGATGTTACTTCTGCCTCATTAAGAGATGAAAGCAGAAGCACAGAAAGGTTAGACTGCTAATACCTGGCAAAGTCAGCATCTGAAAGCAGACAGTGGCTCTCTCAATTGCTATTAAGTAGCAATTGACAGAGAAGTGCAGAAAGTATCCACCAGGGCCTGGACTATATACATCAATTAAGACTTTAAACACATAACAATGACTTAATTCAGCAAGACTCTAACATTTATTAACAACCTTCATAGAATGGTACTAAGAACTCTAGGTAACTTATAAGAAAAATAAGACATGGTCCTTGGCTAAAAGGACTTTGCAGACTAATTAAAGAGATGATAGGCCGGGTGTGGTGGCTCATCACTGTAATCCCAGCACTTTGGGAGGCCGAGGCATGGGGATCACTTCAGCCCAGGAGTTTGAGACCAGCCTAGGCAACATGGTGAAACCTCGTCTCTACAAAAAATACAAAAATCAGCCGGCTGTGGTGGCATGAGCCTGCAGTCCCAACTGCTTGGGAGACTGAGGTTGGAAGATTGATTGAGCCCAGGAGGTGGAGGTTGCAATGAGCCAAGATCATGCCACTGCACTCCAGCCTGGGTGTGACAGCAAGACTCTGTCTTAAAGAAGAAGAAGACTACACACACACACACACACACACACACACACACACACACACACACGCACATTTATTTCAAAACTACACATGAGTAGAGATGATAATGTGGTACAAATGAAACACAGAGAAAGATGACAGATATAACAGGAAGTGTTGTGGAGGTGATCTCTAAGTAGCTTTCTAAGAAAATAATGCTTGGATTAGAAAGTGATGGGAGAAGAGAATTTCACACCGTGATCAAAAACAGAGGCAAAAAGGAACAGGAGAGATGGAGGTGGCAGCTGGAGAATAGAATGTATGTCATGAAGTATTTCAAGTTATATGAAACTGTGATGAGCTATTTCACAGTGGTTTTCTTTAACGAAGAATCTACATTGTATGCTCATCACTATTCTGACTTTATCCCCTCTTTCCCCAGTGTTCCAGAGCAACCTTCTGAGTATTAAGTGGAAGCCAGCTCCCTGTGCTCCCTCCCTTGTCTGCTCTCCCACAAGCATGCATCATGTGCTCAAAAACAAACTAGCAGAGTAAATAAGTGACGTCACTACAAATCACCCAGCACTTATTTCCAAAAATTGTCTTTTCATGAAGCTGAAATAAAATTAGTGTTGAATTCAAACGACTGAACTACTTGTCTATTTTAAAACGATGATGGGGAGGTCTACATTCAACCAATGTGTTTTATTTAAAGAGCTCTCACTCGACCGAATGCTTAGCCTAGGGTAAACTGTGGTTCCTGCCCGCAAGGACTTTTTAATCCAGTGAGAACCAAGTCTCTCACAATGCCTGGCACACAGTCAGTGCTCAACAAATGGGAGCTCCTACCTCTTGAGCACTGTAGCTGAACAATGGGAATTTAAAGAAAAAGTCCAGAAGCAAAGGACAGACCCATAAGGTCACTGTAAATCAAAGAGTTAGTAAGTACTATGCAGAGACCACTGGCAAGGTGTGGCAAACTTCCCAGAGGGTCAGAGAGTTGGTCTTCTGTAGAAAAGGAGCTCATCTGGCAGAAGGAGAAAGCTGGAGAGCATTTCAAGCAAAGAAAACAGCAATGCACACAGCCTGTTAAGCAGTGATGACTAGCTTTGTATGGTGTGACTGGGGCCCAGATATGGGGGCAGTGTGAGTAAAGGGGCCAGACCTCCGAGGGCTTCAAGGTTCTGGAAAGAGGGTGGATTATCTAGCAGTTACAATGAGCCAACAGCAAATATTAAGCAGGAAAATAACATGATCTGACCAATTTAGAGAAACAGGTGCCATGGCAATGTGGAGAATGAATTGGAAAGGAGGTGTGGAGGTCACCTAGCGGTTCAACTGAGGTAATATAAAGGTTTGAAATCAAGCAGTGATGAGCAAGATGAAAAGATGAACCTTAACAGATACAAATGGTAGATTTCTCCTTGCAACACGTAGCTTAAACTCCAAGTTAGAGACTGTTGCGTTTCCTTATGTCCCCAAGGCATCCACTATGGAGCAATTCAGACTATTCAGACTACTGCCTTTTGAATATGGAGACTAAAAATTTTACCATACAGAATGCCCCTCTCCTACTTTCCTTCTTTCAGTAAACATTGACTATGTGAAACTAACTACATACCTGTACTGGTAGTTAGAAATGCAAAAGCAAATAAGATACAGTTCTAAGGAGTTCAGAGTTGAATAAAAGACAGACAGATACACAGATAATAACCAACAATATCCCAGTGCTATAAGAGCTGTGTATGGGGCAGTGGGTGTGCAAAGGAGACTTCCAGAGTGCTTGGTTGGGACTGAGAAGGTAGCATTTAACTCCATGAATGTCTTAATGATCTAAAAGATTTATGACCAATTTTTTAAATGATGTGCATATTGCCAGTGACATTTCCCATTAACTTAGCTGAAGCTATACCTAAATTTCCCAAAACATATAATTTCAGATATAGACTATGTGATGGCATCTATAAAGTTTTATTTAATATTGTGAATGTGAAAGGTAAATCCCAATAGTAGAGCTCTGCTTGCTAGCTAGGGCTCACCTGTTAACTACTATAATAAAAACCAGTTTCTTACCTTTTGAAGTTTCAACTGTTAAACTGACTCTTTGTATTGAATTTCACCATGGAAACAAATAAAACGCTTACACACACATACACACACACACACACACACCTAAAGACCTATTGGAGTCAAGCACACACTCTATATTTATCTTCCACAACAAAAATCTTTGCTTCATACCTAACACTCTCTTCAGACTCCTTTTGGTGGCCTTAGTTCACTTTCAATTTTTCCACAAACTGGCAGGAGTTCCCATAATACTCCACCCCCTCCACATCCTTCCTGTGCTGGGTCACTTAAAAATAACTAGCCATGAAACACTTAAATATTCAGGAAATTATTTTAGTGGGAAAGTCACTGGCGATCACAATTGTAGCAAAACAGAGAATCCAGGGTAGACCTCAGAAGGTGCTTAAATAAGAACTTTATTTTTTAGAGAGTACACATTTCTTTACTCCTTACTTTACTACCAAAACAATTTGTTTGCAACACGTGACTAATCTCTGGGGCTAATGCTCTTTATCTAACATCCTTCATTATGTGACAATAAAATAGACTTTTATAAATTCTCATGCCACAAAAATATTTTCACTTAGAATTTTGAACTTGTTATGTAGCTACATCGTATATCAATTACTAAATGGCTAAATAATTATTTTGATTATATAAGATACACAAGTCTACTACAGAAAAATAGACCATATAAATAAGCATGAAGAAAATTAACCCCAATCTTCCCCATCAAAGAGAATCAGTATGAACGGTCAGAATCTGTTTCATTCAGAACTTCTGTTGTTGTTGTTTTTGTTGTTGTTATTGTTTTTGAGACAGGGTCTCACTCTGTTGCCCAGGCTGGAGTGCAGTGGCACAATCTCTGCTCACTGCAATCTCCGCATCCCAGGCTCAAGTTATCCTCTCACCTCAGCCTCCCAAGTAGCTGGGACTACAAGCACTTGCCACCACATCTGGCTAATATTTTCATATTTTTTGTAGAGATGGGGTCTCACTATGTTGCCCAGGCTGGTCTCGAACTCCAGAACTCAAGTGATCCACTCGCCTTCGCCTCCCAAAGTGCTGGAATTACAGGCATAAGCCACTACACAGGCCTCTTTCAGAACTCTTAAAAGTACAAATTCATACATTTATCTTTAAAATATTGATCCTCTATAGAGACTCTCTAATAACTCATTACCATCATTTACATTGAAAATACAATTATGTGGATAATCCATAGTTTAAGTACTCAATCTTTATAGTCGGGCATTGAGGTTGTATTCAATTTTTCATTATTAATGACAACATTCTAATGAGCCTACTTATTATACACACACCTTGGCACATTAATACAAGTGTTTCCTTAGGTCATAATCCTAGAAGTAGAGTTGCTGGATCAAAGATTAGACATGATAAGATCATAATTTTTACATCACAGAAAATGTATACCTCATAGATTTTTAAGAACACATATGATAGAAGAATAACAAAGGAATACCTGATTTAAAATAAAACAGAGCATAATAAACATCTGGATCTAGAAAACACAAAGGAAAGTATAATCTTTATTTAAAAGTAAGAGTTTACATCAATTAAATTATAGCTTAGGTGTCAACAAAACACAAACCCTAACCTAAAACATGTTGGGGATCAGTCATGTTTGCTAAACTTGTACCACAAGAAACACGAGGCCAGGTGCAGTGGCTCATGCCTATAATCCCAGCACCTGGGAGGCCGAGGCGGGTGGATCACTTGAGGCCAGGAGCTCGTGACCAGCTGAGCCAACATGGCAAAACCCCATCTCTACTAAAAATACAAAAATTAGCCTGGTGTGGTGCCTGTAATCCCAGCTACTCGGGAGACTGAGGCAGGAGAATCACTTGAATCTGGGAGGCAGAGGTTGCAGTGAGCCAAGGTCACGCCACTACACTCCAGCCTGCCCAACAGCACAAGACTCTGTTTAAAAACAAAAAAGATGAAGAAGAAGGAAAAACGAGCTCAGTTTATTCAAGAGGCTCCATGAAAACAGAAGTCTGTAGACAATAAACTTGGATGCTATATTATAGATCAGCACTGGACAACAGAAATATAATACGCACCACAAATGTAAGCCATGCACGTAATTTTGAATTTGCTAGTGGCCACATGAAAAAGAAGTAAAGAGAAATAAGTAAAATTAACTTTAATAATACATTTTATTTCACCCAGTATATCCAAAATATTCATTCAACATGTAATCAAATAAAAAATTTATTGAGCTCTTTTATGGGTTTTTGGTACCAAGCCTTCGAATTCCAGCATGTGTAAGTATACACAAAGCACATCTCATTTTGGACTAGTCACATTTCAAGTGCTCAAAAGCCACACGTGGCTAGTGGCTACCATAATGAACAGTGCAGATGTAAAGCAGAGGTTGGCAAATGTTTTCCGTAAAGGGCAAGATAGTAAATATTTTAGGCCCTGCAGACCCAGAGGCAAAATCAAAGATATTCTGTAGGTACTTAAATAGCACTGTTTGCCTAGGGCGGGCTGCCCAGGGTTGTGGCTTTGCACCCAAATGCCCTCAGATAGAGACATCCTCAGGATGAAGAGCAGCTGCCCTTAGGGTGGGCAGGGCTGCTGCCATCAGTTTCACCAGATCCCAGTGAGCCCCACAACCATGCAGAGAGCCCAAGTCATCGCAATGAGAGCAGGTGGCTGCAAGGGACGAGACCTAGCAACTGAGACTCCCAGATGGAGAGTCCACCATTCAGTGTCCTGCAGTTGCCACAGCAGAGATCCCAACATGTTGGTATTGACTTGAGCAGATGCTGGGAGCAGAGGAAACAGGGGCAAAGGGGATGCCCCCAGCTTGGTCTCTGTCATTGCTGACGCCAGTCCGTCGACATTCAGAGGGCAGACGCTGCTTAGAGAACAGGTTATCAAGTAAGGGAGGATTAACAAAGACATTTGCAAAGTAAAAGTTCTGGAAATCCTGTCCTAACCCGTTTCAAAAAGTGGTACCGAAGCATACAAGTGGATATTCCTCATGGCTAACATTGAGAGACATGGCTCCAAGCTACTGCAAATTTTTGTGGAGACCTATTTGACATCAAGAAAAATTCCCCACAGTAAACTTGATTAATAATAGAACCAAATTCCTGGCTGGGCGCGGTGGCTCACACCTGTAATCCCAGCACTTTGGGAGGCCCAGGCGGGCAGATCATGAGGTCAGGAGATCGAGACCATCCTGGCTAACACGGTGAAACCCCGTCTCTACTAAAAATACAAAAAATGAGCCGGGGGTGGTGGCAGGCACTTGTAGTCCCAGCTACTCGGGAGACTGAGGCAGGAGAATGGCATGAACCCGGGAGGCAGAGCTTGCAGTGAGCCAAGATTGTGCCACTGCACTCCAGCCTGGGCAACAGAGCGAGACTCTGTCTCAAATAATAATAATAATAATAATAATAATAATAATAATAGAACCAAATTTCTATCCCACTTCCAGCCCCCAGCCACACAGCTCTATCTTCCTTTCCAGTCTTGCCCAACCATTATTACCAACTTGAACCTAAACACTTTCAACTTAAGCCAAAATGAGCCTAGTTCTTCCTTCTTCCTACAGGTTAAACATGGCTCTTTCATCAAGGGTGATTTCAGATGTTCCTGTAACCCTCCCTGACCACAAAGCCAGAAAGGTCTTCCCCTTCCAAGAATATGTATAGCCTTTACTAACCCCCGCCCAAGTCATCAGAGAATGCCTTCAAATACACCGTCTCATCTCCTCCATAGATACGGGCTTTCAGGACGGCAGAGATGAGACCTTAAACTTCTTTCATAGGCCTGAGTAGAGCCCTCAATACTCAGCAAGTGCTCAAAACCTGCTTAGTGAGTAAATGAAGGAATGAAGTCCTGAGACTCTGACAAAGGCTCCTAAGAGCCACCAGAGTTGAGAATATACCTCCAGACCTTCACAGGCAGAAAAGCCCCACTAATGCCTGTCCTGATCTATCATTTTAGGGCATAAGCCATATCACTCTAGTGCTCCACTGCTAGTGAATTAATTCATTGTTAAAACTGTATTTCCCTTTATAATATAATTTATCCTTTACAAAATTTTTCTTTAAAGGTAAATATGACACTGTAATTTTTCCATTGAAACTAGATGCTTTGCTTTTTAAAAAGCAATTTTTAGTATGAGAAAGGAAATGTCTGGGACACCTCCTAAAGAATACTTTGGAGGCCGAGGCAGGTGGATCACTCGAGGCCAGGAGTTTGCAATCAGCCTGGCCAACATGGCGAAATCCCTTTTCTACTAAAAGTACAAAAATTAGCCACGTGTGATGGTGCAGGCCTGTAATCCCAGCTACTGAGGGGGCTGAGGCATGAGAATCACTTGAACCTGGGAGGCAGAGGTCGCAGTGAGCCAAGATCATGCCACTGCACTCCGACCTGGGCGACAGAGTGAGACTCTGTCTCAAAAAAAGCACTCTCTAGAGCACTGCTACAAACATACACACACAAACACGCACATACACACACA
The DNA here is from genome assembly GCF_000001405.40 of Homo sapiens. Lineage (NCBI taxonomy): Eukaryota > Metazoa > Chordata > Mammalia > Primates > Hominidae > Homo > Homo sapiens. The sequence continues at coordinate 80,981,519 of NC_000005.10, read as the reverse complement.
CACACGTACTCACACAAGTACACGCCAGTGTGCTCAGAGCTCAGCAACAACAAATGGCAATCCTTGTCGTAAGAAAGCCTCATTGCCTCTCAGTTGTAGCACATGGACCACTGAGAACACTCTTTAAGGTTCTAACCACGGATTTGTAAACTTTTTTTAAGCTATCAGAAAGTACAGGTACCACAATTTTTAAAGCAAAACCATGATACCATGACCTGAAAACCCAAAAGCATTTATGGAATTGTAGAGGTAGAATATTTCCAATCAAGAGTGTCCTGGAAAACTTGGAACCCGTGCTGTGGTATCAATTAGGCAATGAAAAGCCAAATCATATTAACAAGAACAACAACAAAAGTCTTAATGAAATGGAAGGTTTTCACTTCTTAACAGTGACTATAAACAAGTAGTATTGCTGTATTGGGAGTATAGTAACATAATCAATACATACGCAGCTCTAAAACTTTAAGTGGCTTTTAGACAAATGTGGAGAAGACATTACGAAGTATCTAGAAAATGCTTGCTTGCCTGCCTGGATTTTACCATGATGTTATTGGCAGGAACCCTAAAGAGTCTGAGAACCGGCAGGCAGGGGTGTGGTAAGTGGGCTCTGGAAGAATCCCATTTCTCTAGCCAACAAGGCTACCAGGTAAAAAGCCAACAGGCTGTCTTCCCCTCCTCAAAATTACAGAGACGCTCCCTACAAACCTGCCTTCTAAGACCCCCAAATAATTTTCAAATAAAATGTTTCATCTAAACATCACAGTTAGAACACTCATTTATTACAATTCACAAAGGGTGTAAGTTTTAAAATGGTAAGGGAGAGGGGACTAAGAAATCAGTGGTATCCTCTTTTTTCTTTTTCTTTCTCTTTATTTTTTGAGATGGAGTCTGGCTCAGTCGCCCAGGCTAGAGTGCAGTGGCACGATCTCGGTTCACTGCAACCTTTGCTTCCTGGATTCAAGCTATTCTCTTGCTTCAGCCTCCCGAGTAGCTGGGATTATAGGCGTGCACCACCATGCCTGGCTAATTTTCATATTCTTTTAGTAGCAATGGGGTTTCACCGTGTTGGCCAGGCTGGCCTCAAACTCCTGACCTCAAGTGATCCACCCACCTCAGCCTCCCAAAATGCTGGGATTACAGGCATGAACCACTGCACCCAGCCAGTATTCTTTCAAGAGTACTGTCTGGGGCCAAAATCACCCTCATTTCCAAAAGCCACATGGAAAGCCATGATGGAGAAGGGCTGGTGGGCCCTGGGGACACAATGTTCTTGGTGCAAAGGATAACAGTCAGTCCGAGGAGGCAAGACAGCCCTTACCAACAGTAAAGTAAAGTAGGAAAGAATGAGTTTCCTTATCCATGAGTGCTGAATGGTTTTGTTTTGGTTTTTTCAAATCACAAAGGTAACAAATCAGATTTAACGATGGGCTAAAATTACCAAACTGTCAAATAAGCCATTCTCTAAGCCAAATGGAAGAATATGAAAAAATGAAAACCCACTGCCAAATGAGTAGGTAATGCTGTAGCTGTATAAAGAATCAGCAACAGCATCTTGATTTTTAGTGAGCAAAGATCTTGTGGTCCTATGGGGTTACAAAAAAAGATAAAAATCAACCAGGGTAAAGGTTAGCTGGTACTAACATCGGCCATCTTTCCAAGCAGGTTTTCAGAGCATACTCCTCAAACGCCAAGCACCAAATTTTCCTCTTTCTCACATAGCCATGATATTCTCTAGCCTTAAATTTAATTATTATAAAAGGCCAAAGCTTACAGTACAGGATGCAATATAGACATCCTTTATACAGTACCTGTATGCTGTTCCAAATACACATGCAGCAAAGATCTTTGAAACACAAATAAATGCCAAGTATCTCTCATCTGGAAACTGCCACATTCCTTTGTTTCTAAGATGGTGTTGTAAAGTGCAACATAAGTTAGTGAAGATTTTAGGGAAATAATTAGTACATCAATCATACGTACACAATAATTGAAAACACAACTTAATTTCAGAAAATGCAAAATATTAAAATGAAGGTATTCTTAGAACCAATTAAATAGGGTAATTTGAGGCATTCCTACTTTGTGCCTTCATATGGAGCTCATTAATAACAACCCTAGGCACTTTAATTACAATGAATATCACCCCCAATATCACCAAAATGCACTTAAACTTAGTTTTATTTCAAGAAATTAGACTACTATATTTGGTCTTTCATTTCTATATTTTAATTCACAGATTGTACTTTCATTCCAGAAATTTACATCTTATGTTGAATTTTTTCAATTAGTTACAAAGCTACCTTGAAATGCAAGTAGAGTGTTTATTAAATAAAATAGTTCTTGAGTAAGGTGGAGAAATTGGGAACTACCCTAATCATAGTAGCTAAAAGGAGACTCTCACTTCCCACTTTTTTGTTTCTTCATTTCTTTGCATGTGCTCCACCGACCCTGCAAATTTATTCACAAATGCCATCCTGATGTTCACTACAGAATCACAATAGCAAAACAAAGCTTTTCAATATTAAAACAGGCTAAATATCCAACAGTAGGGGAATGTTTATTGTACATCTGTGTGATAGAATGCTGTACAGTCCTTAAAAATAATGTTTTCAAAAAATAATTACTGGCAAGCAAAATGTTCACAATGTAATATTCAGTAAAGTATCAGAATCCTAAAGTCTATATACAATATGATCCCAGTTTTGTTTCCCCCCCTTTTTTTTTCTTTTTTTGAGATGGAGTTTCACTCTTGTCACCCAGGCTGGAGTGCAATGGCACGATCTTGGCTCACTGCAGCCTCCGCCTCCTGGGTTCACGTGATTCTCCCACCTCAGCCTCCTGAGTAGCTGGGATTACAGGCACCCGCCATCGCGCCCAGCTAATTTTTATATTTTCAGTAGAAACAGGGTTTCACTATGTTGGCCAGGCTGGTCACGAACACCTGACCTCAGGTGATCTGCCCACCTCAGCCTCCCAAAGTGCAGGAATTGATTATAGGCATGAGCCACTGTGCCTGGCCTTGTCCCCCTTTAAAATGTCTATTTATTATATACAGACATAGAAAAAAGTCCTTGAAGAAAATTCTCCAACAATTGAATACATAGTTTTCTGGTAAGAATGGGATTTCAGAATATTTTAGTTTTCTCATATAGTTCTCTGTGATTTCCAAATTTTACATGATAGACATTACTTTTATAAATAAAAAACTGCTTTTTAAAAATGTTCTATTAACACGGTACTTTATACTAAAAGGAAGAAAAAAGAGTAAGCTGTGGACTTGCATTATTTTCCTTTTAGTATACATTTTAGACACTCTCTTTTTAAAAAACTGCATTTTTAAAGCATAAATATCAATTTAGCTATGTATTTCCTCTGAAGAAAACCCTATTATTTTTACTTTAATATATTTAATATAATTATCACAGTCAGAAGGATTTACGTACCAGAAAGAAATCACATGACAAAGAAACTCTTTCACTCACCTATCCTCTAAGGGAATAGTTTCCTGCAGTTAGTAAAAGTAATCACCCAACTATTTCTTAAGGAATTTACCATCCACTAAACATTCTCTGAAGAGCTTAAAAACCCCAGACTCATAAACATGCTTACAAACTAGGCTGATAAGCTATCTGGTTCTCAAAATGGACCATAAAATGAACAGAATACACATCTGTAGCATCCAAACTTTCAAATGATTTGCTCTTTAAATTGCCCTCACTTAAATGAAAAAATGTAATTGTGAAGAATTTAAAATAACATTTTGGGCCAGGTGCAGTGGCTTACGCCTATAATCCCAGCACTTTGGGAGGCCGAAGCAGGCGGATCACCTGAGGTCAGTAGTTCGAGACCAGCCTCACCAACACGGCGAAACCCCATCTCTACTAAAAATAGAAAAATTAGCCGGGTGTGGTGGTGGGTTCCTGTAATCCCAGCTACTCTAGAGGCTGGAGAATCGCTTGAACCCAGGAGATGGAGGTCGCAGTGAGCTGAGATTGTGTCATTGCACTCCAGCCTGGGGGACAAGAGCAAAATTCCATCTCAATAAATAAATAAATAAATAAATAAATAAAATTTTGGTAGCATTTTATAGTTTACAAACACCTTTCACATAAGATTATCTCAGTTAATTTAATATTCCACTTTCTTTATTAGGTAGAAATTATCATGCCTATTTTCCAGATGAAGACATGAGTAAGCTTGAGGATCCAGAGTTTGTCAAAGATGGATCTAGAACTTGAACTTGGGAATTTGGCCTCAATATACTGGACGTTTGGTACCATTCATCCAAATGGAATGCCATGGCTCCTTCCGTGCTATAACAAAGGACAGGCCAGGTAAACAGGAAGGAGGATGGACTCTGCTCAAACCACCATGCTGAAAATAAATTTCTATACTCATGTTCATGGGAGGAAACGACAGTTGGGGCTCTACAATCACAGGATGCTACTATTCAGCCATTTGATGTCACAATTCCAAATAGGTGAACCTTGCCAACAAAACAAATACAAGAGGACGCTATGGACCAAAACAGAAAGACCATGTACATCTAAGGACCCCTTCTCATTTAATTACGCACACAGTGAATGGCACAGGTTGCAGTTTGCCAATGTGTGGCAACATGGTATTCACTGCTCTGGGCCTGGGGAGATTGAAACTTAGAACTTTCTAGTGGCCAGAAAGTGGTAGCATAAATCAAGGCACAGAGGATGTGGACCCACCTTAAAATGTAAGAAATGTCCTCACGGAGTCAAGAGCTGTACCATAGGCAAGGTCTGAAACGGCAAAGAGCTGTGTTTTCTACATCCTCAGTGCCAGGCACCTTGTGGAGCTGGGCAGACACCAAGAAGGAAGCCTGAGCTGCAAGTCAAGAGGTTCAGGAGGAAGACAGTGGGTTCTTCAGACACAGACTGCTGTTCCCCAACACCCGACTTTCTATCATGTCTAAGTTCTCAGGCCCTCAGCACAGAACCCAGCACATAGAGATTATAGAGGTTATGTATACTAGTTCCGATGGAGGAGAATGAGACTGAAGACAAAAACATTTCCTTCCTAGTTATATACTTCCAGCTCCTAGCTAAGGGCCATGCTCACCAAATGCTGTTATTAATTTTGGTTCTATTAACCAGGTTTGCCATTTCGTAAAGGTTTGCCCCAAGTGAATTACTAAACCGTTCTAAGCCTCCTGCAAAACAAGATACTGATATCTCAAGGTGGTTGTGAGGATTAAATGGGATAATATATGGAAAGTGCATGCCTCAGTGTTAACCCCAAATTAGCATTAAACAAAGAGTGGCTCTTACAGTCGTATAACACAAAACAATGTTCATAAAAATTAACAAGTTAGTATACTACAGGCCTACAGAAAGATGATTGCTTTAGCCGGGCGTGGTGGTTACACCTGTAATCCCAGCACTTTGGGAGGCCAAGGCGGGTGGATCACCTGAGGTCAGGAGTTTGAGACCAGCCTGACCAACATGGAGAAACCCCATCTCTACTAAAAATACAAAATTAGTCGGGTGTGGTGGCACATGCCTGTAATCCCAGCTACTCAGAAAGCTGAGGCAGGAGAATCGCTTGAACCTGGGAGGCGGAGGTTGGAGATCGTGCCATTGCACTCCAGCCTGGGCAATGAGAACAAAACTCCGTCTCAAAAAAAAAAAAAAAAAGATGATTGCTTTAAATTAAATGTTCATCAACTAAAATATACAATAGATCAACAGACAGATATCAGGTATGAGAAAATACCTAAAAGCCAAGTTTAAACTAAACCCACTATGTAAGGAATAAATGGGACTCACAGCTTGGTACCCTCAAAATATATACCTCACCACTCATTAGTAAATAAGGATAAATAGCTGTAAAATGTCTTATGACTACAAAATGATATTTTTCTTTTCTTTTGTTCAAATGTACAATGTTCAGCAATGTTCAGAATTAAATTGATAAAATAAGGATTAGTTGTAATTTGACTAATTACTAGCTTATCATTATTGAGCTAGAAGTAATTAACAGGTAAGTTTCCAGAAAATAAGGGGGTTAACTTTTCCACTGTTTTAAAAAGAGTTTCATATGCTTTTAAACTCAAGATTAAAACTCCTGGCTAAGTAGTAATGGCCAAGTAGCTTGTTGCAGACCCACCCCTCAACGACACACGCACTAAGAAGAATTTTCAAAGCTGGACACAATGCCAAAAAGAAAAAAAAAAATCTGTTTGAACTCATCATTAAGCAAACAAGACAGCCAAGACATGAGCAGCAAGGATGCCTGAGAGGAGGGAGGTTCACTGGCAGTGAGTCTGACACTCAGGGAAGCTTTTCGATAAAGAGGCGTTTGCCACTTTATTGGCGTGCAGAGCCAGGAGGCTAAGAAACCAAGCAGAAAGCAGCAGCTAAAAGGCAGGAGACCAGCACTGAGTTCCTGACAATCTCATGGGACTGAGGAGCCAAAAGAGGAAGAGTTGTGTAAATATCCCAAAATTCCAGAGAAGACTCTGGGAAGGCTATACTTTAGAAATTAGGGCAAACTGGAAGTAGACAAGCTCTCAGAAAACCTGAAACCTAGCTGACCAGCTCAATCCCAAAATGGATTAATAGAATGTGCCCCCACACTAATGCCTGCAAGAAAGCAAAAGTAAATCCTCTCTGAAAAAAAAATAACAGGGCCTCAAATTACCACTACGATTTTTCACACCCAATGTCCAGCATTCATCAAAATTACAAGGCATACAGGCAACTATTAGTTTGCTGCCACAGAGTCTTTGTCAAAACCGATTCATAAAGACTTTGTGACTCTCCGGCCTAAATTCCCATCTGAAGATAGATGAAGTCAGATCAAGAACTCACAAGGTGGGAAGGGACACCTCCTTGCTTGTCGAATGGAAATGGCATACTGAAGAATAGAGCTGGTCTGGCGGCCTCAGCTGTATCTTAGCTTTACATTATTAAAAAAGTAGCTAGTGTCCCTCTGGGGGAAAATTTATCCCCAACTCTAATATCTGAACCAAAGACACTGGCTCAATGAGGCCCTGGCACAGATTTCCTAAATGCCTGGGCCTAGTTCACCGATGGTTTGGCTAAGCTGAAACCCAGTGGTGTTCACTAGGGCGCTGTAGCTACTCAGCTTCAGTGTCAGCTGTGCTGAAGCAAAAGCAGATAGATGTTCTTGCAGACAGATGTTCTTGCTTCATTCGGGGGTAGAACTGACTTTTCGGTTGTTGCCAACAGCATAGCTGTTTGTGCTACCACTTGGAAAACTACAGACTGGCAGATTAAAGATACCCTTCTTTGTGGATGTGAATCTGGAAACAAATCATGGCTGCTGATCGAACTGTCTGGAACAATTGCATAGATACTCTCAAATAAGGACTGGTTTTCTGATGGAACCCACCATTCATCAAGTCTGGCTGTTTCTGATGCAGAGGCTACCAATGAATGACAGACTTGTGACTCCTGCCAAAAGCTGACCCATTAGTCTTGCAATGAGAAAGGTCATATTGCAAGGAGCATTACCCACTACTGCTCCTGGCAGATTGGCTACATCAGGCCTTCAAACCCCTCTCAGGGCTATCAATGCTGCCTTACCACTGTTGATACCTTTTCGGATTATTACTGGTCAGCTGTTTCCAGCCACACCATTGTAGCTCTTGAACGAATCTATATACTCAACAATGAACTGGCTGTCCAGCTCCCTCTCTCCCTCATCTCCTCCTGGTCCATACACTTTAGTAAGGTACTTTGATCATTGAATGTACTATCCCCAAAAAGGGATCATCACTTCTTGGCCACTTCCTGGATAATGGTCAGGACAAAATGGGAGCGAGGTGATTATGGAGTATCATAGAGACCTGTTTTGAAAATTCAGGATACCGTCCTGACCATTGCTGCCCATGATGCATTTTTCTTTCCCTCATAGCACCCCCAGGCCAGCCTGGTTGGCTCGCCCTCCAAGTAGCAGCAAAGCTTAAAGGGACCTCCAGGATTCAAACTTAATTCTGCATAAGTTTTATTAAGTGCCCTTGTCCCTTCCAGACAAAACATCTAGGTGTGACTAAGGAATTATTGGGAAAACATGAAGTTAGTGCTACTGGAATGAGATACCCAGAATACGTGGAGGCGCAGGAAGAGCAACAACCCAGCACCCGAGGAGGGAAGACCTCAGATCACAGGAGGATGAGGGAGGGAAGAACATCATGACTTTTGTCTTTCAGAATTGTCCTTGGAGACTTCCTCTAAAAGGAAGACATCCTGGGGTGGCAACCGCAACCTACTGTAAGCACATTCTATTCCACCTATGGTTGGGTCTTCTGTGATCTGTCTGCTTGATTTAACCACAATTTGATCTATCAGAGCAGCAGGGGAGAGGCCCAGTTCCTGCACTTTCTACATAAAACAACTTCAGATGTTGTCCTCATCTCCATTCATTTCATGGACAGATAAATGCCATAAAGAAAAAGAGATAACTTATACTACATAAAGTTTAGAACTTCTGTTCATTAAAGACACCGTTAAGAGAGTAGAAAGGCAAACCACAGCAGGAGAAAATACTTGCAATACATATAACTGACAAAGGACTCATCATATATATTAGGATAAACAATATGAAATTATGATATTTAACCATTTTTGATGTACAGAAATGGTAGGTCATATAGTTTAACTTAATATTTCTAAGTCCTACAAATCAATTAGACAATTCAATAAAAGATGGGTAAAGGTTGAACAAGCACTTCGAAACAGAGAACAGGCTGGTGCGGTGGCTCACGCCTGTAATCCCAGCACTTTGGGAGGCCGAGGTGGGCGGATCACTTGAAGTCAGGAGTTCAAGACCAGCCTGGCCAACATGATGAAACCCTGTCTTTACTAAAAACATAAAAATTAGCTGGGTGTGGTGGCACACACCTATAATCCCAGCTACTCGGAAGGCTGAGGTGGGAGAACTGCTTGAACCCAGGAGGCAAAGACTGCAGTGAGCTGAGCTCATACCACTGCACTCCAGCCTGGGTGACAGAGCAAGACTCTGGCTCAGAAGAAAAAAACAGAGACCAATCAAATGATTGATAAGTACTTGAAAAGGTGCTCAACCTCATTTTTATCAGAGAAATGAAAATCCAAATCAAAATGACATGTTACTACACACCTATTAGAATGCTTACAACTAAAATCCTGATAAGACCAAGGGTTGGCAAGGTTGGAAAGTAACTGGAATTCTTAAACATTGCTGGTGGAAGTATAAATTGATAGAACTATCTTGGAAAACTATTTAGCAAAAATTATTGAAGCTGAATATATGCATGCCCTTTGAAACAACTCCATTCCTGAGTATATATACCCAACAGAAATATGCACATGTATGTACACCAAAAGGCTTGTACAAGACTTTTCAAAGCAGGATTATTTATAACAGCTCCAAATTGGAACCAGCCCAAATGCAGAATAAAGAAATCTTTGTATACTCATTCAGAGGAATACTACCTATAAATGAAAAGGGGCCAGGCACAGTGGCTCATGCCTGTAATCCCAGCACTTTGGGAGGCCAAGGTGGGAGGATCACTTAAGCCCAACAGTTTGCCAGCTTTGGTAACATAAGGAGACACTGTCTCTAAAAAATAAAAAAATAAAAAATAAAATAAAATAAAATAAAAATTAGCTGGGGTGGAGTGCGGTGGCTCATGCCTGTAATCCCAGCACTTTGGGAGGCCAAGGGGGAGCAGATTGCTTGAGCCCAGGCGGTTGAGACCAGCCTGGGCAATATGGCGAAAGCCTGTCTCTAAAAAAATACAAAAAAAAAATTAGCCAGGCATGGTGGTGCATGCCTATAGTCCCAGCTACTTGGGGGGCTGAGATGGGAGAATCACTTGAGCCCAGGACGTCAAGGCTGCAGTGAGCCATGATCATGCCACTGCATTCCAGCCTGGATGACAGAGTAAGAAACTATCTCAAAAAAAAAAAAAAAATACCAGGTGTGGTGGCATGTGCCTGTAGTCCCAGCTAGTCAGGAGGCTGAGGTGGGAGGATCACTTAAGCCTGAGGAGGTGTCGAGGCTGCAGTGAGCCATGATCACATTATTGCACTCCAGCAAGACCCTGTCTCAAAAAAGAGAGAAAGAAAGAAATGAAAAGGAACAAACAACAACGTGGATGAATCTCACAAATATGATGTTGAGGAAGAGAAATCCAACATGAAAGAGTACTTACTTCATGAGTCTGTGAATAGGAAGTTCAAAAACTGGCAAAAGCATTCTATGGTGTCACAAATTAAGGATGGTGGCTACCCACGGTTGGGGTGGTGGAGAGGAATAGGCATGAGGTTAGCTCTGGAGGGCTGATCGTGTCAATGTCTTGATATGGGTGCTGATTACAAAAATATTCACTTTGTGAAAACTCATCAAGTTGCACACCTATGATGTGTGTACTTTTCTGATGTACGCTACATTTTGAAAAATAGGTTTATTTTTAATTTATTGTTACAAGAACAATTGTAAATAATTTTTAAAATATAAAAAAGTAAAGAAAAATTTTGAACATGGACTCTGGGCGGTACAGGTGACAGCGCAGGACCAGAGGACAGAAATGGTGTATTATTGTAAGATCTTGTTGATAAGGTGAGGATGTAAAACTGCTACTGAAGGAAGAGAATGTGGCCTATCACAGTGAATGAACATTGGTTTGGTAAAAGTAATCTTAACTAGCTTGATGAATGCACTAGATGTGTTAATAATTACTATCATGCTCATTAAACGTTCTGTGAAACACCCTCGTCCATAGCCCCTGCTGTTTCGCAGTTAAGCCACGGGCTGGTCAGAGACTGATGATTTTGTCTGGCCCCCAAATTTGAACTGAGACAATCAGATTCTATCTCACAAGAATATGACCCTGGATATGAGAGATGCTGCAGTGAAAACTGAAGCAGGAGAAAAGGGACCACAACACTGAGTTAGTATCATGAGGGTTATGACAACCTGAAGTTAGGGGAAAAAAACCTATGAGGAAAGACTCAGTGAGAAGGCAAACGGGGATAAACACACTGAAAGGTTGGCCAGCAGCAATATCCAAAGAAGAGCTAAGTCCCCATAAAGAGCACTACTCACCTGTATATTGTCTTGTAATATTCCCACTGTTCCCCTCAACACTCAGAGGTGATCATTATTCAAGACAACTCTAGTTCATACCTCTCCCTTGCAATCAAAAGGGCCTAAAACAATCAGTCATAGGACAGAAACCAACTAACCCTAGATAAAAGTTTAACAATACTAGAAAAAGCCAACTACACACTTGATTAATGAAGCCTTAGTAACTGCCCTAAAATAATATTGACCAGCTGTTGGGTCTCAGAATTGATTGTGAAAGTTGGATGAGACATTAGCTCATGGATGACATTCTCACTGTTGAAAAACTGTGCAAAGGGCGCGGTGGCTCATGCCTGTAATCCCAGCACTTTGGGAGGCCAAGGCGGGCAGATCACCTGAGGTTAGGAGTTCAAGACCAGCCTGACCAACATGGAGAAATCCTGTCTCTACTAAAAATACAAAATTAGTCGGGGTGGTGGTGCATGCCTGTAATCCCAGCTACTCGAGAGGCTGAGGCAGGAGAATCGCTTGAACCCAGGTCGCGGAGGTTGCAGTGAGCCAAGATCGCACCATTGCACTCCAGCCTGGGCAACAAGAGCAAAACTCTGTCTCAAAAAAAAAAAAAAAAAAAAAAAAAAAAGAAGAAGAAGTATTATTGGCATCTGTGTAGGAAACTCTTATCCTTGATTCTAAATAAGAGTGCTTAGCCAGGCGCAGTGGCTCACGCCTGTAATCCCAGCACTTTGGGAGGCCGAGACGGGCGGATCACGAGGTCAGGAGATCGAGATCATCCTGGCTAACACGGTGAAACCCCGTCTCTACTAAAAATACAAAAAAAAATTAGCCGGGCGTGGTGGCGGGTGCCTGTAGTCCCAGCTACTTGGGAGGCTGAGGCAGGAGAATGGTGTGAACCCTGGAGGCGGAGCTTGCAGTGAGCCAAGATCGCGCCACTGCACTCCAGCGTGGGTGACAGAGTGAGACTCTGTCTCAAAAAAAAAAAAGAAAAAAGAAAAAAGAGTGCTGGCCAGTCGTGGTGGCTCACGCCTGTAAACCCAACACTTTGGGAGGCCAAGGGGGGCAGATCACAAGGTCAGGAGTTCGAGACCAGCCTGACCAACATGGTGAAACCCTGTCTCTACTAAAAAAAGAATGCAAAAGTTAGCCGGGTGTGGTGGTGCACACCTGTAATCCCAGGTACTCAGGAGGCTTACACAGGAGAATCACTTGAACCTGGGAGGCAGAGATTGCCGTGAGCTGAGATGGCGCCACTGCACTCCAGCCTGGGTGACAGAGCGAGACTCCAACTTAAAAAAAAAAAAAAAAAAAAAAAAAGAGTCCTGCACAGCTGGAGGAGCTGGGTAAATGGAAAGAAGATCTCAGTAAGAGGATCACCAATGATTTAATTGCCCCTTAGAGTGGGATCAAATCATGAAAACACTTTACACCATGATCATGGTTATGCAATTCATTTTGGCCAGGGAGAGTGGCTCATGCTGGTAATCTCAGCACTTTGGGAGGCCAAGGTAGGAGAATTGCTTGAGGCCAGGAGTTCAAGACGAGCCTGGGCAACACAGGGAGACCCCATCTCCAAAAAAAAATAAATAATTAGCTGGGTGTGGTGGCACACATTTGTAGTCCCAACTACTTGGGAGGCTGAGGAAGGAGGATCGCTAGAGCTCAGGAGTTCAAGGCTTCAGTAAGCTATGACTGCGCCACTTCACTCCAGCCCAGGTGACAGAGCAAGACTCCGTCTCAATTTTTAAAATTGATTCAAACTTCCTTCCCTTTAAGATTTAACATACTAGGACTTATTTAAAAGCCAATTCCATCTCCTTTATGTCTTCACAACTATTGTCTTAAGTTTTTTCCTTTATTATAACATGAAAGAAACAAAAAAGAGGGCTACCTTTATAATAGCACACATTATTAACAGAAACTCATTATGAACTCTTTCCAAGATAGTCCTTTTCAGAGCTATATCCAGTGCAATCTCCAGTGCCAAAAAAGTGCTATGCCAAAAAGGAAAAAAGTTCCTTATTTACAAGTGAAATAATACAATGTCTGGAACTTGCTTTAAAGTGGTCTAACAAAAAAAAAAATGTACACATGGAGACAGATAAAACAAGAATGGCAGAAAGATGAAGATGTTGAAGCTGGAGGATGAGTAGGTTGGCATTCCCTGAAATATTCTATTTTGTGTGTGTTAAAGTATTTTTGAAAGGGAAAGGAAAGGAAAATACTTTCTAAGTCATCCTAATAATGAAAATAAAAAGAGGAATATCAAAGAGAGTAATAAAAATGCTAGCTGGCAAATGTGCTGACCATTCACCATGTGCCAGGCCTATGCCAAGAGCTTGGCCTGTGAGCCTCACAACAACCTGATGGAGCAGGTACTATCCGGATCTCCATATTCCAGGCAGGGAGCCAGGCTTAGAAAGAGAAATTGCTCAAGATCATGTGTCTGGTAAGTAGCAGAGCCAAGACTGAATCCTATGCAGTTTAAATCCTGAACTGAACCATACACAACACCAGCACTTCACCTAGAAACTGATATTCTTACATTCTTAAAAGAAAGCAAATTCATATTAATATGAGTGGCCTCCTATTCCTATGAATCACTGACATTATCTCGTCATGACTTCTTTTGTGATCAGTTATAATGTTATCTACTGAGCCTTAGACCAAGTTATCACCTCCCTATTTCCACATTGCTAAATGCAGGAAACCTCCTAGCTTTTCAACAGTCCCTCTATTTGAAAGAACTGACCCCACTGTTTACATTAGTCACACAAATGGCATGGGCTTATAAATACAGTCCAGGAAATGAATCAGGCATGTCTAAATTAAATCAGACAATGACAAAATGAAACACTTCAGTACCCTGAAAATAATAAAAAGTACCACTCATATCCCTGCTGTTTCCATCACCACAGGTCTTCACAATGTCATACTGGTAAGTATCATAAGAGCTAAAAACAGATATTGTGACCTGAATTTTTTTTTAATTAAGCACTAAAGGATCAATAAATTTTATTTTATTTTTATTTATTTCTTTACCAAGAGATGTTATGTGTTTATTTATTTATTTTGCCCAGGCTGGAGTGTAATGGCGTGATCTCGACTAACTGCAACCTCCACCTCCCAGGTTCAAGTGATTCTCCTGCCTCAGCCTCCTGAGTAGCTGGGATTACAGGCATGCTCCACCACGCCTGGCTAATTTTGTATTTTTAGTACAGACAGGGTTTCGCCATGTTGGTCAGGCTGGTCTCTAACTCCTGACCTCAGGTGATCCACCTGCCTCGACCTCCCAAAGTGCTGGGATTATAGGCGTGAGCCACTACACCCGGCCAACAAATTTTATTTTTAAGGATTGCTTTTTTTACATCATTTTATCTTTATCTTCTCAGATCTTATGAGAATTAAAATTCTGATTAACTTATTTAATCTAAAGCTGTAAATTATTCTTATATAGGCCTCCCCAACTTTCTGTCTCATTTCTTGCTTTACAGTTTTTTAACAAAGAAAAGAAACACTGTAGTATATTAGTTAAATAAACACAGACCAACTCAAACTTGTTATTTTTTTCCTGCTTTCTCCCTAAAAGTATATTTGAAGCATTTTGTAGTCACTGTAATAAGTTTTAGGAAAAATGATTTGAATCCTTATTTTTCATTAAATCATTAGTTTTTCAAGTGCCAGTAAAAAAATAAAACTGTGAGTCCATGTGCTTTTTGCATCTCTGTTCCACCTACTGATGCCAATATTTTCTGCAACAACAACAACAACAACAAACCTGCTACTGTTTTTTTCTAAATATATACACAATTACATTTTTAACTCCTTGGGCAAAAATGCTAACATATTCCCTTTGGCGGAACCAAATTCATGTATTTATAACTTCTCAATCAGCTAAAATTTAAAAGTTGCACCAATAAAAATGTAATGGATAATTTTAGAATAATGGTTAGATTTTAGAATAAAGGCCAAATGTTATAAAATAATCAAACATTTATCACAGTGCTATGTTGATATTTAACAAATATCATTTCTAGTTTCATTTAAATATCAATAAAATTTTACTATTTACAGTCTTTGTTTAAGGTAAACTAATTTCAGAGAGGAATTTATATTGTGAGTAATTTAACAGAATCATTCCATATCCTTAGTCCTGAAAAATAAAGCTCCCCAAATTATAGATAGATGGGATTTATAACTCAGGTCTTGAAATGTTAATGTACAAATCAAAATCTGCAAACTCCAATATATAACCGCCTAACAAAGGTTTAATATTCAACGGTAGAAAATAGTAGAAGGGTAACAAACTGAATAAACACCACACACACACATACACACACACACACACACACACACAAACATATATCCCTTTCTTGTAGAACAAATAAATAGGTATAAAAATAGAAAGCCACTTTAAACCTGTGAAAAGTAGAATTTAAGACTTGAGCAAATCCATATGGTTGGTCAATCTGACTTATTTCATTACAAAATAATCATAAAGACTAAGTAATTTCATTCCAAAAAATTAAAATTATACTGACTGTGGCATGCATATTTAAGTAGTATTGAAAACTGCAGAAAAAAATCCATTTAAAAATATAATCTGCATTAAACAGACAGCAATATCAGCAATTGTTTTAATGAACCACTGACATTTGCTTGCTAAAACCAGAAACATTTGGTTATCACACATGCTTTAGGTCTTGTCATCATCCAGTGGGAGAAAAATTTCTCTATTTTTTAATTGTCAAAAGAAGGGAAAAATTGTTATAACACTACAAGTATTTTCTACCCCTCGACAATGCGCTTAGTTGTCACTTAATGAAACCCACAGAAAAATAGTTGTTCACAACAATAATGCATTTTTATGTATTAATACATCTGTCACATCAGGGATGGACTTTTCTGTGTTGAATTCTTACACAACAATCTAAATAGTAAGGCTTAGTGTAGCCAAAATTAAAATAACTCAATTTTGCTAATCCATGAGATTTTTTTTTCATTTAACTTTAAAGAGAAGGATAATTACAAAGTTTAAGTAATAAATTATTTTGTTCCCTAAATTATATTTTTTAACATTGTATAAGATTTAGCAAATATCATTATTCCATTTTCCCTTTGTGTTCAGTAAACAAAAGTTGAGTTGGTTATAATTAGACAACGTGAAGTAGTATGAAAATCCACCATCCACACTCTCCATCTCCCACAAATATTTCAGAGTTCGCACGCAGCTCTGCCTAATTCATTCGATGATTAAAATCCTCTGCTTGTGGTCAATTTAGGAAGGCTAAAATGACTAGTAATGAAGTGACAGGAAATCACATAGCCTTTAATCCCTTTAAAATTAAACCAACATGTTTAATTCAGCACAAATGCAAATGTCTACTTCTTTAAACCTCCAGAGCGAAAGAGATATTTTACCCCCCAAAACAAGTGAAATCAGGCTGAAGAGAACATTTACCACCACCAGAAAAATAAGAATCAAGGTGGCTTTTTTGCTATGTGTCTTCTCCTGCTAGTAGGCAAGACAGATACTGCCACTGAAACAGAGCAGACTAACTGGGATGTGTACTTTCACCCTAAATGCAAATATTTTTAAAGGTACCCCATTCCTGAAGTAAATGAATTCCTGAAGTAATGTCATGTAAAACTGCTTGTTTAAAAATAAATCCCGTTTTTCTTTGAACATGTAATGGTCTGCAATCGTATTTCTCAAGAATTACAACTGCCATTTAAATAGTTTTGAAAAGGAAATAAGAATAAACAAAACAGTGATTCACATCCTATACCCCAAGCCCCCATCCATCTAGATTTGCTCAGTGGATTTAAAAACAGTCTTAGTAAGGAACTCTTCAACATAATTTAGTCTTTATATCTTCAACTGGACTTTGATCATCTCCCCAGAAGTCTTTGAGTTTCAGTGTTAGCAATAGGTAATAATAACGATGATGTTAATACTCATCATCTCCAAAAGCTGAAGTTCAAATTAGATGAGGTAAGAGAGGATAACAGCCACCAAGAGCACAGAGCCTACCATGTAGAAGGTACTTGCTAAATACAACTTCCCTTTCTCCTTCACCTGGAACAAAACGGGAGGTTTTCATTTTCCACAAATGGAGCTTAACTAGAAAGAAGTGCCATCGGACACCTTTTTAAGAAAAGGAACAACACTTTTGGAGAAAATAAACCACTTAAAATTGTTTTTAACTGATCTCATTTTGATTATATCACCATTGCTATCCCAAAGAAGTAGTCACTATGGAAGGCTGATAAGAGAGCCTTGCAATCCTCCAAAGACTCATCAAAGTGAAATCTGAGAACACTATGAAAAAAATAGAGCAATGCAAATATTCCTACAATCTAAGCATATTTGGAAAGTGACTTTCTTTTTTCTGCTTAACTGGAAACAATTTAAGTCCAAGTGTAAAAAAAAAAAAAAAACGGATTTTTTTGTTGTTGTCAACCAACTTATTTTGAATTGTTATTTACAGGAAGCAAACCAATGGGTGTTTTCTTCTTGTAACTTACCTAAAAACACAACTAATAAGCATAAAAATCATTGAAGGATATGTGGACTTTAAGCTCCCAAGAATGCTTAGAGGCAGTTTATAGCAATAATTACATCAACTATTGTAACTGTCAAGGGGATTACAATAAATATGTCGCCCTCCAATGTGAGTAATAAGAATGTCTCTGCCTCAGGCAATGATGTTACTATAGGTTTGCACATCTGCTGACCTAACTAATTTATCAGAATGTCCACTTCAATCACCTGCTTGTCCTCGGCTTTTCAGATGCAGTATTTATTACAAACACTGGTAATCTCTGAATCTTGTGAAATGGTCTTTCACATTCTCCACACTGCAAAAAGCTCACCCTGTCTGTCATAACCTTAGAAATAGAAGATGCCATTATTGAAAGGTAATTGGAAACCAACTTAGCCAAATTCTTAATTTTTACATATTAGGAAACAGAGATTTCATTAACAGAAAAAAAGAGAAAAGATTAAGAGATGTGCTTAAAGAAATAACACGGAAACTTGGTGAAGAAAAATGACTCTGCCTCACTAAGTCCTGTTTCAAGCCCTAACCTTCAACTGTGTTGATAGTGTTGAGGGAGATATTGATATGGAAAGCTCCAGAAGCATATAAGGAGAAAGAAGCAAACCTTGGGATGTGCTCATCTCCTCACATCCTCCACAGATCCTTCGTGTCTCAGTGTCTGGATGATCTAAGCACCTCAGCAACATAAATTAGCTGAGAGGTAACCAACTGGATAAACTGTAGATTTAAGGTAGAATGTTTCTCCTTGTTTCTTATTTTCACAGTTTCTTCTTAATTATTCAAACACACCCAGTTGGCAGTGCCAGAGAAAAGCATCAGTGGGCTAAGCTAACCCAACTCACAGCAGCACATCTAATGCAAGACAAAATGTGGAAGGTTTCCCAGCCCAACTCCTAATCCATTCTGGAATGCTTGCTTCTCTACATCTCAGATTTATCTACAAACACCAAAGATTCTAATTTCTAACCTCTTGAAGATGAATAAAATGACTGAGAAATACTCATCATTTGCATGGTCATAAAAAGGGAAAACAATTTTTTCATTAGATGGCCTATTTAGGACAACCATTAGAAAGTGGCATGAAAGTCAAACTATTTGGAAGTTATGTTTCCTTATTAAAGTGCAAGAAAGAAAACAGTCTTGAAGATTACAGTCCAGATATTTTCCAAGTAGAAAAATGTTGGTTTCCATATAACATTAGCAAGTCAGAGAGCCATATGAATTGTAACAGGTAACAACTCCCCACCCCTAACTGAAAAAAAAAAAATCAAAAGTGGTTATCTTATATTAATATAAATATGAAGAAAACAAATAATTTGAGATTAAGTAAATGATATATATCCTGAGTAATTTAAAATACCCTATTCTACTTTAGACATAATAACATTTAGAAACCTATTCATTTTGGTTCCTGCGGGGCCTTGGAACACATACCTTAAAAAAAATCCCACCAATAGAATGTTACTTATATATATTCCTGAAAAAAAATGTTTCCTCAAAACTCTTCTCCCAATTTAAATTCTAAAATGCATGACTTGAAATTTATGTTTATATTTCTAGTATCTATATCTATAAAGTTGGAAATCAGTTTTTCAAATGACTCTGAACAAGCCCTCAGAAACTAAAGAGCATATTTAAACTTTCAGATTTATAAGTGTTATAACAAGTTTAATCACTTAAGTCTGTTAATGATTTATAGTGAAAACAACTCAAACTTCCGGTCGGTCTAGTTTTAACTCCTCTTAATTTTACACATTGTTTTATGAGCCCCAAAGGGTTAGGTAGGCATCTTACGGATCACTCCATTGCTAGCACCTCCCACAGCCTCTGTGGTGTGCGGTAGATGCTGTCTGATCTGAACTCACATGGAAAATTCAGCTGCGAATATTTTTACGCAACAGCAAAAACAATCAGCCTTTTTCATATCAAGGTGGGGATTGAGAAGCTAAATGAGAACATTAGGGGCATAAAATTAGTCTGCTTTAACTTTAATAACCAAACGGTGATTGGAAACATACAAACTTTGTGTTTGCAGGAATGAGGGGCTGGGATCACTAAGACTTAAAGGGTTTTTCTCCCCCACCCCGCGACCATGAGCACACAGCAAAACTAATAAAATTATGACCCAGAATTAAAAGGTCGCATTCATTTTCAAAGCATTCATTTAAAAGTACAGAAGCGTTCTTTAAAAATGCCCACATTTTTAAACATAGCAAGAATGTGGCTACCAAATATTAATCCTGAGGAATATGAATACACATTTACCTTCATAATTACACCCAGCAGGTCAAATGTTAGCAAGGCCAACTGACCGAAATCACAAAGACTGATTGAAAATGACCAACAGAAAGTGTCTGTCCGGCTTGGGAGCCCCGCTTGTTCCCAGCCCAACCAGTGGTCAAACATCTGCAGGCAAAGAAATCTACACGCGCCAGCCGGGTATGGCAGAAATCAAACTTTTCCAAATAAGTTAGTTCCGTCTTGCCAATCTACACCCAACAGGTGTCAATACATGTCACCAGACAAAAATCTGGCGAGCCAGGTCTAGAGAAGCAATAGATGGTTGGCAGAGAAGCTGAAACGACTCGACCTCTACCAGGGTAATGAAAGCAAGTCGGGCCACTATTCTGACTGATCACTTGGCAGTGGGGTGGAGGGGTATGGAGATGGGAGAATCCCTGGATGAAGATCGGAAGGAGCGTGGAGATGTCCCGCCACTGGTGACGCGGGGGGATTTCGGAGCATAGTCCCCGCACTCTTTCACGACCCCCGACCCCTGATCCCCGGATTAGGACGGCAAGGGAGTGCGGCGATCAAGGCTGGGAGACCGCGGAGAGAAGGCGCGCGGTACCTGCTTGTCCAGCGCGTCTCGGACGCCTCCCTGCCCGGCGCCGGCCCTGGGTGGCGCGGGCGTTCGTTCGCAGCTGCAGCCCTCCAGGAGGTACATGCCCGCCGGGCGGCAGCTCTGCTCGCCCTCGAAGTAGAAGAGCACATTCTGGTAGAGGGCGAACCACTTCTCGTGCCAGCGGCTCGCCTCGGCCGTCTTCTTACTCAGGAAGCCGCGCTTGGTGCCCTCCTTGCGCGCCAGAAAGGCCAGGTACAGGGCGTGCCCCTCGTTGTAGCGCACGCTCTTCTGCATGGTGCGGGTGCGGAGGGCTCACGGGTGGCCGCCGGTCTCACCCCTGCCTCGCGGCCATGGCCCAGCTGGCTCCCTCGAGGGCGCGACCGCTCAGGTCCCGGCCGGCGAAGGGCGCCCCCTTTCCCCACGCCGCGCGCAGGGCACCCCGCCCGCTTTCGGGAGGCCGCGGCGCGCGGTGGCAGGGGCGCGGGCTGGGGCCGAGGCACGCTCTCCGCCCTAACCACCACCCTCCCGGCCGAGCCCCCGGAGCCCCCCAAGCCCCCAACGCCCGCGTGGAGCGCGGCCCCGCGAGGGCGCCCGAGCCGGCCGCCGCTTCGCCCAAAGTTGCGGGAGCCGAGCCCCCGCGGCGGGCTGGGGCGGCAGCCGGGGAAGGACTGTCCTCGGGCAACGCGCTCCGGGAGACAGAAGGTAAAACGTCACGTGGGAGCTCAGCTGTAATCGGCTTGGAGACCGATTTAAAGGGCAAAGTCGGCGCGGCGCCGGCGGTGGCGCAGCCCGCTTGCCCCGGCTCGCGTCCCTCCCTCGCCCGCCCCGGCCCGGGCCGCTGCCTCTGCTCGGGCGCCCGCCGGGATGGGGCGGATCAGGGAGGTGGAGGCGCCCGGCCGCACCACACACCCGCTCACACGCGCTCGCACACTCGCGCACAACGCGCGCACACACACACGCACACCCACACACACGCAGACCAGTACATTCACCCAGATCCACAATGCACACACTCAGACGCACAAAAATACACTCACAAATGCACACAAACACAATGCGCGCACATATGCACAAAAACACACGCGCACACACTCATGACACACAAATACACATTCTCACAACGCTCACACTCAACACACAGTCACAACGCACAAATGCATATAGACAAATACACCCACAATGTGCGTTCCCGCGCACAAAAATAAAACCCACATTCAGATACACACTTAAGGAGCTACACACATGCACGCAGTGATATGCTCACTTACACACACATTCACACACAACCCACACATTCACTCAAACCCACATTCAAACATACATTCATACACACATTACACTCATACAGTCACACAAACAGCACACATATACTCACACGTTCACAATCATACAGACTCATAAGCAGATAATCAAACACACACACAGATGAACACACATGTACATTCACAAATTCATCCAAAAATACACACAAAGCACTCACACACGTATTCGCACGAATCCACAC
This sequence comes from Homo sapiens, assembly GCF_000001405.40. Taxonomy (NCBI): domain Eukaryota; kingdom Metazoa; phylum Chordata; class Mammalia; order Primates; family Hominidae; genus Homo; species Homo sapiens. The sequence goes on along the minus strand of NC_000005.10, from coordinate 80,959,528 downwards.
ACTTTCACAAACCCACTCACACATACACACACACTCACATGCCACATCCATAAGTACGTTCCCATGGCAGTAGGTAGAGTCACAGAGTGGCTTTGCATAGCCCGCATCCTTGGCTTTTCTGCTTGTACCTGCATTGTAGTATTTAAAACTGCCGGTAAAGGTTAAGGAGAGTGGCCCAAGTGTTCCCGGAAAGGCATCAGATGCCGAAGTTCTTTCGGAATGCCTGTTATTTCACAGTGGTAAGATGCTAAATTTTAAGTGCCGAGTTTTCAACCTGGAAAAAAATACCCAAATAAGGGACACTTTGCTGCCCAGGGCAGAATCCAACCCCAAAGGCCAGCTGTCACAGGCTCATCGTTTGTAGGACTGGATTCATTTGATTAACAAATCTGACAGGTACAACCAGAAAACCAAGAGCCACCCCCCCGCCCCAACCCCATGCTGTAAAAATGTAAGTGGAAAAGAAATAATGTAGCCAGCAGCTGTGAGAGAAAGCCAGTGAAACCCCCGGGGAGGGCCTATATTTGATTCTGCTATACACATTTTTTATTTTCCCCAGTCATTTATCACTAAAACGGAGTGCCATCATAAAATGTTTATTGTTAAAAGTAAATAATAATGCTTTTCTGGGTGATGAGTCTACGACAATACACCTGTCTTGTACTGCCAGTTGTGTGTTCATGAATTGGTAGCCCCAGGGGTTCTGCCTGTTTCATAAGTGCTGTTTCTGCAGAATATTTTAACTCTGCCTCACTGAGCAGCTGAGTGGGGTTTTTTTTTCCTTTTACCTTTTTAAAAAATTTTCACTTTTAACAAGTATATAGTAGGGAAATTGCCATTTTGAAATTACAGCGTGAGAACAGTGGTCATTTCTCTTTACGTTTTTAAAAATATCTAAAGGACAGTGCTGTGCTAAATTGGGTTTAACCCAGCTGGAAGTTTGCATTGTTCTTCAGAGAAGACACAAGTACAGAGACAGTAAGTAAATGCAGGCAACATTTTGGAGCCAGATTCTAGATGCAGAGGAGCTGGTGATTGCCTCAGGAGGCCTTTTATTTCTTTCTCTGTGGTCCAATCCCAGCTGTGAGAACCGTAAGTGAGTAGACACCTGTGTGGTTGATAAGCTCCATTTTTTTAGTAGAAACCAGTAAGAGTGTGAAATCAGCACAAAAACTATTTTGCCATGAGTAGTCAAACCTTCTAACGCACTTGAGTTTTTTCAGATGTGAAAGATTCTCTTCTTCAATAAGCAATGTCTCAGTTACCATCTCTGTCTCCTTAAATGTGCTTTTCATTTGAACCACATGAAATATTCACAACCTCTTGTCTGACATCACTTCCTACCACGGAAGGTTATGTGGCCCTTATATGCCACCCCATCTGCTCTGCCCCTGGACAATGAGAGAAAGGAGTGCTTGTTTCCTGCAAAATTTGGCTGGTGATTACCGTGGGTTTTGATTATGGAAATTCACTGCAAGAACCATTTATTGATCACTAGTTTATGTCCTCAACACTATATTTAGGTGATGTAGAGCATATAGAGAAAAAGCATTGCCTGTGTTCCTGGTGTGCTCAGTGTAAGAGGAAGAGAATTTCTTTCTTTCTTCTTTTCTTTCCCTTCCTCCCTCCCTCTCTCTCTCTCTCTCTCTCTCTCTCTCTCTCTCTGTCTCTTTCTCTCTCTCTTTCTTTCTTTTTTTCTTTAGAGAGAGGTTCTTCCTCTGTTGCCCAGGCTGAAGTCATAGCTCACTGCAGCCTCAAACTCCTGGGCTCCAGCAATCCTCCTGCCTCAGCCTCCAGCGTAGCTAAGACTATGGGTGTGCACTACCACACCTGGTTAGGTTTTGTTTACTTTTTGTAGAGACAGAGGTCTCACCATGTTACCCAGGCTGGTCTCAAACTCCTGGTCTCAAGTAACCCTCCTGCCTTGGCCTCCCAAAGTCCTGGGATTGTAAGTACGACACCACCCAGCCAGGAAGAAGATTAATGTTTAGGTGCTTCTTCTCACCTGTCTGTTTCTCAAGTGCCGAGCTATCTCTGTAATCCCTGTAGCACCCAGTAGGAGAGTTTATATGCAGTAGGCATACAAGTTTTTCAGACAATTATTTTCTAAATTAATTTCTTATTTGGTCATTGAATTGTTAAAGAGGGCATAAGCATTTGCAAATATTAGATCATTCTGCAAGATTGTAAGAGATGAAAACAACCAGACATTCCTGGACAGCCTAGAGAAGCTATCTCTATTAGGTGTCTGATGGGCACCTGGGGGCCTTTAGTCTCCATTCATATGGAAACCACATCCCTGGAATGGTGCCATCCTGAAACACAAAGGATCAGGAGTTTATGTAAATAAGAATGCTTTCCCCCAGCTGATCAAATAGATTGCCAAAAAGAGACTGCGTTCCAAGTGGATGGGAACAAGCTTCTCTGAATTCATTGTTTTTCCTTCTTGCATTGCGTGGATTCTTTCTTGAGCGGGCCAGTTTAAAAAAATTTTTTATGGGCAACAAAGCATATGATCACAGTGCAAGTGGCCTCTTTCCCCTTTTCTAGATAAGTTAAGAGGGGAAAAATAGCAATGAGCTGTCATACCTGGAAACTCTACTAAATAGAGAGGGAGACATTATTCAGATAATTTGATGAGAAAAGGAAGGAAGGGAGGGAAGGAGGGAAAGAGGAAAGAAAGGACGGAAGGAGGGAGGAAGGAAAGGTGGGAGGGGAAATTTTATCTGAATTGTCTAAAGCTTTGAAGTTTAGGGGAGTGGGGAGTGCACAACCTAACCTACAGCTTTTCAAAATCCCTAACTCATGCCTTAGTATTCAGATGCACAAGGTAGGTTTTAATTTTTTTTTTCTTTCTCCTAAACTCTGTTTTGTTAGTAAAATGTACATGGGCTGCATGAGTTTCTGCAAGGACTTTTCCCTGTGGTTTCTATAATTCAGAAATGCATCCGCACTGGGTTCTTGGAGGAAGATTATGTCAAGCAAAGCTGTCAGAGGCATTTGAACCAAAGCAACTCCATCTTAAATAGGAGCCGGGTAAAATGAGGCTGAAACCTACTGGGCTGCATTCCCAGACGGTTAAGGCATTCTAAGTCACGGGATGAGATAGGAGGTCAGCACAAAATACAGGTCACAAAGACCTTGCTGGTAAAACAGCTTGCAGTAAAGGAGCCACCAAAACCAAAATGGCAACGAGAGTGACTTTGGTCGTCCTCACTGCTACGCTCCCACCAGCACCATGACAGTTTACAAATGCCATGGCAATGTCAGGAAGTTACCCAGTGTGGTCTAAAAAGGGGAGGCATAAATAATCCACCCCTTGTTTAGCGTGTCATCAAAAAATAACCATAAAAATGGGCAACTAGCAGCCCTCGGGACTGCTCCGTCTATGGAGTAGCCATTCTTTTATTCCTTTATTTTCTTAAACTTGCTTTCACTTTGCACTTCGGACTCGCCCTGAATTCTTTCTTGTGAGAGATCCAAGAATCCTTTCTTGGGGTCTGGATTGGGACCGCTTTCCTGTAACAAAGCCACAGTATTGCCAAGATCCTTTTCTTAGCCTGACAGAAGATCACTTGGGGAATTGTCATTTTGATGGCTTGTAGATGTGGAGAATAATATATTTAATAATGCAGACTCACCAAGAATCCCAGACTGTTTCTACAGGATAGAGTGCTACCAGTTCTGGCACATATGTGATTCTGTATCATCTCTTGATACTTAATTAGTAAAGCCAGGTTCTTCCCCAAGTAGGTAAAACCCAAAAGGATTATTCCTTCCTTGTTTCCAGTATTATTTTGACCAAAAAGAATTCCTTATTTACGAAATACTAGAATGAACTACTTAGAGCTAATAAAACCATTTATCTGGTGTCCTTATGATATTTCAACTAACTTAATGTTCGAGATACCTAAAGCTTGTCCTTCAAACACCGAAGATAAATGAGCTCTACATCTCTACAGTCTAAACAGTGAAGAAAAGTTAGCATCTTCTTGATTTAAGGTCACTATTCTAAATACAATGTGTCTAGGAGCTAGACCACAGCTATTGCTAGCCTCTACTCTTTTATGCAAATTAGAAAAAGGCACACCCTCTGGGAGGATGAATTAGAGAGAGCCTTGAGGTGCACACAGCCTTGAGAACATGATCCTGATGAGTGGATGACATGACACCTTCATGTGACTAAAAGGTGCCCCTCCCCCTGGATGGCTACAGCTCTGTGCAGGGAGCCCTGTGCAGTGACCAACCTGTGCAACTGAACACAACAGCTTGTGCTGTGTGCCTCTCCATGGGTGGCCACGAACAGCTGTGCCTTTAGAGTTTCTATAGCTGTTCCACAAACCCAACCGCATCCTTCACCCTTTCTCCATCCTAACCTTCTAATTGTCATCTTCTGGTTTCTTGAAGACTTAGGCTGTGAAGCTTTTAAGAACTTTGTGAAACAAAATATAACTTTATTAAACATAAAAATGAGAAGATCTTGGAGAGTCCTGTAGAGAGTGAAGTGTGTAATCTAGCTAGGAATACACGGGAATTGTTTTGACCGCTAGAGATGATTTCCTTTTGGCTTCTCAGCAATGCTCTGAACATGTAAGGTCTGACTACACGAATGTAATTATTCACATTATATACAGTAGTATAAATTATGCATGCATTACTTTTATACTGTAGTGTCACCACAAAAAGTATAGGTTATGATATACAAAGAATTTTAGAGACCCAAGAAAATACTCATGATTTAGTGGTAGCAAAAACCCCTTTCTATTCCCCTGCTTCCCTTTATAGCAAAACTTGCCCTTTATAACATCTCTCTACACACTGGGTCTACTTCCTTCTCCCCATTTTCTCCTGAGCTACTTCATTCAGTCTTTTCATCCCCACCACCCCACTGAAACAATCCCCACAGTCACGGTCACCTGCAGTCCCCACAATGCCAAGCTCGGTGGTCAGTTTCCAGTCTGCACATTGACATCGCAGCAGCGTTTGATACAGCTGAACACTCCCTCTTTCTTGAAACAGTCTTCTCACTTAGCTTCTGGGACACCACACTCTCCAGCCCCTTCCTGATTCTCCTGCTGTGTCTTCATTTTCTCATGGCTGTCCCCCTCCTCTTCGCAGCCTCTGAATAGTATTTCACCCCGGGGCCCTCTCCTGGGACGTCTTCTCTTCTTTATCTACATCATTTTATCCACTCCGTGGCTTTAAATAAGTCTCTCCACCCCTCTCCTTTTCTGAAATGCAGACCTGTGTGCTGCCTACTCAACATCTCCTCTTGACTATCTAGTAGGCATCTCAAACTCAACGTGTTCAAGACTGAATTTCCCTGCAAAAAAACAACCGTTCATCCCATAGTCTTCCTCATCTCAGTATATGGCAACCCCATCCTTCCTTAAGTCAAAAATTTGAAGTCATCTATGAATCTTTTAATCTTCTCTCACCCCAGTCAGCTCTACCTTCAAAGCATATAGTAAATTAAACAATTTCTGACAAGCCCCATTGCTACCCCCATCCAGCCCATCGCCACTTCTCACCTGGACTACTGGAGTAATCTCCCAGCCGTCTCCCTGCATTCACTCTTACTCTCCTACTGCCTGTTCCCCATTGAGCAGCCAATGAGTACCTTGAAAACATAAATCACTATCGTGCCTCTTCTCTGCTCAACACCTTCCGACATCTTCCCATTGTACTGGAGTAAAACCCTATCCCTTTTTCTGCGTGACCCTATCCTCCTTTTCCTCTGTAGCACCTGTTGCTCCCTGACATTCTAGTATGTACGCTTAATTGCTTGATAGCTTCTGTCTCCCTCACTGTTATATCCTCAGCACCTAGAACATTCCTGAATATTACTCATAGTAAGACTCCATGAACATCATCTGTTGAATAAATGCTAGAAAACAATGACACCCTGTCAATTCAAGAAACTTCCTTTTTTTTTTTTTTTTTTTTGAGAGAGTCTTGTCCTGTCGCCCAGGCTGGAGTGCACTGGCACGACCTTGGCTCACCACAACCTCTACCTCCTGGGTTCAAGTGATTCTCCTGCCTCAGCCTCCTGAGTAGCTGGGATTACAGGTGTGTGCCATAATTTTTGTATTTTTAGTACAGACAGGGCTTCACCACATTGGTCAGGCTGGTATCAAACTCCTGACCTCGTGATCCGCCTGCCTCTGCCTCTCAAAGTGCTGGGATTATAGGCGTGAGCCACTGTGCCTGGCCAATTCAAGAAACTTCTTTTCCACATCAAACATTTGAACCTTAAATACTTTCCCGGACCAGCCCTTATACTTTCTAACCTGCTCCTTGACTTTCTTTTATCCCTTTTTCTCATGGAATTTTACAATCCGCCCCCTCCCCAAGTTCAGCCTCTGGAGGAATTTAGAGCTTCCCTCAGAGCTCCTTGTGATTCTAGAGTGTGATGGAGACTGTGAAGTGCTGCTACGGTCTCCTCCTTCAGAATGAGACACTTATTCACCCTCCTCACCTCATTATTCCACGCTCTACTACTAGAAGTTCTACTGGCAGTCAGCCCTCTCTGTGATTGTTCTCCGCAGAAGACAGCCACCTCGCCAAGATCGTGTCTCCCCTTTCTGAGGAAGCCCAGAGCTGATGACTGGCCATATGGATATAAAACGCACAACCCCCTCAGGGGAACTCCGACTCGGGCATCTCTGAAGGACTATGGGGTCCAGTGCAGCACAGAGTGGGACATTACTTTCTGCTGGGAAGACCCACTTCCCAATCAAGGGAGCATTTGGTCTGAGTCCTGAAGGGTGGTTGGTTAAGTGGCAAATACGCAGAGCTGGAGAATGAAGGATTTTTTTTTTTAATACTTTAAGTTCTAGGATACACGCGCACAATGTGCAGGTTTGTTACATATGTATACATGTGCCATGTTGGTTTGCTGCACCCATCAACTCATCATTTACATTAGGTATTTCTCCTAATGCTATCCCTCCCCCAGGCCCCCACCCCCTAACGGCCCCCAATGTGTGATGTTCCCTGCCTTGTGTCCAAGTGATCTCATTGTTCAATTCCCACCTATGAGTGAGAACATGCAGCGTTTGGTTTTCTGTCCTTGTGATAGTTTGCTGAGAATGATGGTTTCCAGCTTCATCCACGTCCCTGCAAAGGACATGAACTCATCCTTTTTTATGGCTGCATAGTATTCTATGGTGTATATGTGCCATATTTTCTTAATCCAGTCTGTCATTGATGGACATTTGCATTGGTTCCAAGTCTTTGCTATTGTGAACAGTGCTGCAGTGAACATACGTGTGCATGTGTCTTTGTAGTAGCATGATTTATAATCCTTTGGGTATATACCCAGTAATGGGATAGCTGGGTCAAATGGTAATTCTAGTTCTAGATCCTTGAGGAATCGCCACACTGTCTTCCACAATGGTTGAACTAATTTACACTCCCACCAACAGTGTAAAAGCGTTCCTATTTGGGGAATGAAGGATTTTTAACTAAGGAAGCTATGAGAATGAAAGACCAATAACAGAAAAGTACAGGGTAGAGGAAATGTGGGAGTTTATCGTGGTTTGAGAGAAGAAAGTATGATGGGGTATGATGAGAGACGAAGGCATAAATGGAGGTAGAGGTCAGATCACGGTGGCCTGCAAGGTCCTATATACAAGTAGTCAAAAGGGCACGACAGGTTTTTGAGTAGGGAAGCATAGTGGCCTTGTATCGTCTTGCACCCCTTCCTTTTTCCCCTTCTGGCCACAGTCCTGCCCTTCAGACTGTCTGGTTCAAAATGGAGCTGCCACCTTTTTACAGGCCCCACCTTCCTGGTCACAGTGATTGGCCTGGGAGTGGGTGCCTGATTTGGCTCGATCAAAATGAGCTGTTTCCTGGGACATTTGAACTAAAGACCTGCAAGATCTAGTCTCAGTTCGTCTCAAAGCTGCATGTTGTCCAGTGTAACCATAGGAACTGCCGAGATTGTACGAGATCATGGGCTCTGGAATCAGACAGTGTGAATTCCAATCCCTGCTCTATTACATATCCATTATGAAACACTGAACAAACCACTTAATCTCTTACAGGCTCAGCTTTCTCATCACTGAACTGGAGATACAGGTAATAGTAATATCTACCCCTGGAGGTATTTTTAAATACTTCCACAGTACCTGACACGTGGTAAGTTTTAACAATGCTGATGGAGGAAACATTTGGATGTTTCCAGCCAAATTGGAGGAATCAACGAGTCTTGTCTACTGATTAGATATAGAGGTCGGAAGATGGAGGATGGAGGTGAAGCCAAGATGGCTCTAGGTATCTGGCCTGAGCAAGAGAACTGACAACAGTTGGTATTTGGGTTTGACTTGAAGGCAACTGTGGGCCATCTAGATGGAGAGAGGTACAGTGGCATCTTGGAATTTCTAAAATAAAATACATATGTAATATCTTTTAAAAGTCACCTGCCTGGAAATGGGGACAAATCCTTTACTTGGTGATTTATGTACATTTGATTGTCACATCCACCTCACAAAGCAGGTATTATTATCATGCCCATTTTATAGAAGAAAAACAGGTTCAGAGAAGGTAAGTAACATTCCCAAATGGTAGAGCTTGTGAGTCTCAGAGGCAGGATTTGAACCCGGGCCTGTCTGACCGGAGACCCATCCTCTTTATTATAGAGTGTTTCTCCTGTGTTGCCTGGAAGTGTGAGTTAAAGCTGAGAGCATGTGCCACGTGCTCCAGCCCTAACTCTTGTCATTTATTATATTGGACAAATTACTTATTTATGCCTCAGTTTTGATGTTAGAAGTGGAGGTAATAATAGGACTTTCTTCCTAGGAGTTCATGAAAATTTAATAGTTAATATGTCCAGAGTGCATAGAACATGGTCTATCACATACTAATGACATCATTAAATGGGACAGGATGGAGCCTTATTTATTTATTTATTTAATTTGTGAGACAAGGTCTCACTCTGTTGCCCACGCTGGAGTACAGTGGCACAGTCTTGGCTCACTGCAGCCTCGACCTTCCCCAGGCTCAAGTGATCCTCCCACCTCAGCCTCCTGAGTAGCTGGGACTACAGGCAAGCACCACCATGCCTGGCTAATTTTTGTACTTTTTGTAAACACAGGGTTTTGCCATGTTGTCCAGGCTGGTCTCAAGCTCCTGGGCTCAAGCAATCTGCCCACCTCGGCCTCCCAAAGTGTTGGGATTACAGGAGTGAGCCACCACATCTGGCCCAGGGTGGGACTTTAAACAGAAAAAGGACGTGAGCATGGAGGTCTGGCCTGAGCAGGAGTGAACAATGCTACATTGAGGAGAGAACATTAAAGGAGACCCAGCTCTTGGAGTGAGGCCTTAAGCTTCGGGAGTTGAAACAATGACCTCCCATTAAAACCCTTGGAGTCACAGGGAGAAACAGATTTCTAGAATTGGACCTAAATCTGTTCATTCTTATTTTTCCTATTTTTGGCTACCTGAAGAAACCAACAATATTTGTTCCCTGGGTATTTTGAAGTTCACCATAAATAATACCACTCGGTTTAGAAAACTGTGTATTCAGTTCCTCAGAGAATGGATTATCTAATTACGTGTCTGTGTTTACATGGAACAGGTAGTCCAATCCACGAAAGTGTGAGAACCATGAGCCTAGTCTCGACCTCAGGAGTTGCCTGAGGAAACTGATGCTAAAAATCCAAGTTGCAAATCAAAATATTAGAAAAATCAAGCCATGCTCTAGACTTGGAAGCCCGACACTTAGATCATCTCTCTCTGAGCAGAGCCAGCTGTTGGCCCCCATAGGTGAGTGTCAGTGACATTCTGACACAGGAAAGGTCAACAGGTGCCCCAGGACCACATCCACCTGGTTAGAAGCTCTGCTGGGTTTGGTCTGGGAGAGACCCGCTGCCTCAAGAGAATTTGCTACAGGGAAAGCCCCCTGGGTAACCATGAAGATGTGATATGTTATGTCAGCATGAAGATAGACGATATTGTAGAAGACCTTATGGGGTTTGTAATGGGGAAAGTGGGCAGGGGAGGTGGGAATAAATATTGCAACAAAGTATCTTTTCTCTCTTGTGTGTGTGGAAATGTGCTCTTTGGGGCATTAAAATCCTACCAGTGTACCCCCATGCCCTTCCAAGATGAGCTCAGGGAGATGTATTTTTGTGTTGCAGTCAACAGGCTGATAATCATCATCATGGATCATGTACTTAAGGCTGAAAAACAGCAGCCTTCTCTATCCCATCATAGAAAGGGCATTTTGAACCACAAAGGCTATGTCCCTGGTAATAAACATCAGAAATAACCATTTGAATAAATTACATGTGTGTAGCATGTGATTTTATAGAATGCTTCCACATGTGTTACTATCTCATTTAATTCCATATTTGTACAAATATGTTATACACTTGGGTAATTCTCTGAATTCTCTGCATTTCACGCATTTGGAGTAGTGGCAGGGATGTAGTGGCACTCAGATGACATCAGGGCCTGTTTGCTTTATGGCAGTAATGAGCATTTGTAGGGCATTTCACAGTTTATGTAGAGCTTAAATACATTTATTAGACCTCATTTGATCCTCACAGTAACTTTATGAGGTAAGATGGATATTGTTCCTATCATAGACTTTAATGCATAATATTAACTGTCTTTGCTTCTCTGCATCTAACTCTAGACTGCAAGTTCCACAAGGATTATAGCTTTTCGATATATTTTTCACTGTTTCATCACAGTGCTCAGTAACTCTTTGTTTAATTGACTTTGATAGTATTATAATTGCCCCCATATTTGTGATCAATGAAGAAACTGAGGCTTTCAGAAGGATTTATCTTGCCCAAGGTCACACAACTGGGAGTGAAAGCCCTTGAATTCACATCTTGTCACTGTCACTGCCTGTCCAAATGGTCACAAATTGAGGCTATCTGGCTGGTAAGAAGTCCCTTTATCCTGCTATAATTTTCTTGGTGGCTCTGTGTCATTATGCTGAACTCAGTTTCCCCTCAAGCAGGTGAAACTGCAGATGGCATAGGGCACATAGCTGCAGACCTTGCTCAGACTGGACTCTGAAAGATTTGGAACCTTAGGCAGAGAGGTGGAAAGGAGTTGGGGAGGCAGTGGCAATGATTTGAAAACTATAACCAATTTTCTCTCTCCTAGGAGTTGGAGACTTGGAATCCCCTTTGGTGCAGAAACTATTCCTTCATGAGAAGAAGTCCTTAAATAGGCTCTTTAGGTAAGAGATATAAGAGATATAAAGCAAATGCCCTGTAGGAAAAAACTGTGAAGGAATCCAAATGTAGGTATTTTGGCTCAGAAACATGTTTCTGTTTTGTAATACACGTTATTATGTGCATAGCTCCTTGATGGAGAGCAATTTATTTTTCTCCTGGCAGGGACTGGTGAAATATATAAATGAAAATACTACTCTTGTTTCTTGGCATGGAGAGGACTATATTTGCCAACCTCCCTGCCATTTGGCCTAAGGGATGTAGGCAGACATGGTGGGCAACTCCTTATTAAAGATCCGGTCATAATCATCTCTGCCGTCTCTTCTTTTTCTTGAAAAGACAGGAGGCCACATGTTGAAGGCAGCAGGGTCACAAGATGGAAGAACCAGGGTCCCAGTATCATCGCTCCCTGCTTCAAGCTGCCAGGGGCAGCCTAACCCACATGGCATTATGACATAAGAAACAAAGTAACTATTGTTTTATTAAATCAATGAGATATTGGGCTTCTTGTTATAGCAACTAGTATAAATTGCCCTGACTGATACATTATGGATTTAGAGTGCACTGTACTACAACTGTTTGTTGTATTTTCAAAATTGTGGTATAACTGACTTACAATAAACTTCATATATTTAAAGAGTACTATTTAATAAGTTCAACATATTCATATATCCATGAAACCATCACCACAATCAAAATAAGACACATTTCCATCAACTGAAAAAGTCTCCTCATTCTCCTTTGAAATCTCTTCTTCCACAACTACAAACCACTGCTCAAGGAAATAAGAGAGGACACAAATGGAAAAACATTCCATACTCATGGATAGGAAGAATCAATATCATGAAAATGGTCATGCTGCCCCAAGATTCAATGCTTCGGGCATTATAGATTCAATGCTATTCCCATCAAACTACCATACATGTTCTTCACAGAATTAGAAAAAAACTACTTTAAAATTCATATAGAATCAAAAAAGAGCCCATATAGCCAAGACAATCCTAAGCAAAAAGAGCAAAGCTGGAGGCATCACACTACCCAACTTCAAACTATACTACAAGGCTACAGTAACCAAAACAACATGGTACTGGTACAAAAACAGACACATAGACCAATGGAACAGAATAGAGATCTCAGAAATAAGACCACACATCTACAACGATCTGATCTTCAACAAACCTGATAAAAACAAGCAATGGGGAAAGGATTTCCTATTTAATAAATGGTGCTGGTAAACCTGGCTAGCCATAGGCAGAAAATTGAAACTGGACCCCTTTCTTACACCTTATACAAAAATTAACTCAAGATGGATTAAACACTTAAACGTAAAACTCCAAACCATAAAAATCCTAGAAGAAAATCTAGGCAATGCCATTCAGGACATAGGCATGGGCAAAGATTTCATGACTACATCAAAAGCAATTGCAACAAAAGCAAAAATTGACAAATGGGATCTAATTAAACTATAGAGCTTCTGAAAGAAACTATCATCAGAGTGAACAGACAACCCTACAGAATGGGAGGAAATTTTTGCCATCTATCCGTCTGTCAAAGGTCTAATACCCAGAATCTACAAGAAACTTAAAGAAATTTACAAGAAAAAACACACAACCCCATTAAAACGTGAGTAAAGGATATGAACAGACACATCTCAAAAGAAGACATGTATGTGGCCAACAAACATGGAAAAAAGGCTCAACATCACTGATCATTAGAGAAATGCAAATCAAAACCACAATGAGATACCATCTCATACGAGTCAGAATGGCAATTATTAAAAAGTCAAGAAATAGATGCTGCCAAGGCTGTGGAGAAATAGGAACACTTTTACACTGTTTGTGGGAATGTAAATTAGTTCAACCACTGTGGAAGACAGTGTGGCAATTCCTCAAAGATCTAGAACCAGAAATACCATTTGACCCAGCAGTCCCATTACTGGGTATACACCCCCCAAAATATCAGTCATTCTGTTATAAAGGTACATGCACGCGTATGTTCATTGCAGCACTATTCACAATAGCAAAGACATGGAATCAACCCAAATGCCCATCAATGATAGACTGGATAAAGAAAATGTGGTACATGTACACCATAGAATACTATGCAACCATAAAAAGGAGTGAGATCATGGCCTTAGCAGGGATATAGGTGGAGCTAGAAGCCATTATCCTCAGCAAACTAACACAGGAACAGAAAATCAAACACCACATGTTCTCATTATAAGTGTGAACTGAACAATGAGAACACACGGATACAGGGAGGAGAACAACACACATTGGGGCCTGTCGGGGAGGCAGAGGGAGGGAGAGCATCAGGATAAATAGCTAATGCATGCAGGGCTTAATACCTAGGTGATGGGTTGATAGGTGCAGCAAACCACCATGGCACACGTTTATCTATGTAACAAACCTGCACATCCTGCACATGTACCCCAGAACTTAAAATAAAATAAAGAAATCTCTCCTTCCCACCTTTTCCCCCCCATCACCCCATGCAAACAATTGGTCTACTTTGTCACTGTGAGTTAGTTAGCATTTTCTAAAATTTTATATAAATGGACTCATACACCATGCACTCTTTTTGACTGGCTTATTTCATTCAGCATAATGATTTTGAGATTCATCCATTTTGATGAGTGTAGCATTAGTTTGTTCATTTTCATTGCTGAATCATATTCTATTGTATTGTATTCTATTGGGTGGACACACCACATTTGTGTATCCATTCACCTGCTGATGGACATTTGGGTTATCCTTTGGGTTATCCCAAGGATGCTAAGATTTTCCTTATTTTTTTTAGAAGTTTTCTGATGTTAGCTCTTACATTTCAGTCCTATGATTCAGTGGCGTAAGGTATGAGCTGAAGTTCACGTTTTTGCATAAGGCTATCCAACCATTTCAGCACCATTTTTTGAAAATAACATTTTTTCCCTAATTGCCTTGGCATCTTTGTCAAAAAATCAATTGGCTGTACATGTATGGGTGTATTTTTGGACTCTATTCTATTCCTTTGATTTTTTTATATATATATATGTATATATGTGTATATATATTTATATATATATATGTGTGTGTGTGTGTGTGTGTATATATATATATATATATATATATATTTTTTTTTTTTTTTTTTTTTTTTTTTTTGAGACAGAATCTCGCTCTATCACCCAGGCTGAAGTGCAGTGGCTTGATCTCAGCTCACTGCAACCTCTGCCTCCAGGGTCAAGCGATTCTCATGCCTCAGCCACCTGAGTAACTGGGACTACAGGCATGTGCCAAAAAAATGCCCAGCTAATTTTTGTATTTTTAGTAGAGACGAGGTTTCAGCATGTTGGCTAGGCTGGCCTCAAACTCCTGGCCTCTAATGATCCACCCACCTCGGCCTCCCACCACGCCCAGCTGATGTATAGCTTTACATATGTACCAATCCACATTGATAATACATCTTTACACCAACATCACACTGTTTTGATCATATTAACTTTCTGAAAAGCCTTAAAATCAAGTAGCTTAAGACTTTCAACTTAGTTCATTTTCAAAATTATTTTGGCTATACTAAGTCTTTTGTATTTTCATATACATTTTAGTTTCAGTTTGTAAATTTCTAACAACAACAAAAAAAAATCTTAGCTAGACACAGTGGTGAGCACCTGTAGTCCCAGCTACTCAAGAGTCTGAGGTGGAAGGAACGCTTGAGGCTAGCAGTTCAAGACTGGCCTGGCTAGCATAGACCTAGTCTCTAAATAAATAAATAAATTATAAATGAATAAATAAAATAAGAATTAAAAATTTTGCTGGGCTTTAAATTAGGACTGGGTTGAACCATCGGTCAATTTTAGAAGAACTGACATTTTAATGATATTGAATCCTCTGATCCATAAGCATGGCTTATCTCTTCATTTGTTTAGGTTTTCTTTTAAGTTCTCTCAGCTGTATTTTGTAGTTTTCACTGTACATATCTTGCATGACTTTCACTAGACTTATCTCTACATAATTCATATTTTTTGATGCAACAGTAAATGGTATGTTTTAAGTCATTTCATGGTTGTTCATTGACAGTATTTAGAAATGACATTGATTTTGATATATTGATCTTGTATTATATAACCTTGCTAAATTCACTTTTATAAATTCTTATAACTTTTTTGTAGATTAAGATTTTCTCACAGGCAATCATGTTGTTTGCCATTAAAGATAGTTTTATTTCTTCCTTTTATATCAGTATACCTTTTATTTGTATTTCTTCCCTTTTGCTAGGACCTCCAGAAAAAAAAAGTTAAGTGGAAGTAGTGAGTGTGCATATCCTGCTCGTTTCTAATCTTAGTAGAAAAGAATTCAGTCTTTTCATGATTATGATGTTAGCTGGATGTTTTTCATAGATGCCCTTAGTCACATTGAAAAAGTCCCCACTAGCGCCTCTGCCCGGCCGCCCCTACTGGGAAGTGAGAAGCCCCTCTGCCCGGCCACCACCCCGTCTGGGAGTTGTGCCCAACAGCTCATTGAGAACGGGACGGGATGACAATGGCGGTTTTGTGGAATAGAAAGAGGGGAAAGGTGGGGAAAAGATTGAGAAATCGGATGGTTGCCGTGTCTGTGTAGAAAGAGGTAGACGTGGGAGACTTTTCATTTTGTTCTGTACTAAGAAAAATTCTTCTGCCTTGGGATCCTGTTGATCTGTGACCTTACCCCCAACACTGTGCTATCTGAAACATGTGCTGTATCCACTCAGGGTTGAATGGATTAAGGGCGGTGCAAGATGTGCTTTGTTAAACAGATGCTTGAAGGCAGCATGCTCCTTAAGAGTCATCACCACTCCCTAATCTCAAGTACCCAGGGACACAAACACTGCGGAAGGCCGCAGGGTCCTCTGCCTAGGAAAACCAGAGACCTTTGTTCACTTGTTTATCTGCTGACCTTCCCTCCACTATTGTCCTATGACCCTGCCAAATCCCCCTCTGCGAGAAACACCCAAGAATGATCAATTTAAAAAAAAAAAAAATTTAAAAAAAAAATCCTATTTCTGTATAAAGCTATCCTTCCTCTGACTAGAAACAACTAGGAAATAAAGAGAAGACAAAGATAAAAAGGAAAAAAAAAAAAAAAAAAGAAAAAGTCCCTACTATTCCTGGTTTTGCGGGGGGGGGGGGGGTTGATCATGATTGGATGTTTAATTTTGACAGAAGGTTTTTTGATGTTCATATGGTTTTCCTTTTTTAATATTTTAGTGTGGTAAAGTAATAATTGATTTTTCAGTGTTAAACCTTGCATTCTTGGGGATAAACTCTATTTCATTATGATGTCTTATCTGCTGCTAATCCCCATTCAGTGTATTTTTCATCTGAAACATTATTCTTTCATCACCAAAATTTTGATTTGGGTCTTTTGTCTTCCATTTCCCTCTTCATCATGCTCATGCTTTCCTCTCCCTTCTATAGCATATAGGGGATACTTATAAAGGCCATTAATGTCTTTGTCTACTAATTTAGTCATTTTTGTCATTCCTGGGTCTGCTCTTATTGGCTGCATTTCCTCCCGGCCATAAGCCACATTTTCTGCTTCTTTGCCATTTTTGGTTAGGAGACAGACATTGTGAACTTTACCTTTTGGGTTCTGTTGTTGTTTGTTTGTTTGCCATAATACAGTCCTTTAAATATTTTCAACTTTGTTCTGAGACTCAGCTAAACAAGTTGGAAATGGTTTTGTCCATTTGAGGCTTGTTTTTCAGCTTTCCCAGGTGAGTCCAGAACAGTCTAGTTTGGTTTGGCCCATCCATCTCAAGGCTCTACTTTGTAGTCCATGTGCTAGGAGACCTTTCCATTCTGACTACTAAGAGCTGGTGTAAGCTCTGAAGATCGTTCCCTCTGCTTCTTTCTGGAGGTTCTTTTTCTGGCCATAGCAATTTTCTCACTTGCATTAGCTGATTTAGACTCAGCTAGACTGTGGGAGAACCTCTTGCAGAGTCAGAGCATTCACTTTATTCAGCCGACTCCTTTCCAGCAATCTGTCCTGTGTGTTCTAGCCACTGGCCTCCCCAAACTCTACACTTTGTCTCTTCAACCCAGAGAGGCCATCAGCACCTCTTTGATTCTCCTGCCCAGGGCTGCAGCCTGGGGCACTTGGAGGGCTGCCCAGCCTTGAACCGGGGCACTTGGAGGGCTCATCTCATCTGCTTCCTTCACTCAAGGATCATGGTCCTTTATTGCCTATGGTCCCATGTTTGGAAACTCTTGCTTTGAATATTTTGTCCTGGTTTCTATTTGGTTGAGGCAAGAAGTGGAAGTTCTGTCCTTGTTTTTCTGTTTTGTTTTGTTTTGCTTTTAGAGACAGGGTTTCACTCTATCACCTAAACTGGAATGCAGTGGTGCAATCATGGCTCATTACAGTCTCACTCTCCTGGGCTCAAGGAATCCTTTCGTCTCAGCCTCTATCTCACATCTGTAGCTTGGACTACAGGTGTGCCACCACACCTGGCTATTTTTTTTTTTTTTTTTTTTTTGGAGAGATAGAATCTCGCTATGCTGCCCAGGCTGGTCTTAAACTCCTGCCTCAAGCAATCCTCCCACCTCAGCCTCCCAAAGTGTTAGGATTACAGGCATGAACCACTATGCCCAGCCTGTCTTTGTTCTTGAGAAGGTATTTGACAATTACTCATAGAAGGTGAAGAGTTAGTGTTGCTAGGATATCTACAGAGTAAACAACATTTACCTTAACCCACATGTAGGGGAGACTGGAAAGGAGCTGCACTAAGCTTGGCAGGCATTCACCATGAACTGTACTATTGATGTCTTACCTACCAGAGATGTCTTCTAAACACTGAAAAGCACAGAGGGCTCATGTTGGACTATTAAATCCCATTGGAGCCTTAAAACAAGCTCCAGGGCTAGGGCGTGTGTTTTCTCCTAATGAAAGTGAATCTTCCTTTCATAAAGTCATCCTGAAGGAAGTTGATTCCAAAGCAAGAAGTAAGAACTAGAGGTCAGGCGTGGAGGCCCATGCCTGTAATCCCAGCACTTTGGGAGGCTGAGGCGGGCAGATCATGAGGTCAGGAGTTCGAGACCAGCCGGACCAACATGGTGAAACCCCGTCTCTACTAAAAGATACAAAAAAATTAGCCGGGCATGGTGGCAGGTGCCTGTAACCACAGATCCTCGGGAGGCTGGGGCAGGAGAATCACTTGAACCCGGGAAGTGGAGGTTGCAGTGAGCCAAGATCATGCCATTGCACTCCAGCCTGGGCGACAGGATGAGACTCCATAAAAAAAAAAAAAAAATACAAAATTAGCTGGGCGTGGTGGCATGCACCTGTAATCCCAGCTACTCAGGAGACTGAGGCAGGAGAATCACTTGAACCTGGGAGGCAGAGGTTGCAGTGAGCCGAGATCGCACCATTGCACTCCAGCCTGGGCCCAGAGCGAGACTCCGTCTCAAAAAAAAAAAAAAAAAAGAACTAGAGAGAAGACGGCGTGGTAACTCACGCCTGTAATTCCAGCAGTTTGGGAGGCGGAGGTGGGTGGATCACCCGAGGTCAGGAGTTTGAGACCAGCCTGGTCAACATGGTGAAACCCCATCTCTACACAAAATACAAAAATTAGCCAGATGTGGTGGCAGGCACCTGTAATCCCAGCTACTCAAGAGGCAGAGGCAGGAGAATTGCTTGAACCCGGGAGGCAGAGGTTGCAGTGAGCCGAGATCATGCCACTGCACTCCAGCCTGGGTGACAGAGCAAGACTCCATCTCAAAAAAAGAAAAGAAAAGATAAAAAAGAACTAGAGAAAAAAGTCTTGGATTGAAGGGAGACAGAAGCATTTTACAATAGCAGGAAACTGCTGAGTTAGTCTCCATGTTTAACACCTGCATTCTCTGTTCTACCTGAACTCTCAGTTCTCTATGGTTCTGAGGAAAATTAAAGAAAGAACTCATTCCCTGGTAAAGTCAGTGGTGCTTTCCTTGCCAGTCTCTATTCCCACTGGCCCTGAAGGAGGATTGCATGCAGGTAATTCCAGCTGCAAGGGGACAACAGAGGAAGGCCCCTGGGTCTGGAAATTCAATGAAGAGGCTGAAGCCGGAGACCTTGTGCAGACATTTTCATGAGCCCTCATAAGGAAGCACCCCAGGGGCCATTTAGCAGTAACATGGAAACGCTTTGAGATGGCGAAGTTCCTAGACTCAACTGGATGGGATATGGAAGTGTGGTAATTAGTCTAGCTATTAATAGATGTGTTTCCTTATTTATCATCCCTGGATAATGGTTCCTAGACATATTGTTATACACATACACACAATTAAGTATCCTGGTCCAGATACTACTGGGAGTACACACTGATATCCTTTAGGTTAAGATCAGAATACCTCCCCGCCAGGGCCAAGTGCAGTGGCTCATTCCTGTAATTCTAGCATAATGGGAGGCCAAGGCAGGAGGATCACTTGAGGCCAGGAGTTCTAGACCAGCCTGGGCAGCATAGCGAGACCCTATCTCTATTTTAAAAATAATAAAATAAAAAACAAAAACACCTAAAATGCTTCTCTCAATTCACAACACACACAGAGATGTGCGAAGACAATGGTTTTCATCCGTAGCTGCATATTAGGAACACCTGGGAAGTGTGTGTGTGTGTTTGTTCGTTTGACTGAGTCTCGCTTTGTCACCCAGGCTGGAGTGCAATGGTGCGATCTTGGATCTCGGCTCACTGCAACCTCCGCCTCCCAGTTTCAAGTAATTCTCCTCAGCCTCCCAAGTAGCTGGGGTTACAGGCACCAGCCACAATGCCCAGCTAATTTTTTGTATTTTTGTAGAGACGGGGTTTCACCATGTTGCCCAGGCTGGTCTTGAACTCCTGACCTCAGGTGATCCACCCACCTTGGCCTCCCAAAGTGTTGGGATTACAGGTGTGAGCCACCGTGCCCAGCCTGGGAGTTTTTTTGTTTTTTTGTTTTTTTTTTTAAAGACCAATGATTGTGCCCACCCCCAGAAACTCTACTTCAAATTGGCCTGGTGGATAGCTCAGATATCTGCATTTTCAGAAGTTTTCAAGTAATTCTAATGGCCAAGTAGGATGAAGAACCACTGCTCTAGGCCTTTGAGGCAGGTGCTGCTGAGCTGTGCAAAGCCATCCATGTCATCTGGCTGTGGATAGTGGAACTGCTGGTCTCCTTCCTCTTCATTTCCTCTCTTCCTCTTCCAGGGTCCATTGCAGGCTGCCTGGTGACCACTGCTCCTCTCACGCAAACCCTCTCTCCTCCCCTTTCCTATTTGTTCTCATTTATCTCTTCTATTAGACTATTTCACCTTTTAGCTCTATGGGCTAAAAGACTAACCCTACATAGCCAAGGATGGCCAATCAGAGAGCTGCTTTCCTTCTAGTTGGTAGCCTGGCCAACCACAACACGTTGGCTGTGAAATTCAGAGCCTTACCCCTGCCAGCTGGTCTTCAGAAGGTAACCACCTTATTCCAGGTTGCCCAGGACTTTCCTGGTTCAGTATTAAAAGTCCTGTATCCTGCAAACTCCCTCACACCCCACTCCCCCATCCCCCATTTCCCGGCAAATGGGATGTTTGGTCTCCCTAACCCTGTGTATTAGTCCATTTTCACACTGCTATAAAGACACTACCTGAGACTAGGTAATTTATAAACAAAAGAGGTTTAATTGACTCACAGTTCTGCATGGCTGGAGAGGCCTCAGGAAACTTCCATTCATGGCGGAACTCAAAGGGGAAGCAGGAACCTTCTTCATAATGCACCAGGAAAGAGAGAGCAAAAGAGCGAGGAAGTGCCATACTTAAAACCATCAACTCTCACGAGATCTCTGTCACTATCATGAGAGCATGGGGGAAGCCATCGTCATGATCCAATCACCTCCCACCAGGTCACTCCCCTGACATATGGGGATTACAGTTCAAGATGAGATTTGGGTGGGGACACGGAGCCAAACCATATCACCCTGGCTGTCAACGTATAACTTCTTTCGTTCCAATAGCTGTCTTTGAGCGCATTCAAGGTGTAAGTCCATCTGAGTACTTGAGCATGGAAGTGGCAGTTTCCCAGATGACCTAAGATTTGCCATGCTCATTATCAAATCTTTATTCCATTCCAAATCTAAATTTCCATGGTTTATTTTAAATGGTAAAATGTTCATGTTCTGAGGCAGTAAACGTGTCAGAATCAAATACACACATAGAGTAGCATATGTTTGCCTGAGGCAAATAAAATGAGATTTTGTAACTGTTAGTCTTAGTATGGGAAGCATACTTTTAAAATGAGGACTATTCTTTTTTGTGCAGGATTTGGTACAAATCATAAAGAAATATATAAAGAATAACAATGTGTGTACACTTTACATTTGAAAAACGTTATTCACCCACAACTAGCAAAGCACACACTCTGAGCTGATTTTGCAGTGCTGGCAACAGACTTGATGCCCCATCCACATTCCCCCATCAAGCCCCACGTGGGGCCAAGGAAAGGAATCTGGAGCAGAGAATGCTGGGGTGGGGGCGCAGAGCGATGCTCACGGATTCACACAAGTCTAGAAGTGGCAGCATGCAGGCAGCGTAGGCCTCTGAAGGACACTAGGAAAGAGAAATTCCACCATCTGTGAGTCATCACTTTTTATTACTGTGTCCCTGGACATTTTTTTATAAATGCATATACTCCCCATAGGGATATGCATCTTTGTATGAATGGGATTATCAGCTCATGTGCCTCTTAACAAGAGAAATAAGCAGCGTGAAAGCTCTGGATCTAAAAGAGGGAAAATTATAGGGAGGGAGGGGAAAGAGGTACAGCATGATATTAAATTAAGGGCAAAATATATAGTTGAAAGACTTGGGAGAGAAGATATTGATTGGGATATATTATATCATTCAGGGTCCAGTCTGGAAAAATTAAGAATTTTAAACAGAGAGAACTTAATTCAGGAATGGAAGATCAAAGGAGCCAAACAGAATTTGAGGTGGAAACTCAGAAATCAGGAACTGCAGGAAGCCATAGACCTTCTTGGCTGGAGAGACAAAGGGTGAACACCTGGGCACCTGGAGCCCCTGACAGAAGCTGGAATTGTGGTGGGCTTGTCTGGCAGGAGCCAAAGCCGCATAGGAGACTGAGTCACAGCTACAGACATCAGCCAAAGCTGAGATGGGGGAAGAGAGGGAAAGAACTGGCCTCACTCTCCTGCCTTGCAAACTCAACCATGCCTCTCATTGGCTGGACCCAGGCAGAGCTGGGGAGACAGATGCAGAATAGGGAGTTGGCAAAAAGTGGATCTGAGAGCAAGCAAGCCCAAGACTGGCAGACACCACACACAGCTATTTCACTGCTTCACGACTTATTCAAGGGCTGACTGCCTTGCCAGCAGCATGCTCTGAGCGCTGGAGTGCTCCAGCTCTAGACTTCAAAATACAATCTTACACTCCCAACTCTGTTTTCCCAAACTAGAAATAAGTTTATGGTCTCTGTGATCCAGACCATTAAGAGGTCAATTCATTGAATTCCCACCAGTTATGGTGGTGACGGTAGAAACAAAGGTGGCTAAGATTCAAGAGCCTCTGAGAGTTCCCCAATTTATTTTATTTTTATTTATTTATTTATTTATTTTTGAGATGGAGTCTCGCTCTGTCAGCCAGGCTGGAGTGCAATGGCACGATCTCAGCTCATTGCAACCTCTGCCTCCCGGGTTCAAGCAATTCTCCTGCCTCAGCCTCCCAAGTAGCTGGGATTACAGGCACACACCACCATGACTGGCTAATTTTTGTATTTTTAATAGAGACAGGGTTTCACCATGTTGGCCAGGCTGGTCTTGAACTTCCAACCTCAGGTGATCCGCCCGCCTCAGCCTCCCAAAGTGCTGAGATTACAGGTTTGAGCCACCCACTCAGCTATTTCAGTAAGAATAGCCTGCTGCCTTCACTTGGCAAATGTATGCTTACCCTGCTAGACTCAGCTTGGTCATCTTCTCCTCCATAGAGGCTTTCCTGAGCTCCCCGCCTGAATTTAGTGTCCTCTCCAGGGCTACAATTGCATTATCTCTAGGTTAGCATTCATCTCACTATTTAGGAATTACCTGTTTACATGCCTGTCTTTGACAATACTCTGTAACTTCCCAGGACTGCCTCCTAGAGGTGCTCTTGCTTCTGGCACTGGTGTCCATGGGACACCACTGCAGTTCTCTGCTCCTGGAAGCTCAGTGTGTCTTGGCCACTCTCCACTACTATTTCCAGCTGCTTCCTCATGGTTTTCTCCACAAATT
The DNA here is from genome assembly GCF_000001405.40 of Homo sapiens. Lineage (NCBI taxonomy): Eukaryota > Metazoa > Chordata > Mammalia > Primates > Hominidae > Homo > Homo sapiens. The sequence goes on along the minus strand of NC_000005.10, from coordinate 80,936,095 downwards.
GAAGTCATGAGCAGGTATGTTTAAAAGCAGAATCTAGGTCAGATGCCAACGTTACTCAGGAAGCAGGCTACTGAGTTCTGGTTTTTACTTTAGGAAGGAAGTACTCATAACCTGGGACTCAATGTGGAAGGATTTACAAAACCTACTGGGCAAAGGAGTGTTCATACCAGCATTATTTGTGCTATCTGCAAATTGGAAACTACCCAAATGCCCGTCAACATTAGAACAGATATATCAATCAATTCTGGCATATTTTAACACAATGGAATAACATTCACCAATGAAATGAATGAAGTCCAACTACAGGAAACAGGATGGATGGATCTCACAAACATTATGCTGAGAGTAAAAGCCCAACACCAAAGTGTCTGCAGTATATGATTCCATTTAAATAAGACTAAAGAGTAGGCAAAACTAATATATGGTGACAGAATTCAGAATAGCAGTTAGCCTTGTGGAATTACTATCTGCAAGGGTGTTCTAGAGAGCCTTCTAGGGTGTTGGCAGTTTTCTAGATAGTGATCTAGGTTCACAGTTGTTTTCACTGTATATAAATTCAATGAGCTATGTGCTTATGATGTGTGTACTTTTCTGTAGGCGTGTCATATTTTAATTAAAGAGTTTACTGAAAAATATGTTCTGGGAAGCTACATAAATGATAAATATAACCAACTGTCATGTTGTCATCCTCTCTGGTAAGTAACTGAGCAAATGGATCATTTTGTTCACATCCATCCCCTGGTCAAAACCTTCAGTTGTTCTGAAGGACAATAAACTTTTTTTTTTTTTGAGACGGAGTCTCACTCTTGTTATCCAGGAGCGCAGTGGCGTGATCTCAGCTCACTGCAACCTCCACATCCTGGGTTCAAGCTTCTCCTGCCTCAGCCTCCTGAGTAGCTGCAATTACAGGTGCCTGCCACCACACCCGGCTAATTTTTGTACTTTTAGTAGAGACGGGGTATCACCATGTTGGTCAGTCTGGTCTTGAACTCCTGACTTCAGGTGATCCACTCGCTTCAGCTTCCCAAAGTGCTGCGATTACAGGTGTGAGCCACTGCGCCTGGCCTGAAAGACAGTAAACTTTAAACTGCTATGCAAGAGTTTACAGTCCAGCCTCAATCCCTGTGTTCCAGCCTCTCTAGCACTTGCCTGCCCTGACCCCTGGTGTAGGCTCTGCTCTCACCTGAAAAGCCCCTGAACCTGAGAAAATTCCCCACCTCCAACTCCTACTGCAGTTAGGATAGGAGAGGTCAGATGTACTTGACAACCCCCTTTGTATTGCAAGTGACAGTTCTTGAAATACAACTTAACTTTTTTGGATTATTAACTTTTGTGTATTTATGTTTTATCTCACCAACCAGACTGTGGGCTTTTGGAAGAGTGATCATAGCCTACTCATCTATTTTCCCTGCAGGGTGCTGCACAGGGTCTGGTCCAGGGAGACAGTCTGGTATCTCTTAGACACATGGATTCAGGCAGGAGTCTCATGTTTGTTCCAAGCTTTGAGTTCAAATCCCACTTCTGCCACTTGCAAGTTGTGATTTAAGGGAGTTACTCAACTGTTGAAGAATATTGCACTTTTCTGAAAGGATAGTCAATGATCACTTACATATGCTTAGCCCAGCATACTAAGCACACCATGCATGTTAGCAATAGTTAATATTTTTGTTCTTGTTTTTAACTCGAGTGCTTTTTAAAATTTACCAGGAACTGTGGGTCTCAGACCCTAACGAGGATGAGGAGCCTGACTTTGGACATGGGAGAAAAGGAACTTTGCTAGAGGAAGGTTGATGGGAGAGGAAATATGGCTTGAATGAGTCCATGTTCTTACATTTCCAGGCCCTGTATTAAGCAATATTATAAATCTGACCCTGCCTATCACCTCTCAGAATTTATGTGGTAACCCAACTGCTCAAACAGTATTATAATTTGCAGGGTTCGGCTTACTTTAGGTGTGTTTTTTTGTTTGTTTGTTCGAGATGGAGTTTCCCTCTTGTCGCCCAGGCTGGAGTGCAGTGGCGCGATCTTGGCTCACTGCAACTGCCGCCTCCTGGGTTCAAGTGATACTCCTGCCCCAGCCTCCCGAGTAGCTGGGATTACAAGCACCTGCCACCACGCCTGGCTAATTTTTCTATTTTTCACTAGAGACAGGTTTTTGCCGTGTTGGCCAGGCTTGTCTCCAACTCCTGACCTCAGCTGATCCACCCGCCTTGGCCTCCCAAAGTGCTGGGACTAGAGGCGTGAGCCACCGTGCCTGGCCTAATTTACGTTTTTAATTTTCACTAAGCTTAGCTGTGGCCCATTTATAGCAGCATAAAAATTGAAAGGCTTTTTTAAAATTTTTATTTTAGCATAGGAGAAATGCCACCATTTAAGCCATTTTTGAAAAAATGATTGATTGATGGATATAATTCTATTGTTAGCAGAATAGAGTATATCATTTGAACTGAAGATCCCAAACTAGAGTGAGTTCTGGAATGTCAGGTTAGCCGGCAGATGGAGGGCCAGAGGACAGGAGACACAAAATCTTTGAGATACGTCTTTTTATTCAAGTAGCAATTTATGACTTTTTGGCCTTTGTAAAAAGTTCTTATATAATGATACTGAATTGCATGTCATTTTCCCATTTTGGGTTGGGGTACTATTTGTGATAAAGAGGTTGTAAAGATTTTAGGAAACTCACGGTCTGCTGTATGATCCATGATGGTGCCTAGTTGTTGCAGTAACAATCCACAGAGTTAGCTACAGTGTGGCTGTACTTCACTTTTCCCAAAGCCTGAATGTGCCTGTCTTCTAGATGCGTCAGTTTCCATGCCTAAGCTTAAGTGTCACAGCCAGTGTGGGGGGGATGAAGTGCATTCTCAGTATCCAAGGGAATGTGCCAATAACTAGGCAAAGGAATGTTCTGAGGATAGAGGATCTGAGCAGAACCTCCCCTGGCCCTGACCACAGCACTTTCTCTCAATTCAACACTCTATGGATATTTGAGCTCATCTCTAGGGTCTCTGGGCTTATTAAAATAGGTCTTAGCCAAACACTGTCATGTGCACCTGTAGTCCTATCCTCAGGAGCCTGAGATGGGAGGATCTCTTGAGCCCAGGAGTTCAGGTCTATAGCATGTAATGATCAAGCCTATGGATAGTCACTGCACTCCAGCCTGGGCAACACGGTGAGACCCCATCTGGTGGGGGAAAAAAAAAAGGTTTTAAGAGAATAAAGATAAATACCAATTTTACAAAGTTTGTCATATAGTAAATTAGGCCCCAAATTAACACAGCCAACTAGATAATTAAAATTGCTAACCTCATCTTTGTTCATTTGAATGGGGCCCTAAAGATAGCATTCCTGACATGTTATTCAGGAAAGTAATGCATAGAACTTTGACAGTGATGTGGGGGCAGAATTGATGCAGAGATGTACCTTTGGAAGGCAAGCCTGTATAAGACACTTCAGTAAGGGCTTGGAAAGCAAAAAGCAAAATAGAGAAGCTCCCCAGCAAATGTTATCTGAGCAAAGCCAAGCCACAGTGCAGCTGCCTAACACTCAAAAGATAGCATATTTGAAGCAGTATTGTTTTATATAAATGCCAGGGGTAGTCATGGTACTAGTATGCTTAATATCAATCTCAGACACTAAAATCAAACAGACAGGATTCATATCCTGGCTCTGCCATTCATCAAAAAACCTTAGGCAACACTATAAGCTAGCCCCCTCAAAATCCAATGGAAATGTGTCTATTGATTTCCATGTCTGTATGTAGGGATGATGATGATGATGACGACGACAATGATGATGATAGTAATAATGACACTGACCTTATGAGGTTGTTGAAAGGATTAACGCATATAGATTTTTCATACATTGCTAGATACATAGTATTTTTTCATTAGTGAGCTATCTACTCACAATCCCTGATTGTGATTATTCTACTCACAGTCCCTGAGCTTAGCCAAAATGCCAAGAAATTCAGCAGGAATCTCAATTTTTTTTTTTTTTTTTTTTTTTTTTGAGACAGAGTCTCACCTCATGGCCCAGGCTGGAGTGCAATGGTGCGATCTCGGCTCACTGCAACCTCCACCTCCTGGGTTCAAGTGATTCTCCTGCCTCAGCCTCTCCAGTAGCTGGAATTACAGGCATGCGCCACCACGCCTGGCTAATTTTTTGTATCTTTAGTAAAGACGGGGTTTCACCATGTTGGCCAGGCTGGTCGCGAACTCCTGACCTCATGATCCGCCTGCCTTGGCCTCCCAAAGTGCTAGGATTACAGGCGTGAGCCACCGAGCCCAGCCTGTCTCAATTATTTATTAACAAGCTCATTTTTTTGATCAATGGTCAGCTATTGCCACCCTCATTCTTTTATTTGTCACCAAGTTAATGGTAATGTACAATAAAGCATTTCCTGTGAGATAGAGTCATTCAGATTTCCTATACTGGGGACAAGCTCAATTTCCTGAAAAGGACCATCTGGCATTGCCTCAGGCTGTCCTTTGGAGCCAGAAACATTGCCTGGCAGTTGGCACCTGGAGTATGTTTCATTTTCTCTTGTAGAATTCAATAATCATATTTCGTTCAAATTACAGTTCTGCTCTCCTTTAGTGCTGGAATAAAAATGCACACTCATTTTATAGAATGTGGTCTCTATGTAGCATCAATCTCTAGGTCTTGGCCTAGTCTAGAAATTCTGTGATGTTTTATTAAGAAGGCAATGAGGACCACAGAAATTAGAAAGGAAGCCTCAGAAATCAGTATGCTGCAGGCTGTTACGGGAAATAACTTCAGAAGAGTCAAGCCTGAGAGCTTTTATATCATATTGCATATACATTTTCATTTACTTTTATTTGCCTTTGTTTGCATGAGTTGTGTGAAGTTAACTGTCAATGAGTTTACTTATGTGACTCTCATGTTGTAGATGCTGATATCTACCGCTGTGATTGTTATTTATGACAAAATTAGCTCCCATGGGCAAACCTAGCAGGTTTTCACTCACAGACTATATCTATGTTTGTGTTATTTTAATCTCAAATACAAATTGGCAAGCACTTTAATTGTGGAAGAGAACGAGGAAGCTGGATTATAGATTGCCTTCATGGAAAACAAAATATCCTGGGGATACTTTAAACCTTATTTTTTAATAGCATCTGAGGAAAAACTGGAAGTCACCTGTTTGGTTTGAATGTAAATATCCCTTTAAAATTCATATGTTAGAACTTAAACCCCAAGGTGATGGTATTAGAAGGTAGGGCCTTGGGGAGAGGATTAGGTCATGGGGGCCCCGCCCTCACGAATGGAATTCATGCTAGTCTTTTTTGTCCTTCAATTCCTTCCACCAGATGAGGACACAGCATTCCTCCTTTCCAGAGGATGCAACAAGGCACCATCTTGAAAGCAGAGAGTAGCCCTCACCAGACACCAAATCTGCCAGCACCTTGATATTGGACTTACCTGTCTCCAGAAGTGTGAGAAATAAATTTCTATTGTTTAAAAATTACCCAGTCTCAGGTATTTTGTTATATCAGAGGAGGAATGGACTAAGACATGCCCCACCTCTCCACCCAAGACGAGCCCCAGGGCTCCACTCTTGACTCTGTTAATATTGTATTTGGGGGTTAAAGAGTTGAATTTTACTCTTGATCTTCTGCTTTTATTTCCAGTGTCATTACTGTAGTTATTCAGGTTATTACAGGAATAAACTGAAAGATCACAGGAACATTTAAAGTATATTCACTTGTCTTACTGGTGAGGAATATGCTCTTTTTTTAAAAAATAAAAATTATTATTGAAATCGCTTTGTAATCAAGATTCAGAAAAAACGATACTTGTGCAGGGTTGCACAGCAGGGGCCTTCAGTGTGTTTAGAAAGGGGAAGTTTTCGTCATTAGGGTTGGCACAATTGAGACACCGGGAAATTTTGGATTTCCAGTCATTGAGTAGACTATATTAATAATTTTGCTTATAACATAGTAACACTATCCCTTGAGCATTTTTCATTCTAAATTGTTATGATAGTCAAGAAAAGAAATGTTTGTCTGTTTGTTTTTGTTTAGGGTCTTGCTCTGTTACCTAGGCTAGAGTGTATTAGTGCCATCATGACTCACTGCAACCTCAACCTCCAGGGCTCACCTCAACCTCCAGGGCTCAAGCGCCCTCCACCACACCTGGCTAATTTTTGTACTTTTTGCAGAGACGGGGTTCCACCATGTTGCCCAGGTTTGTCTCAAACTCCTGGGCTCAAGCAATCCACCTGCCTTAGCCTCCCAAAGTGCTGGGATTACAGTGTGAGCCACTGAGCCTGGCTCTGAAAAAATAAAAAACAAAAACTATTTTTAAAAGTTTTTTTGGCGGGCACGGTGGCTCACACCTGTAATCCCAGCACTTTGGGAGGCTGAGGCAGGTGGATCACCTAAGGTCAGGAGTTTGAGACCAGCCTGGTCAACACAGCAAAACCCCATCTTTACTAAAAATACAAAAATTAGCCGGTCTGATGGTACGCACCTGTTATCCCAGCTACTCAGGGGGGCTGAGGCAGGAGAATTGCTTGAACCAGAGAGGCGCAGGTTGCAGTGAGCTGAGATCCCGCCACTGCACTCCAGCCTGGGCAACAGAGCGAGATTCCGTCTCAAAAAAAAAAAAAGTTTTTTATCAAAGGCACTTCTCTGGTCACCTTTGACCTGACCCCAAGGGAAACAGCTAGACTTCTCCTGGGTTACACCTAGCTCCATCTGTGGCACATTCTAAGCCCATCCTAAAGAGCCATTGACCACTGAGGCCTGGACCATTGGAATATGCCTGTTAGAGTAACTGATGGGGCCATGCTTGGAAAAGGGAATAATACAATAACACTACCCTGTGTTTTTAGTAAGCTTTAATTTCAAAAATATCAAAATGTGGCCATATGTCATCTTGCAGGAATGACATTTAGGAAGTCATTTAGACGCTGGTTCTCAAAACATTATAAAAAGCTTCACTGGTCCTCTGTGAAATGACAAAAGGACAATGTAATTTTGTAGTACAATTTCAGTGTTAAAATTAAGAGGGCCCCCTTTATGCTGAAATTTTGGCCTTTCCTATTTTAGGAATTAAAATATTCTTTTTCTATGAAATGATAGTGATTGTAGATAGTGGTGTTTTAAAAAATATTCTTAGCAAAATAAAGAATCAACAATCTATCTAATCCAAGTTCTACTCTACTCCCCAAACCCCATTAAAAAGCAACTTCGATCCATTGATCCAAGCTACACTGTATCCAAGTAAGCCTGGGTGTGCTGTCTTCTGCACTGCATTTATGAATCCTGCACACGCAGGAGCCATATGTCACTCATCCTTGACTGTGCTTTGATTTCCTGACAGGGTTTGGCACTTTGAATGCAGTAGGTGCTCAATAAACACTTGTTCATTGACTCCGAAGCAGCTGTCATTCATAATGAAAATATCTCCAGGGGACATCAAAGGCACTCTATATTTCATGGGAACAAATCATTTTGAGATTTGGTGATAACAGTGAAACAGAGCGGCAGGCCTGGGTGGATTCCTGGTTTTGTCATTTTCCCAGGAATCTCTTGAGTTTTTAATACCTTGGTTTCTTCACCCTTAAAATGTAGAGTACATACTTTGCTTCTCCATAGACTCAGTTGTGAGGATCAGATGTGTGTGCAGAGGAGCACTCTTTGTATACCTAACACTCCATTTTTTTCCACCCCAGGCTCCTCATCATATGTCCCAGGATAGGATTCTGGGGCTGCCTCCTGGCTGTAAGGCTGAGTCATAAAGATGGTACCTGGGGTCAGCTTCCGCTTTCTCCTCTGCAGCAGAAGCCTGAATGTAGTTGGAGCTTGAGAGAGTCAGCCAAGCATAGATTAGACTAATAGCTAGCATGTATTAAGCCCTCCCTATGCACCAGACATTCTTCTGAGCACTCTCACACAAGAACCCTGGAGGTAGTTGCCATGATTGTCACTCTTTATATCAGAGGATAAAACTGAAGCATAGCCAGAAAGAGGAGGAGCCAAACGTGAACCCTGGCAGCCTGGGAGGAGCCCACAGTCTCAGCCACCCCATCGTAACTGCCTTTCCAGGTGGAGGAACAGGAGGTAGACAAGCTGTAACACAGCCTCCCTGGATCTGCTCTTGTCCTTCTCAGTCACACAAGCCAATAGATCCCCACTTTTGAAAGCAAGTTGTTATCCACAGGTCAGCTCTCAGGATTACAGAAGGTCAGAACGGTAAGGAGGGTGCGGAATGTGTGCTCCATCTTCTCAGGAGGATGAGGAAACAGGACCCTGACTTATACAAAGGCACGTATTCCTGCCATCTCTGCAGCCTCAGCCCCACTTCTGCCTCCCACAATGCTTCTGCACATCCTTACCTAACACATCTGGCCATTCCTGCTCTCATGCCATTGCTCAGCTCCATTTGAATTCTGCCACGTGTCCAATCCCATGTCTTCCGTGAAACCTTTGCTCATTCCATCAGCCCACAGCTTTCTCTCTTTCCTCTGGGTCACCATAGCAGGTTCTATACCAGTCAACTCTATTCGGAGGCTGCCTACTGGAATCTTTAATGTTGATATTTAACTGTGAACTCTGTTTAACTCATGTGCCTCATCCTTGATGCCTATCTTGAATAAGTTCCTTAAGGGTGGGACATTCTGTTTCACTTCCTTTTATGATTCTCAAAGCAGCTAGCACCAGCCCTTTACATACAATTAATGTGTGTGTGTGTGTGGGTGGGTGGGGTGGGGGTGGGAGTTGACCCTTACTCTGTTGTTATTCATCTTTCTCTCACATGTACTGCCTATCAGCTCGGTCTAAGAAAGTCAATAGTCTCCTTCCCTTATTCACCTTCTGGCAGAGTAGCTCCAACACCTTTCCCAAGCCTGATCCAACCCTGTGTCTGGTGATACTCAAGCCTCAGTCAGGAGTGGAAAAAAACCCAGGCACTGGACAACTCATAACAGATAAGCTGCTGTTTGGGAACTTGATATTCCCTCTATGCAAACTGGACCAATGCACAACCTAGATATGTCACTGTAAATCTCTGTTGAATAAACAGCTCCAATATCATCAAAGTCACATCTTTACTTCTTTTCTTTATAACACAGTTGTCATGAACATCATGAGAAAGATGTAGAGGAAAACTGAAGGCTCTGACCATTTGGAAGCATTAAACATAGGAAAAGGTAGTGACCAGAATCCAAAATGTCAAATGAAATTCGGTATCAAGCCATATAAGTAACTGAACAAAATATTTGGTCTTTCTCAGTCAGAAAAAAAAAAAAGCTCCTTTTTTTTCCATCTACTTGTTAGGTGCTCTATTGAGTGCTTTGAACCTCATAACAAAGTAACATTTGTTCTGTTTTACAGAGTAGGAAACTGACACCCATTGAGGCTGGGTGACCAATGCAGGATAATACAAATGGGGAGAGAAAGAGGTCATAAGCACATTTAGCAGAGACTGAAAACACTATCTGACACCCAATTTTTAAAATAACAAAAACTAGATCAGATCATCAGGAGTATGTGGATGTTTACTCTGTTGTGCCTTATATGAACTTGTCTTAATGCAAATCTCAGCAAAGATTCTTTCATCATAAAAAGCCAATAGACCCCATTCTAAAATGGAAATATCTAATTATAAAAGTACTAATTATAAAAGTAGATTTTCAGTATTTTTCCCACAATTAAAAACACCAAAAAGTAGATGTTCATTGTAAAAAAAAAAAACCACAAAAATAGTACCATAAATAAAATAGAATGAAAATCACAAGTAATCTACCTAGGAATAATGGGTTAATTATGAAGGGTTTATAAAAATCTAAATTCCTCTGCACTGTGGTAGTTCTACAGTGATCTTTCAGAAATGGTAACTGTGAATGACAGGCCAGTTTGCCAATATCGTTTTATTTTAGTTTCATTGATTTTTGAGGAAGAGGGATTAAGGTCAAAGTATTGGCAAATTCACATGAATCTATTGCAATCATCAGTCTAAACTGCTTTGTGCAACTAAACTGACAGCTTCTCCTTTTGTACCCAGGAAACTCAGTGTTCAAAATAATATCATTGTGTTGATCAGATAATCAAAAGAAATGGGACACTTCAGGGCATGGAGGATGACTATAAATGTTAGTGCAAGGTGGAAAATGCTGTCTTTCTAAACCCAGTGAAACTGTCCTAGTCTCCAGATAAAGACAGATTTTATTTCTTATATAGAGAGCAGATTCCTGCTGAATGTTGAGGGTCTGAGAAGCAAATAAAAGGTCAAGCATACATGCTTTCTATTTATGCTACTGGCTGACTGCATCTATAATCCAAACCAATGTACAATAGGGGGGATGCATTTGAAGACTCCCAGTGGATGCTTGAAACTGCAGATAGTACTAAATCCTATATATACTGTTTTTTCCTATTCATGCATACTTATGATAAATTTTAATTTGTAAATTAGGCACAGTAAGAAATTAACAACAACAATAATAAAATAGAGCAATTATAACAATATCCTGTAATAAAGGTTATATCGATGTAGTCTCTCTCTCTCTCTCTCTCTCTCTCTCTCTCTCTCTCAAAATAGCTTATTGTACTGTACTGCCAGTAACTAAAACCATGGAAAGTGAAACAGCAGATAAGAGGGGATGACTGTATTACTTACATATTTTCAAAGGCAGTTTTTACCTCTCATAACATACTATTCTAAGGAATTGCGACAAAACATGAATTTAGAGCCAATGTTTACAATTTAAAAGAATATAATCTTCTAAGCACTGAAAAAAAGACATACACCAGAATTATTACAGAAATTGAAAGAGGCTTTACAATTTTTGAAAAAAGACATACATCAGAATTATTAAAGAAATGGAAAGAGGCCTCACAGTTATTTTGCCTGGATTAAGAAGGCTAAGAGGTGACAAAAACTGCCTTTGAGATATAAAAGGTTATTATGAGGAATTGTGGTGAACCTACTTATTTACCAATTGCAAACCATTGTTATTTAAATGCCATTTATAATGTCTCTAAACTTGAATGTGTAACTGAAAAAGGAATATAACCCCATTAAGTCCATAATAGATGTATTTGGTCCAATGGTTCATATCAAAAAGATTGAGTGTATTTTAGCTTAAGGAGTCTACCATGAATCACCTCCATAGCATAAACTATCAGGTATGGTCTGAGGTGCCCACCATAAATAACAAAAACATTCTTGTCCCCTGGGAAATTCCAAGGGTTTCAATGCTACCTCCCAGGAGCTAGAGACAAAAGCCAGCCAAATTCTTTATCACACAAAATTATATATCAGATAAGGGTCTAGTGTCCAGAATGTATAAAGAACACTTAAACCGAACAAAAAAAGACCATCCAATTAAAAAGTGAGCAAGGGATTTGAATAGACATTTTTCAAAAGAAGTTATACAAATGGCCAATAAGCACAAGAAAAGATACTCAGCATCGTTTGTTATTAGGAAATTCAAATCAAACCTACAATGAGATACTACTTCACACCATTATGATGATTATAATAATTTTTTAAAAAAAACAGAAAATAAGTGTACGCAAGGATGTGGATTGGAACCCTCAAGCAATGCTGGTAGAAATATAAAATGATGCAGTCACTTCTTTAGTGAAGTGTCTGTTCTGGTTTTTACCTAAATTTTCTTTTATGGATCATGGTTTGATGCCATATCTAAAGTCTCTTGGCTCAACCCAAGAGAACTTTCTCCTGTATTTTCTTCTAATAATTGTATAATGTTTTATATTTAGGCCTACGATCCACTTTGGGTCAGTTCTTATATGAAGTGTGAATGAAGTATGTGTGGAAGTACTTTTTTTTTTGGCAAGTGGATATCCAATTTTTACAGAACTAATTGTTGAAAATACTATCTTTTCCCTATTAAATTGCCTTTGCACCTTAGTCTAAAATGAATTGACTACAGTTGTGTTGCATCCATTTTTGGGCTTTCTTTTCTGTTCCACTGATCTATATGTCTACTCTTTTGCCAGTAACATGCTGTCTTGACTACTATGGTTTTATAGAAAGTCTTCAAATCAGAGTTTTTCAGTTTTGTTCTTCTGTTTTCAAATTTGTTTTGGCTATTCTAGTTCCTTTGCCTTTTCATGTAAATTTTAGAATCAGCCTTTCATTTCTACAAAAATACCTGGTACGATTTTAGTTAGGGTTGTATTGAATCTATAGGTTAATTTGGGGAAGAAATGATATCTTAATAAGATTAAGTCTTTCAATACATGAGCACAATATCTTTCCATTTACGCAGGTCTCTTGACTTCTTTCATCAATGTTTAATAGTTTCAGTATAAAATATTCAACACCTATTTGGTTAGATTTTTACCTAAGTATTTTATTTTTAGTGGTAAATGGTGCTGTCCTCTGATTCGGATTTCTATTTTTTAATACAAAAACTGTGGCTGACCCTATAATCCTAACACTTTGGGAGGATCGCTTGAGGCCAAAAGTTCAAGACCAGCCCTGGCAACATAATAAGACTCCGTGTCTACAAAATATTTAAAAATTAGCCAGATGTGGTGGTGCATGCCTGTAGTCCTAGCTACTCAGGAGGCTGAGATGGGAGGATCACTTGAGCCTGGGAGTTTGAGGCTCCAGTGGGCTATGATTGTGCCACTGCATTCCAGCCTGACCAAGAGAGTGAGACCCTGTATCAAACAAAAAAGTATAAAATTTTATACAATTGATTTTTGTATATTGACCTTGTATCCCACAACTTGCAAAACTGACGTCAATTAGTTCTAGGGCTTTTTTTTTTTTTTTTTTTTTTGGTAGATTCCTTTGGGTTTTCTATAGACAACAATGTCATCTGTGAACAGAAACTATTTAATTTCTTCCTTTCCAATCTGTACCCCTTTTCTTTTTCTTGCCTTCTTGCTTTGGTTAAGATTTCCAGTATGATATTGTATAGAAGTGGTGAGAAAAGATTTCCTTGCCTTGCACTTCATCTTAGGGGGAAAGTATTCAGTTTTTTATAATTAAGAATATTGGCCAGGTATGGTGGCTCACACCTGTAATCCCAGAACTTTGGAAGGCTGAGATAGCAGATTGCTTTAGCCCAGGAGTTGGAGACTATCATGGGCAACATAGCAAAACTCCATCTCTACAAGAAATACAAAAATTAGCCGGGCATGGTGGCACATCTGTAGTCCTAGCTACTCAGGAGGCTGAGGTGGGAGGGTTGCTTCAGTCCAGGAGGCAGAGGTTGCAGTGAGCTGCAATCACACCACTGCACTGCCCAGCTTGGGCAACAGACCCTGTCTCAAAAAAAAAAAAAAAAAAAAGACTATTAGCTGTAAATGTTTAAGAAGACGCTCTTTATCAGTTTTAGGAAGTTCCTTTCTAATCCTAGCTTGCTGAAAGCTTTTATCATGAATGAGTGTTAAATTTTGACAAATGCTTTCTCAGTATCTACTGAGATGATCATATGGTATTTCTTCTTCAGTCTGTTAATATGGCCAAGTACATTGTTTAGTTTTCAAATGTTAAATCCACCTTTTATTTCCAGAATAAACTCCTGTTAGTTATGATGTATTATCCTTTTTACATATTACTGGATTTACTTTTGCTAATATTTTGTTGAGGATTTCCATGTCTAAAGGGTACTGCTTATTGAATATTGACCTTGTATCCAAAAACTGTACTAAAATCTCAATTCCTCTTTGATTGAGGTACAGGAATGCAAAGGCAAAATGACACATCTTTCATTCTATCACTGTTTTCCAAACCTCCGCAGGGGAGTTCTGTGTTTTGGAAGGAATCAGGTACATCTCACACTTTGGTCCTTGTTTAGCTTTTTCAATCCCTTATCCACCAGTCAGAATCTGAGGCATGGAGGGGGCAGTTAATTGGCACCTCAGGCCTCCAACAGGCCTGGCACTGTCAGATTAAGCATGCTGTGCTTTCTGCTACACCTTCTCCATGACACATGCATCTTTTCTCAAGGCTCGGGCCAGGCACCACCTTTGGTAAATAACTTCCCTGAATTTGTCCCCTGTTCCCAGCCCCAGTTTTGATTTAAGCGCACCTCCCGTGTTCCCCTATGCTTTGCATGTATCGCTGCACGGTGCAGGTAATAGATGATATCTATTACTATTGTTACGAACTGCAGACAAGATAGTGTGGTAATTAAAAACATGGACACAGAGTCAGAGTGTGTGGGTTTAAATCCTGGCTTTATTTCTAACAAGGTACGTAACAAAGAAAGTTTCTTAAATTCTACGTGCCTCAGCTTCATCATCTATAAGGATACTAATACCTCCTTCATAAGGTTGTTGAGAGAATTCAATAAAATAATTTATGTATAGCAGTTAGAATTATGTACTTTGTATATAGTAATTGCTCAATAAATATTAGCTATTATTATTTTCTTTATTTCACTTTTTAATTTTTATTTTAGGCTCAGGGGTACATGTGCAGGTTTGTTAATACAGGCAAACTCATGTCACAGGAGTCTGAGGTACAGAGCATTTTGTCACCTGGGTACTAAGCATAGTACTCAACAATTATTTTTTTTCTCATCCTCTCCCTCTTCCCACCCTCCTCCCTCAAGAGGGCCATATCATTATTTTCATTTTTAAAAATTTCTAGTTTATCCAGGGAGTAGTAAGCTTCTTAAGGGCAGACAGTATCATCTCATTTCTTTGTCATTCTCCAGAACTAGTAAGGGTGTCTGGCACACAATAGGTGCTCAATAAATGTTGTTTTTGAATATAGGTAGAACCAAAACAGCCTTAGGGGCTGAGCTAAAAAAAACACCAAACTTTAGTCTGTCACCAAATATGTAGGGTTCTCTTCACTTCTCTCCAGAGTCCACAAATCCTTTGGGACTATCCATGGTGCTGACCTCTGGCCAATTGGCTTACCTGGCCAGAGCCTGACCAACAATTTGGGCCACTTGCCAATCTGACTTAACACCTCTGCCATGCCCCCAGTTGGATGGACCATATTGTTGCCTCAGTGTAGTTCACAACTAAGGCTTTTCAGTAATCCTCCCTACCTGACCTCCTAAATCTGCCAGAGGACCCTTTCCTAAACCTTGCCCTGTTCAACTTGCTTCTCATGACGCTGACCACAAAAGGAGCTAACTCTCTTCTCTACTTCGCCTCTCTTTCCTTCTCTAATGCCTTTTCTGCTGTGGTTTCCCCCACTACTTTGTTGCTCTTGGGTTTTTTTTTTCCACACCTTTTCCTCTTTTCCTTCTCCCTTAAAATATCCCATTTTATGTCCACTATATTATTGATAACTCCTCCTGCCCCCCCTCACAAAATCCCTTGGAATTAGGCATATTTTATCTAAATGCAGAAAGATAGGATGTAGAGAAGGCCTTCCATGGGAGAAGAATAAGCGACAGGCAGGCTTTTCCCAGGATAGGAGCTATACACTGGGCCTCTAACATTTATTTACCTGTTTAAAATATGTTCAATATATTTTCATTAAGACAGAGGTGAGGATGAGGGTATAGAGTAGGTATGGTGACAGAGATCAGACTAGGGGTTAAAGCCCAGGTAGGAAGTGCCCCAAGGATGAACTTTGATTACATCACTGGCTTGTGTGGGGCCAGAACTGGCTAGAAAGACAGGTTTTTGTTCCACATAAACTCTGCTGGAAGGAAGGCATCCAAAGATGAAAGGGAAAGTTATGAGGTATTTTTTATTTCCTCCATGGACTTACTTAAAAGAAATTTAGCTACATCCACACACAGATAAATATTATCAGCATCTTTGAGCAGGGCCATCTCTGAGGAAGATCAGGAGCATTTAATGTATATGGTTTCTAACATTGCTACAGCAAAATGCAATCAACAAAGCTGGTCAATGACTTAAAGTGAACTAGGTTTAGATCCATTAGTCTTAGAGCTCTTCTGACAGTTGGTGCTGGAGGTGGGCTAAGCCAGAGGGGCTAAGCCAGAGGGGCTAAGCCAGCCTCTTACCATTCACATGATGGCTCGCATTTACTAGAATGCTTCTGAAGGTAAATGAATATACATACAGCAACATATGTAATTGTTTTTGTTAATATGAGTAACCGGCAAAGGAATTTTAAGTTTTGTTTTCTTTTGTTTTGCTTTTTAAAGTTAACACTAGTTGGAGCCATGCATTTTTCTAAGAGTTTCACATCTGTTAACCCATTCAATGTCCAAAGTAACCCTATGATCTAAGTACTATTATTATACAACTTTACATATGAAGACTGGGCCCAGAGAAGTTAAGTAACTTGCCCAAAGTCACACAGCACTGCTGGGAAATGACTGTGTCATTTGAGTCCGGATTCAAACCCAGGTGTTCTGGCTCCACTCTCGGCTCTTAGTCTCTGAGCTCGTCTGGCCCTTTAAGGGAATTACGGGTGATGGGCTATCTTTCTAGGGGTGCAGGGACTGGGTACAGGTCTAACTAGGTGAATCTTTTAAATACATTTACAACAAATGTTAAGAACTCTTTAAAGTGAAAATGAGGATATATCACCAAAAGCATCTGCAACTCAAGGAGGCTAGGAATGGGGTGAGCAAGGTATTAGTTCATGAGCTCAGCTCCTGCCCTCCCTGCAGAGAGTGACACTTCTTGATTCAGTGTTTCCAGGGGCCCCAGTTACTTAGCTCTTTCCAACTCTGTCCCCTCAATAAACTAGTCAATTTATTATCACACATTATCACCTTATAATAAATGTGAAACAGCATTTTGTTGCGAAGAAATAGATAAAAATGGCAACTTCTGGACATTTCTCAAAGGATCTCTTATGATTGACTCTTGGAAACCATGGAATTTATCTGAGCAAAATCTCTGCCAAATCAGCCTTTTTCCTGTGCTTTACTTCCTATAGCTTCTAACATCCATCTTGCAAAACAGCTCCTTCCCTTTAATTGTGCTGAAATTGATTCCCCATCCCTTCTCACTCTTCTCACCTTAGGTCACAAGAAGTTGTTTTGGGGTGGACAACGTCACCCCTCAGCTTGGGTGATCACTGTCTGATCTAAGTTGTCTCTCTCCCTACTTTCTTGTCTCCTCTCCAGTGAGTCCAATATTCTAGTTACCTTCTCCATCTTGTCCTTTTGCATTCCCAGCTCAATTCATTCCTTCTCAGGAAATCTTCTCCCATCTACGTCTTTAGGAATTCCCTTCCTCCTTCACTTTTTTCTTTCTTGCCCCCATTTGCACTGGAAAATCTCTGCCACAGATATTGTTCACTCTCTCAATAAACCAATGTGCCACTCTTTGGTCTCTCTTGTTGCTGCCATATTCCACCCGGCACCTGTCACTTAGCAGACAATGAACCCTCATCTGTTCCTTTAATGAAAGGACCAAAGGAGGGTGAAGTCATGGCTGCTAAATGAAATAAAAAGTGTCTTTGATATAACTTTCTCAAACAAGAAGGAAACCACGATGTTTTTCACTTCTTAAAACTTTCTTGGCCGGGCACAGTGGCTCGTGCCTGTAATCCCAGCACTTGGGGAGGCCAAGGTGGGTAAATCACTTGAACCCAGGAGCTTGAGAGCAGCCTGGGCAACATAGGGAGACCTCGTCTCTACTAAAAAATAAGCATTAAAAAAATTCAGTAGGGCATGGTGGTGCACACCTGTAGTCCCGGTTACTCGGGAGGCTGAGGTGGGAGGATTGCTTGTACCCAGGAGATCGTGGCTACAGTGAGCCATGATCACGTCACTACACTCCAGCCTGGGTGAGAGAGCACAACTCTATCAAAAAAACAAAACAAAACAAATCAAAAGAAGTTCTTATTAAATTTACATTTATCATCTTTTACCTGATTATTTAAAAAAGTATATTGAAGAATATTTTGAAACTATGCCAAGTTGTTTACTTTTATTTTAAAGAGAAACATATATAATAAATAAAACTAGTGTCACGTCCTTCAATCATCCCTGTTGGAATGATAAGAGTATTTCTCTACATCCCTATCTAGCTAAATTTGTTTTTCCTTGACAATCACCATTCAGTAAATGTTTTTAAAAGCTTCTTTCTTATTGAGTTTTGTGACTTTTCTGGCTACTTAGGTTACCGATATTACAATATTCTGCTCTTATTCATTGCAATGCACATAATTTTAGTTATATTCTGGGTAGAACAGGCTTTTATGAACTAACCTAGAAACTTAAGTGCCCCTCTTATCCTTGTTTCCATGGGGAAATGCACTTCAAATAACCAGCTAGCATAGACTGTTAGAATACAAGCCATTTGTACAACACTGGCTGCCTGGGACATTGAAGGCCTATGGCTTTTATTTGCCACATGATACGCAGCAACAAAGCAGTTAAATGTGCTTTTCACTTCCATGTTGCCACACAGATGTTTCAAGGTTTCTGCAAGCTGATAGAAGAATGAAAATGCTCCAGCAAAAAAACCACAATAAATCAACAAGGTGAAGTAACCATTAAACTCTGTAAGAGCTTCGTGCATTCGTGCATCCAAAGAAAATTTTATGGGACAACATGCAGAAAACAGATTTTTTTTTTTTTTTTGGTAAAGCTTTTCTAATTCAAAGCATAAATCTAAGAAAGAATGCTAAGAACTCACAGGTGCTGAGTAACAACAAAACTTGACCTAGGGGCAGTCTAACTATAAAATGCAGGAAATAGAAAGTAGAGAAAGACTGCAAATATCTCATAGCCAATTACTACCTAATTTATACTAAGCAAATTAAAATAGGATAGTACAAATTAAAAACAGGAAGTTATTTAATGAAGATCAATTTGGACCATTTACAAAAAAACTGTATTAGCTTAACAGCAGCTTAACTGTTCTGAGTGGAATTTTTCAAAGCAGCCACCAGGATTAAGTAACCGTACAAGTTTTGTATATTTCTTTCTTATTAACAAGAATATGGTAGCAAAGACAATAAAAAGGGACACCAAGTATCAAAATAACATTTTTGGCAGAAGTGAAATACACGATGTAAAACAAAGATGAAAAGAAAGTAGTGCCAGAAAAATTGAGATATTTGTTATGTGTTTCCAAAAACCTGAAATCAAAGTAACACTCCTACATGGTGTCCAGAAACCACACTGCGAGGACACAAAGAAAAAAGATACCAAGAAAAATTAAAAGAAGATCACATTTCTGAGACCTTTTCTAGGGTCCACAAACACAGACATAAGAAAAAGGTTGAGTAGCAAAACATGGTTTGGGAAGTAGAAAACTAGACACAAAACAAAACAAGGAACATCTGGAAATAATAGATGATAACAGAAGGCCAACATGGAGACTATTCCAAGAAACTGAAAAAACCAAACTTCTGTTGAGCATTTAGATGCATTCCTATTTGCCCAAATCCATGATCTACCCTGAGGCATTTGCTGCTCATCTCGGTGACTGGGAGCGAGGATTGAGGATCGATGCACATAGTACTCTTTGGGGCTTAAGCCATGAGGTCCCTCTGCACTCATCTTATTGCAGCATTAGGATACAATAGGGAGAGCTCAAGACAGGGACACTGGCAGCTCTTCTGGCTTAACTTTGTTTTGCTGTTGAAATTGTACATTGGGGTTTGGTGGTAGAGATGGGGAGGGGGTGGGGCAGGGGGAAGAAACAGGACTAGGTAGCTCCTAGGACCTTATAGAGACAAAGGACCTACAATAAATGACCACAGGGAGCTGATGGTTTTGTTCAATGCATATTAAAGAGGACTTCATCAAGGTCTGAGCTGGGTTTAGAGCAGTCAAATTAAGCAAAGGCCCAAAATTCCTTTGACTCTCATTGTGGTTTTTTTAAGTAACTGGTAAATTCAAGGCCTATCTGGGGCAGTCATAAAGATGAACTCCTTGTGAAATGGGCCATGTGAACAATGCTGTGTCCATGAAGGTTTTGTCAGTTAGGATGATTTTGGCAGCAAGAAACAGAAAAATCAGACATATGGCTTAAACCATAAAGACATTAACAGTTCACTGTGAAGTCCAGGTAGGCAGTCCTGTGGGTGAGTGGATGGTTCAGTTATGTCAAGGATCCAGCTCTTTCTATCCTTGACTCCATTGCTTTCAGGGCACACTGGTGTTTATCTTCATGGTCAGAGCTCGAGCACCACATTCTTCTATTATGGCTTTTAAAGCTGAAAGTGATGGGAAGAGGACAAAAAAGGCTTTCTGACTTTGCATGCTGCTCTTATCAGAAAAGAAAGATACTCCTGAAATCTTAGGCAGATTCTCCTTAAGGCTCATTGTTCAGAACTGACTCATATGCTAACCCCTAGGCCAATGACTTTCAAGGGAGAACTGAGTTGCTGTGATTGGCTTAGAATAATTGAACTGTAGTTGGACACATGCTGGGGTTGGGCATATTGCAGCTGGAATGAAGTTGGGATTCTGTTGTCAAGAAGATGAAACTGAGTAAATTTGGATTTTGGGAAAGGGTAAATAGGTACATAAGAAGCCTAAGCAAACTGTTATACAAATTATATAAATGTTTATGATGCTGCTGTTATTTGGATGGAAAATGCAACAGTCAGGATAAGCTAAAGTAATGATGCAGGAACAAACAACCCCAAATAAACAGAGGTTTATTTCCGGCTCACATCATACGCCTATTATGGGTCAGCTGCAAATCTGCTCCACACATAGACCCAGACTCATAGAGCAGGTCTTATTTTGGCTGTAGCTGGTCTTATAGTAGAGGAATAAAAGATGCAGCAAACCAGGTGCTTGTTCTTAATGTTTCTCCTCCAAAGTGACATATGTCACTTTTCCTCACAATGCTCTAGGCATAGAGCAAGCAAATTGAGTGTGCTAGACCTTAACAGCCAGGTAAGTTATCATCTTTCTGCAGGAAGGTGAACTCAGGGAGGGGCAACAAATATTTCAAATGATAATGCAACCTACCAAAAAGATGGATGTGTCATTTAGCCTTCATTCTCTTAAATACGGTCATGAACATTTGTGACTCAGTATTAAGCTTTTTTTTTTTTTTTTTTTTTTTGAGATGGAGTCTTGCTCTGTTGCCTAGGCTGGAGTGCAGCAGCACGATCATGGCTCACTGCAACCTCTACCTCCTGGGTTCAAGCGATTCTCCTGCCTCAGCCTCCCAAGTGGCTGGGATTACAGGCAAAACCCTGTCTCTACTAAAAATACAAAAATTAGCATTAAGCTTTATGACAGCAGTCTTGCTTCAGTTTTTCTGTTGCCATTAAAAGCACAGCAGGCAGACCTTGCCATTTATCCTATGATGATATGCTGCCTGAAGAACAAAGTCAGCGTACAACGTTTATTATTTTCCTCTTTGTTAAATATTTTTGATAGAATAAACAATATAACAATATTAAAACGATTTGAAATGGCCATTAAAAAATACCATTTCCTGGGATACATCTCTCTTTTCTTTCCTCGGCTTTAAGCCCTTCTGAATGCAGGAAGGACTTTATCCTCTCAACATCTCATATTCTGTTTTTCATCTAGAGTTAGGCTGGCTCAAGGGAGAGCTCTCACACAACCACAATAGCCTAACCTGCACAGTTCACATATGTCCTAGTTGGAAAAAGCATAGAGTTCTATTGTTGAGAAGCTAGTTTAAACTGTGGGCAAACCCTATACCTTCTAAAGCTCTATTGTAGTCCTCCCAGGACACAGCCTGATCATGTCCTTGCAAAGCAGCCCTCTTCCAGAGCATTCTTTCTTGTATCCTCAGGATGAGAATCGGGGCAATTATGTAACGATCAGTGACCTCCCTGTAATAATTAAGGGAGGAAATATTGCTTTTCCTGTTGCCTAGGGCTTTGCAGAAGCATTCAAAGCAAGCTTTTTGCTCTTATAGCATAGTTTAACTTACTCTGTGATTAACAAAATTCCATGGCAACATATTATACAGAAATCATATATGACTTATTTGAAATAGTTAATGGATTAACTTTTTTGATGTTTAAAGAACTCAAAATGAGCAAAATGAGGAGTACATAAAGATATTTTTCCTGCATTTCTAAATCAAGACCTGTGAATAAGCAATATTATGTAATCTATTAACTTTCTAAAATTGTGATAAAATATACATAATATTAAATTTACCATTTAACTATTTTTAAATGTTAGGTCCGTGGCATTCAGTAAGTTCACATTGTTGTGCAACTATCAGCACTATCCACCTTCAGAACTTTTCATCATCTGAAACAGAAGTTCTGTGCCCATTAAACACTAACTGCCCATTTTCCCCACTCCCCCAACCACCGTCCTACTTTCTATCTCTATGAATTTGACTACTGTAGGTATCTCAGATAAGGAATCATATGGCATTTGTCTTTAGTGACTGACTTGTTTCACTTAGCGTAATGTCTTTAAGGTTCATCCATGTTGTAGCATGTGTCAGAATTTCCTTACTTTTTAACTCTATTAACTGTTTTTGTTTTATTTATTTATTTATTCATTTTAGAGACAAGGTCTCACCTGGTTGCCCAGGCTGGAGTGCAGTGGCTCTATCATAGCACACTGTAGCCTTGAACTTCTGGGCTCAAGGAATCCTCCCACCTCAGCCTCCCAAGTAGCTGGGACTACAGGCAGGCACCACCATGTCCAGATAACTTTAAAATTTTTTGTAGAGAAAGAGTCTCATTACATTGCCTAGGTTTGTCTCAAACTCCCTCCTAGTCTCAAGAGATCGTCCCACCTCAGACTCCCAAAGCACTGGGATTACAGGAGTGAGCCATGACACCTGGCCTAAGTCTACTAACTGTTAAACTGACATAGATGATAATGTGTTAAGAAGCATCTGTTTTTTTAAAAAAATATTTTTCTTTTAAATTTACATACAGGCAGATTCACTTTTTTCAACGTATAGTTCTATGTGTTTCAATGTATGCATAGGTTTGTGTAATCATAATCATGGTACAGAATCCAAAAAAGTTCCCTCATTATATCCTCTCCCCAACTCTAACCCTGGGCTAACCACTAATCAGTTCTTCCTCCCTTTTGCCTTTTCCAGAATGTCACATAAATGGAATCAATACATGTAAATATGTACCTATGTCATTAAGTGTATCCATAGTTTGTTCCTTTTTGGCCGGGTGTGGTGGTTCATGTCTGTAATCCCAGCACTTTGGGAGGCTGAGGCAGGTGGATCACCTGAGGTCAGGAGTTTGAGACCAGCCCGGCCAACATGATGAACGAAACCCCATCTCTACAAAAATACAAAAATTAGCCAGGTGTGGTGGCACGCACCTGTAATCCCAGCTACTAGAAAGCCAGAGGCAAGAGAATCACTTGAACTCGAGAGGTAGAGGTTGAGGTTGCAGTGAGCCGAGATAGTGTCACTGCACTCCAGCCTGGGCGACACAATGAGACTCCATCTCAAAAAACAAACAAACAAAAAAGTTTGTTCCTTTTCGTTGCTGAAAAGTATACCACTGTATGGAGGTACCAGAGTTTGTTTATCCAGTCAACAATTGAAAGGCATTTGGATTGTTTCCAGTTATGGATCATTATGAATAAGCTTCTATAAACATTCATGTACAGGTTTCTGTGTGAATATCTCTAGGGTAAATAGCTAGGAGTGGGACTGCTAAATCACATGGAAACTGTATGTTTAATAGCAGCCACCAAATGGTTTTCCAAAGTGGCTGTACCATTTTGCACTTCCACCAGTGATTATGAGTTCCAGTTGCTCCATATCATCTCCAGGACTCCAGTACTGTCAGCTGTGTGTGTCGAGCCATTCTAATAAGTGTGCAGATGTATCTCATGGTTTTCTTTTGCACTCCTCTAATAAATGATGGTGTACATCTCTTCATCTTTTCATGTGATTTTTTTTGTCATTCATATATCTTCCTTCATGAAGTGTCTGTACACATCTGCTGCCCATTCTTTATTCAGTTTTCCCTTATTGCTAAGTTTTAAGAGTTCTTTATATATTGTGGCTATAAGCCCTTTGTTAGATATGTGATTTGCAAGTATTTTTTTCCAAGTCATCTTTCCATTCCCTTAACAGTGTATTTTGCAGATGACAAGTTTATTTTTATGAAGACCCACTTATCCATTTAAAAATTTCATTATATTTAGTGTCATATCTAAAAATTATTTGCCTAACCCAAGGTCATAATTTCTCCTAGTAATTTTATAGTTTTACATTGTACATGTAGGTCTACAGTTCATTTTGAGTGAATTTTTGTACAAGAAGTGAGGTATACCTGAGGTTTTTACATGTGGTTGCCGGGTTGTTCTAACTAATCTTTTGTTGAAGAGACTATCCTTTCTCCTAAAAATTACCTTTTCTCCTTTGTGAAAAGTCAGTTGACCATAGGCTGGGCGTGGTGGCTCATGCCTATAATCCTAGCACTTTGGGAGGCTGAGGCAGGAGGATTGTTTGAGGCCTAGAGTTCGAGACCACCTTGGGCAACAAAGCAAGATCCCCATCTCTACAAGAAACAAAACAAATTAGGGCTGGGCACAGTGGCACACACCTGTAATTCAAACACTCTGGGAGGCCAGGGCAGGCAAATCACTTGAGGCTAGGAGTTCGAGACCAGCCTGTACAACATGGTGAAATCCCATCTCTACTAAAAATACAAAAAATTAGCCAGGTGTGGTGGTGCACTCCTGTAATCCCAGCTACTTAGGAGGCTGAGGCATGACAATCGCTTGAGCCCAGGAGGCAGAGGTTGCAGTGAGCCAAGACTGCATCACTGCACTTCAGCCTGGGCAACGAAGTGAGACCTTGTCTCAAAATAAAAATAAATTAGCCCAGGGCAGTAGCACATGCCTGTAGTCCCAACTACTCAGGAGGCTGAGGCAAGAAAGATGGCTTGAGCCCAGGAGTTCGAGGCTGCAGTGAACCATGATCACAACAGTGCACTCCAGTCTAGGTGACACAGTGAGAAGATCCTGTCTCTAAACAAACAACAACAACAACAACAAAACAATTGACTGTATTTGTGAGGGTTTAATTCTGGACTCTTTTTCACCAATCTACGTGGTTACCGTCTTGTGTCACACCATCTTGTGTCACAGTATCTCAATTCTTGTACCTTTACAGTAAATCTTAAAATCAAGTAAGATGAGTCTTCCAATTTTTTGTTTCAAAGCTACTTTGCCTTTTCATCTAAATTTTACAACAATCTTGTCTATATCTACAAAAGGTCTTGCTTGGGAGTTGACTTAGAATTCACTAATACTATAGATATACTAGGGAGATTTGAAATCATAACTAGGGATGAGTCTTCTAATCCATGAACAGTATTTCTTCATTTATTCAGATCTTCGATTTTTTAAATCAGTGTTTCTAGTTTTTAGCATATAGATTCCACAGATATCTTATTAGACTTAAACCGAAGTATTTTATTTTGGGGCAACTATTATAAATAGTACTTCGTTTAAAATGTTGATGTTGACATTTAAAAAAACTTGAATGGGGTATGAGGATTATATGGTAGTTATGTATCCCGTTTAGCTTCCTGATTCTGAGAGCTCAATTATAGTTAACATGAAATGTCCTTGTTTGTGGGAAACACAAACTCAAGCACTCCACACTGAAGACGCTCGGGTCAGTAAATTACTCTCAAACAGCTGGGCAGGGGTAGTTCTTTGTACTATACTTGCAAATCTTCACTAAGTCTCAGAATGTTAGAAAACTGTGTAAGCAATATTACATTGAAAATACAAAGCTGAATAAGGGACAAAGAATGTACACTCTGAAGAAGTTAAACATGAGATCTATATGATCCAGAGAGTGAGGGAGTGCTTTGCTATACAATTCCAGGGGCTGGAAAGACCAAGAAGTGGGCAGAACAAGATAGACTAGAAACTCTTAAGCAACCCATTTAACCAACTACCCCGATTAACAGATATATATTCCAATTCCCTGAGTTAAGCAGTCAACTACCCAATTACCCCCAACTGCCACAATGACTGAAGTCCCCCATATGCTAACTGCTTGCTGCTGTACACTGCTCTCTAGCAGAGCTGAGAGCTACATCAGTTGAGTTATATGTTTTATATATTTGTCAAGGACCAACTGTGTTTGGTCTTAACTCTGCTTGTATTTGTTACTGTAAGTACAGTTTAAATAAAAACTGTGATATTAAAATAAAAAAATGACGTTGAATTGCTCATTGCTAACATATAGCAATGTGATTTTTATATGTTAATCATGCATTCTATATTTTAACTGTGCTAATTAGTTCTAGCAGTTTTTTTGCAGATTCCTTCAAATCTTCTACATAAACACTCACATTGTTTGTGAATAGAGAAAGTTCTGTTTTATTTTCTCCAATCTGTATGCCTCTTACTTCTGTTTCTTGCCTCATCACAGTGGCCAGGACTTTTAGCACGATGTTAAACAGAAATGCTAAGAACATTTTTGCCTTTTTCCCAATCTTAGGCAAATTAATCAGCCCTTCACCATTAAGAATGATGTTAGCGGCTAGGCGCGGTGGCTCATGCCTGTAATCCCAGCACTTTGGGAGGCCAAGGTGGGCAGATCACCTGAGGTCAGGAGTTCAAGACTAGCCTGACCAACATGGAGAAACCCTGTCTCTACTAAAAATACAAAATTAACCAGGCATGGTGGCGCATGTCTGTAATCCCAGCTACTCAGGAGGCTGAGGCAGGAAAATCGCTTGAAGCCGGAAGGCGGAGGTTGCGGTGAGCTGAGATCGCACCATTGCATTCCAGCCTGGGCAGTAAGAGTGAAACTCCATCTCAAAAAAGAAAAAAAAGAATTATGTTAGCTGCCAAGTTTTTTTTATAGTTCAATTTATTAAATTAAGGAAGTTCTCTTGTATTCATATTCCATTGAGTTTTATCAATAAAGAATGTAGAGGTTGGGCACAATGGCTCATGCCTGTGATCCCAGAACTTTGGGAGGCTGAAGCGGGAGGATTGCTTGAGCCCAGGAGTTCAAGATCAACCTGGGCAACACAGTGAGACCCTGTCTCTATAAACAGTTATAAAATTGGCCAAACATGGTGGTGGGCACTTGTAGTCCTAGCTACTTAGGAGGCTGAGGCAGGGCTGCTTGAGCCCAGGAGGTCCAGGCTGCAGTGAGCCGTGATTGCCACCACTGCACTCCAGACTGAGCTACAGTGAGACCCTGTCTTAAAAAAATAAATAAAAAGAATGGATGTTGAATTGTGTCAAATGGGTTTTCTGCATCTATTCATAAAATCATGTTTCTATGCTTCAATCTGTTAATATGGTGGACTACATTGATTTTCAAATGTGGGAACAACCTTGCATTCCTGAAAGAAAATTTTATTTATATATTGCTGTATTCAATTTGTCAATATCTTGTTGGGGATTTTTGCGTCTGTGTTCAAGATATTGATCTTATTTTTGAAATATCTTTCTCTAGTAATGTTAGGGTAATGCTGGCTCTTAAAATGAGTTGCAAATTATTTCTTTCTCCTCTATTTTCTGTAAGAGATTGTATAGAATTGGTCTTATTTATTCCTTAAATCTGAGCCTGGAATTTTCTTTTTTGGCTAATGGTTTTCCAGCCTTCTACATTCTTGCTGATTTTCTGTCTACTTGCTTTATTGATTACTGAGAGGAAAACTGAAATTCCCATCTATAATTGCAGAATTATCTATTTCTCCTATTTTATTAGTTTTTGTTTTATGTACAGTATTTTGACACTCTGTTGTTAGCTGCATACATACAGAATTATTATGTCTTGAGTGACCACTTTATTAGTATGCAATTTACCTCTACAAACTTGTTAATTTTCCTTGTTCTGAAGTCTATTTTATCTGATTAATATACCCATTCCAGCTTCCTTTTGATTAGTCATTACATGGTGTATCTTTTCTTTTTTGAGATGGAGTCTCACTCTGTGACCCAGGCTGGAGTGCAGTTGCAGGATCTTGGCTAGTGAGCCTCCTGGGTTCAAGCAATTTTCCTGCCTCAGCCTCTCATGGAGGCACCCTCCACCACACCTGGCTTTTTTTTTTTTTTTAGTAGAGACAGGGTTTCACCATGTTGGCCAGGCCAGTCTCGAACTCCTGACCTCAGGTGATCTGCCCGCCTCAGCCTCTCAAAGTGCTGGGATTACAGGCATGAGCCACTGTGCTCAGCCAATCTTTACATGGTATATCTTTCTCCATCCTTTTACTTTTTACATACTTACGTCATTTAAAGTGGACTTCTAATATATAGCATATAGTTGGGTCTTGTATTCTTAACCAAAATGACAAACTGGCTTTTAAATGGTGTTTCTAGAACATTTACCTTTAATGTAACTGTTAATATAGTTGGATCTATCATTCTATTATTTGTTTTCTGTTTTTCTCCTTTTTTTCTTCATTCCTTTTTCTCCTTTTCTGAATTTTTTTTTTTTTTTTGAGAGAGGGAATTGCTCTGTTGCTCATGCTGGAGTGCAGTGGTATGATCTCTGTTCACTGCAACCTCTGATTCCCAGGCTCAAGCAATCCTCCTGCCTCAGCCTCCTGGGTGGCTGGGACTACATGCACACATCACCATGTCTGGCTAATTTTTTAATATTTTGTTTTGGAGAGATGGGGTCTTTCCATGTTGCCCAGGCTGCTAAGTCCTGGGCTCAAAGAATCTGCCTGCCTTGGCCTCTCAAACTGTTGGGATTACAGACATGAACAACCGTGCCTGGCTCTTTCCTGGATTCTTTTGAATTATTTGAATATCTTTTGGTTTTCTATCTCTTGGCTTTAAAAATAACTGTATATATTTTTTGTTTTGTTTTTGTATTTGAGACAGTCTCGCTCCGTCACCAGGCTGGAGTGCAAAGGCATGATCTTGGCTCATTGCAACCTCTGCCTCCTGGGTTCAAGCAGTTTTCTTGCCTCAGCCTCCTGAGTAGCTGGGACTACAGGCACGCACCACCACCTCCAGCTAATTTTTGTATTTTTAGTAGAGATGGGGTTTCACCATGTTGGCCAGGATGGTCTCGATCTCTTGACTCATGATCCACCTGCCTTGGCCTCCCAAAGTGCTAGGATTACAGGTGTGAGCCACTGCGCCTGGCCAAAAATAACTATATACTTTTAATAATATTCTTAATGATTAAGGATTCCAATATATGTATTTAACTTTTAAAACCAGCTAAGAATATTTTATCATTTCAAATAAAATGTGGGGAACTTTCAACAATACAGGTCCTTTTACATTCCACCCTTTATGTTGCAGTTGTCATGTGTATTATTATCTACATACACCAAAAATCCCACCATCAATGTTACAGTGTTTGCTTGCACCCATTATACATATTTTAAAGAAATTATGAAGAGTAAAAAGTATATTTATCCATATATTTACTGTTTCTGTTGCTCTTCTTTCATTCCTGAAGTTTTGAGTTTCCTTCTGGTATTACTTCCTTTCCACCTGAAGAATTCCCTTTAGCATTTCTTTTAGTGCAGCTGCATTATTTTCCCTTCTTCTGGGAAGGAATTATTTTGCCTGCATTCCTGAGGAAAATTTTACAGAATATAGAATTTTGGGTTGACACTTCTTTACTTTCAGCATCAAAAAAATGTTCTACTGCTTTCTGACCGCCATGATTTCTGATGAGAAATCCAGTCATTTTAGTCATTTCGCCTTTATATATGTAATGTGTCATTTTTCTTTTTCAATTTTTTTTTTTAAGGCAGTGTCTCACTCTGTCGCCCAGGCTGTAGTGCAGTGGCACAATCTCGGCTCACTGCAACCTCCACCTCCCAGGCTCAAGCAATTCTCCCACCTCAGCCTCCTAGGTAGCTAGGACTACAGGTGTGCACCACCATGCCTGGCTAATTTTTGTATTTTTTTTTTTTTTTAGAGATGGGGGCTTTGCCATAGGCTGGTCTTGAACTCCTGGGCTCAAGCAATTTGCCCGCCTTGGCCTCCCAAAGTACTGGAATTACAGGCATGAGTCATCACACCTGCCCACATTTTAAAATTTTTCAGCAATTAAAAATCTTTAATTTTCAGCAAGTAAATTTGGATGCATCTCAATGTAGTTTTTTTGTTGTTGTTGTTGATTTTAGTGTATCTTGTTTGGGGGGTTTCCTGAACTTCCTGAATCTTTACATTCATGTCTTTTGCCAAATTTTAAAGTTTCTATCCTTTATTTTTTTCAATATTCATCTGCAGCAGTATCTTCCTCCTGATCTGGGACACCAAAGACATAAATGTTAATCTTTCTGATATTGTCCCACAGGTATGCAAGTCTGTTATTTTTTTCAATCTTTTTTCCTCTCTGTTTCAAATGGGATAATATATCTTGATCTTGACCTTTTAAGATCACTATTTTATCATTTCCATTCGGCAAATGAGTCCATCCAGCAAAGGTTTTAATTTCAATTATGTAGTTTTCAGTTTGTACATAACCGCTTTGTCCTTCCTTCCTGCCTTCTTTCCCTTCCTTCACTGTGAAACATAATTTAGTTTTACTTAGAACTATATTATGAACATCTTTCTAGGTAAGTACATACCAATTTAGTTTTATTCTGGTAAAATACATGTAACATAAAATTTACCATCTTAACCATTTTTGGTATACAGTTCAGTAGTGTTAAGTACATTCACATTGTTGCGCAAGCAGTCTCTAGAGCTCTTCTTGCCTTGCAAAACTGATACTCCATATCCATTCAACAACTCTCCATTCCCCACTCCCCATGGCACTTTCTTGTAGCTTCTATTTTTCTGCAGATAATTTTTCTTTCATTTCAAGAGTGTTCTCTCTTCTTACTGCTCTCTTATTGCTATTATGTACTTTTCAGACTCCTAGTTGTGTTTTCTTTCAAGGGTTTTTGGTTGTAATCTTTGGGAAAGATAAAGTGATATGTGCTGCTTACTCCATCTGAACTGGAAATTAAAGTCTGAACTCCTTTTTTAATTAATCAATCAATTAATTAATTTTTTTGAGACAGGGTCTCACTGTGTTGCCCAGGCTGGAGTGCAGTAGCATGATCAAGGATCACTGCAGCCTTGACACCCTGGGCTCAAGTGATCCTTCCACCTCAGACCTGTGAGTAGCTATACCTGGAACTTGGCTGTAATAGCTGCTTTGAAGTCACTGTCTGATAGGTTTAACATCTGAATCATTTTGGGACTGGCTTGTTTCTTGCAAGTTGGTGAGATTTTCCTGGTTCCTTATATGTTGAGCAATTTTAGATTATTCCTGAATGTTACATATATTTTACAAGTCTCTGAGTCTTGTTAAAGTCCTTTGGTGAATGTTTACTTTGTTGTTTTAGCTGCCAATTAACCTGGTTGGTTCAGATCATAAGTTTGGACATACCTTTAGTAAGCTGTGGCTTTAGTGTCACTTCAGTTTCCAAAGGTTTTGCAGTGCTACTTGGATCTGCCTCACATGTGCATCACCCAGGTGGTCATTCTGGTGGTAGTCTACACCACAGCCAGTTCTCAGAGCCTTTGGTATATTGCTTTGGGTCAGCTCCATGCATGAGCAGCTGGGGGTGGAGCCAAGGACTTTATACACAGCTTTTTAGGAACTTTTCCTTGAGCTTCCTCTTTTCTGTGATTTCCCCCATACTCTCCTGCTGCCAAGAGCCTCTTTTTCTGCTTGTGTGGCTAGAAAAGTAGAAATTCAAAGTTTTATCCCCCTTGCATTGTAGTCCACTTTTCATGACTGAGTCCACGTCTAGTGTAAAGTGTTGAAAGAACAGAGAGCAACAACAATAACGGAAATAACAGGGCCCCATTTATGAGTTCTTATGGTCAGAGAGAATTTCTCCTTCAGAGTTTTAGGTGCCCGTGTATCTCCTGCTGCTGCTGTTGCCACCACTATCTCTGCCACTGCAGGAGGGAAGTTGCAGGACTGTGGTTTGACTTGGGGAAGGGCTGGGAGAGGAAAAATCCCAGAGGATTTCTCCAACTATATCCACCTCACAGGAAGTCTCCCTTCCTAGTCCTGTAACAAGAAGGTTTCTCTTAGAGCTTTTTCTGTCCACACCCACTGTGCACTAGACATTTTAGTCTATAGGCCAGGAGATACAGGAGGAAGGAGAAACACACAAAAACCCAGGACCTCACCTCTGTATGGATTATCCCTCAGTCTTTACTTCCCTCCCCAGTCTGCCTGTTATTTACTTTTCAGACTCCTAATTGTTTTATGTTTTCTTTCAAGGGTTTTTGGTTGTAATCATTGGGAAAGGTAAAGTGGTATGTGCTGCTTACTCCATTTGAACTGGAAATTAAAGTCTCAACTGTCTTTTTAATTAATTAATTAATTTTATTTTTGAGACAGGGTCTCGCTCTGTGATCCAGGCTGGAGTGCAGTGGCACGATCAAGGATCACTGCAGCCTTGACCTCCTGGGGTCAAGCGATCCTTCCATCTCAGAGTAGCTGGGACCTAAAAGTACACACCCTCATACCTGGCTAATTTATTTTTTGTAGAGACAGAGTCTCACTATGTTGCCCAGGATCGTCTCAGACAGACTCCTGGGGTGAAGTGATCCTCTTGCCTCAGCCTTCCAAAGCGGTGTGATCACAGGCATGAGCCACCACACCCAGCTTATTTTATTTTTTAAGCTACTTGATACTATTCCTGAATCAGAGAAACAAAGTTGTTGGGAAGTAAGTATGAAAGTAATAAGATACTTTATCATTTCTTACTACTATTGATAGTAATATTATAAGTGATATTAGATATTGTTAAAATAATTATCAATACAACAGAGCACAGACAAATCCATTATGACCCATACAGGTTGTGAGCTCCTAAGACACAGCTAAGATTTCCTCATCATTGACTTTTCTTCTTTGTTTCTGGTCATCAGTGTTGCGGGAAGTCAGGGACCCTGAACGGAGGGACCTGCTGAAACCACGGCAGAAGAACATAAATTGTGAAGATTTCATGGACATTTGTTAGTTCCCCAAATTAATACTTTTATAATTTCTTATGCCTGTCTTTACTGCAGTCTCTGAACATAAATTGTGAAGATTTCATGAACATTTATCACTTCCCCAATCAATACTCTTATAATTTCCTATGCCTGTCTTTACTTTAATCTTTTAATTCCGTCATCTCCGTAAGCTGAGGATGTATATCGCCTCAGGACCCTGTGATGATTGCGTTATCTGCACAAATTGTTTGTAAAACATGTGTGTTTGAACAATATGAAATCTGAGCACCTTGAAAAGAACAGGATAACAGTGATTTTCAGGGAATAAGGGAGATAACCATAAAGTCTGACTGCCTGTGGGGCCTGGCAGAACAGAGTCATATTTCTCTTCTTTCAGAAAGCGAATAGGAGAAATGTCGCTGAATTCTTTTCTCAGCAAGGAATAACCCTGGGAAAACGAATGCATTCCCAGGGGTAGGTCTCTAAAATGGCTGCTCTGGGAGTGTCTGTCTTATGCAGTTGTAGACATGGGATGAAATATGCCCTGGCCTCCTGCAGCACCCCCAGGCTTGCTAGGATTAGGAAATTCCAGCCTGGTTGTCTGCTCACAAACCCTGTTTCCTCTTAAGATGTTTATCAATGACAATGTGTGCCCAGCAGGACATGGACCTTCATCAGTAATTCTAGTTTCACCCTGGCCTTGTGATCTC
Source organism: Homo sapiens (assembly GCF_000001405.40). Lineage (NCBI taxonomy): Eukaryota > Metazoa > Chordata > Mammalia > Primates > Hominidae > Homo > Homo sapiens. Next base: position 80,902,639 of record NC_000005.10, on the reverse strand, counting down.
ACTCTGCCTCTCTGCTGTTGTGATATTTTATTGCCTTTGAAGCATGTGACCCACTCCCTATTCGTACACTCCTTCCCTTTTGAAATCCCTAATAAAAACTTGCTGGTTTTGTGGCTCAAGGGGCATCAAGGAACCTGCCAACATGTGATGTCACCCCCAGAGACCCAGCTGTAAAATTTCTTTCTTTTGTACTCTTTCTCTTTATTTCTCAGACCGGCCAACACTTAGGGAAAATAGAAAAGAACCTACGTTGAGATACTGGAGGCTGGTTCCCCTGATACATCAGAAACTGCTATACCCCTACTTTATTTTTGATTCATAACCTTCACAAATATACCTCAGAGCCTGAACAAAACAAAAACAATAAAAAAAATGCATGACTAAATATGCATTTTACACAAAGAAATAACTCTGTGTGCTGTTCCACCAGGCAAGGTGCAGCTACAAAGAGACAGCAGAAGACAAAGAAGAATTCTTAAAGGCTTCTTCTGAACACATCTTATAGCCTTCAGAAATTATATGAATTGGGTACTTATTTAAATAATTCAATAGCAGGAATATAGGCTAACTTTTTGTTTTTAAAAATGAGCCAGTCCCAAAAAGTATGGCTAAGATTAGGTTTAGGGTCAAAATTATGCCCAATTTTATTCATCATTTCTAAAAAAGGAAAGACGAGTCTTCCAGGAAACATGGATGGGACATAAAATGTATTCCTCCACTTCTTCCCCTGAGAAATAACAAACAAGGCCAAGCAAACACTGAGAAGGAAATATCTATAATGAAATCAGAACAGCCACAATTCCACTGAATAGACTCTGAAGAACGTCTGTCAAATACAATGAAATGGGGACCAAAAAACTGAAGGAGCGTGCTGATATTTGACACTCATCTTATGCAAGATACAGGGAGTGTGCAGTGAGCCCTCTCAACAATGCTTACACTGGATATGGTTAGAGTGGGATATGCATGAACTCAGCATGCGTGGTGAGCACTCATTGCATACCCAGCTTGCAGGTGAAGAAAGTTTGAAGAATAACCTTTCAGCATGCTTTGAAAACAAATCTTATTGAAGTTTAATATACATACAAAAATGCACTAAGTGGACATACCCATGTAACTAGCATTATCCTGAGGCAGGAGAATAGGGTCTGGAGACAGGGAGCCTAACAGCAACCTGCGGCTGACTTCTTGGAACTGGACAGAAAGGAAAACCCCACTTCTCCATGCCTAAGTGACAAGGGGCCAGAGGTCCCTCCCTCTACAAATCCCCCTCTCCCATACGTCATAAATGGGAAATGCCTTTGATCACAGGACAGGCTTCCACTTCAGCCTCTGATTGGTCATGGGCCAAGCTTCCACTCAGCCTCTGACTGATCGTGGGTCAATCCTTCATTTGCATAGTGTGTAACCTATCAGAGGCTTTTAAAAGGTACTTGAGGGTGTTACCAAATTATTTTAGTTCATAAAAACCCTAAAGAACATTGCAACTGGCGATCTTGAGCCACTTGCTCGAGCTTGCTCCCACTCTGTGGAGTATACTTTCGCTTCAAAAAATCTGTGTTTTTGGCCGGGTGCGGTGGCTCATGCCTGTAATCCCAGCACTTTGGGAGGCCAAGGTGGGCAGATCACAAGGTCAGGAGATCGAGACCATCCTGGCCAACATGGTGAAACCCCATCTCTACTAAAAATACAAAAATTAGCTGGGCACGGTGGCATGCACCTGTAGTCCCAGCTACTTGGGAGGCTGAGGCAGGAGAATTGCTTGAACCTGGGAGGCGGAGGTTGCAGTGAGCCAAGATCATGCCACGTACTCCAGCCTGGTGACAGAGCAAGACTCCATCTCAAAAAAACAAACAAACAAACAAAAATAACAAAAAAAAGCCTGTGCTTCCATTGCTTCATTCTTTCATTGCTTTGTTTGTGCCTTTTGTTCAATTCTTTGTTCGACATGCCAAAAACATGGAAAACCTGCAGTCAAGACTTTCCATCTGGTAACATATATTGACGAGCCAGCCAGGAAGTAAGCACAATTGCCAGGAGTTTAGATTTCTTTTTCTCCTTCTTTTTATCAAGGCTGCCATTTGCAGGCATGGGTGGGGCAGTTAAAAGCCACTAGGGCATCCACCGCTTGAAGTCTCCCATGACATGATAACTTAGTCATGGAACAGGACATCTAGATCCTGCCAAGCACAAGACAAATCCATGCAACGGTCAGGTTTGCGTATGTGCAGCAATAATGTCTTTGAGATAATTTAATCCTTCACCTTCTAATTTCTACCCTTGCCTTGCAGATGCTTTGTGGGGGCCAGGGACTGCAAAACTGTTGTTGCATTTGAGCCCCCCATTACTTATCTGCATGCCCTGTTTGTTTATACATGGAAAGTGCAAAAAAGAACAAGCTTAGAGAAGACCCCCACATCTTGGGGCTTCTTAAACATTATTTTTCCTGTCCAGACCCCAAAGTAAATTACCAGCCGCAGGGATTCATATACCACCCTCCATCCTTCCTGGCTACAAGAAATACTCCACCAACCTTAATGTTATTGATATTAAGATTTTTGGCTATTACCATAACCCTACAAGGAATGCAAGAAGATATGGTGTATCTAAATTGGTGGGATGCTAAACGCCAGACAGTATACCCAGGAACAAAAGAGAAGCTCACGGTAGGCCATTGCCTACCAAGGGAAAACACAGAAAGTGGTGCCAGTGCCCACCTAAGGTCAGAGATGTCTGACACTCTAAGACTTGACCTAAAGGGATCCCCCTGGGGATCCAATGCCAAACCCAAGACTTCCCCTCGAGGATACCCCAGGTAGAAATTGTGGATGAACAAATAAGCCCTCCTGAGGATCTCTTTTCTCTTCCAGACCGCTATGGGAAGCACCCCATCTATTCCACCTGATTCCCCTCTTGGCTGCATCCTAAACCACTGGAGTCAATTTGACCCTGACAATCTGAAAAGGAAACGCTTGATTTTTCATTGTAATATTGCATGGCCCCAGTATCAGCTGGACAGTCAGGAATAACAGCCAGTCAATGGGTGCCTTAACTATGACACACTATTCTGCAATTAGACTTATTTTGCAAAAGACAGGGTAAATGGTCAGAAATACCATACACATTCAAGCTTTTACAGCTTTGTATCAGAATACTTCCATCTGTAAGTCTCCCAAGACTTGCCCTCAAATGGAGAGCCCCAAGACTGAGCCAGACATTGTGGATGATCCTCTCTCACAAGGGTCACTTGTCTCTCAGGGGGAACCACAGCCACCCCTATATAACCCCTTGTCAAATGCTCCAACCATGCAAGGCCACCCAGAGAAGGAAAAAACTTATATTCAGCCCCCAACATAACCGAAGTGGAACACCCTACTCAGCAGCTCCCCTGACACTACTGCCTCTTAGGGAAAGTAGCAGGAGCAGAAGGGCCACTTTGAGTGCAAGTCTCATTTGCCATAACTGATATTCAACAATGTAAAGAAAAACTGAAAAGATACTCTGACGACCCTGGCAAGTTTGTAGATGGGTTCCAGACCTTGGTTCTGGCCTTCAATTTATCAGGGAGAGGTATCCAATTTATTTTAGCATGCTGCTACACCCCTATGGAAAAGGAAAGCATTTTTGAAGCTGCCCACTGTGAGGCAGACAATACGTTTGCCTGAAATCCCCAGGGCAATCACCTGGGCCCAGACACAGTGCCCACCACTGACCCTAAATGGGATTATAATACCCCTGTGGAAATAAACAGGCAAGCAAAGTTTCTTGAGGCACTCCTTGGAGGGATGAAAAAGGGGATAACCAAGACCATAAATTATAAGGTCAGGGAAGTCACATAAGGGAAGGAGAAAAACCCAGCTATGTTTTATGGCAGGTTGGAAGAGGCCTTCAGAAAATATACAAATTTAGACCCTTCCTCTCCCAAGGGTATTGTGCTAATGGCACAGCATTTTATCAGCCAGTCCACTCTGGACATCAGGTGCAAGCTCCAAAAATTGCAATATGGGACCACTAATAACCAAAATCAGTTTCCTGATACTGCCTTTATGGTATATAACAATCGTGACCTGGAGGAGGGGAAAAAAGAACAGAGTAGAGAAAAAATGACACACCAAAATTATGGTAGCCATCACAGCCAACGCGCTAAGTGCCCAAAGAGCATTAAAGGGAAACCCAAAGGGCCATAAGGATGATGCCAACAAGGCTCTTGCTTCAAGTGCAAGAAAAATGGACATTGGGCAAAGGACTGCATTAAGCCGCTGCCATCAGTGTGAAAGCACCAGTCATGACCCCTGGCACTGGAGAACTGACTGCCCTGGCTCCCACCAAGGGGCTCAGTCAGTCAAGACTCTAGCAGTGCAAAAGAAGGAGCTAGATGAAGACTGAAGGGGCCTGGGACTTCCTCACTGCCCCTGTCCAGGCACATCATTATTACTACTGAGGAGCCCTGGGTAACTGTGGATGTGATGGGCAAACAAATTCAGTTTCTTTCTTTTTTTTTCTTTTTTTCTTTTTGAGACAGAGTCTAACTCTGTCACCCAGGCTGGAGTACAGTGGCATGATCTCAGCTCACTGTAACCTCCGCCTCCCAGGTTCAAGTGATTCTCCTGCCTCAGCCTCCCAAATAGCTGGGATTACAGGCATACACCACCATGCCTGGCTAATTTTTGTATTTTTAGTAGAGACGGGGTTTCACCATGTTGGTCAGGATGGTCTCAATCTCCTGACCTCCTGATCTGCCCGCCTTGGCCTCCCAAAGTGTTGAGATTACAGGTGTGAGCCACCACTCCTGGCCCAAATTCAGTTTCTTTTTAATACACGGCCAAGCTAGTTTGCCCTTACTGCTTATTCAGGAAAACCCTCAACTAGGACCATGACTATTATAGGAATGGAAGGGAAAAATAAAGTCAGGCATTTTATCTCTCCTTTAACCTGCCAATCTGAAAAACACATTTTCCCACAGGAGTTTCTAATAGTACCAAGCTGCCCAGTCCCCTTGAGAAGGGATATTATGGTTAAAATAGGGGCACTGCTACAATTTAAGTACCACCCATCAAGATTGCTAACGCTAAGTGATGCAGACAATGTTCCAGGCCATGTCAACAAACATGTCAACCACTAGCATGGTACACTGGGAGGCCTGGAAGAGCTAGAATGGCAGTGCTCCAAAATACAGCTTAAAGAATCCAGTCGTTTTCCCAACCAAAAACAATACCCAATTAAGCTGGAAGCACGAAAGGGCTTAGCATATGTAGTTAAGGAGTTGCTTGGCCAAGGACTCTAAAACCCTGAAATTCTCCCTACAATACCCCCATTTTACCTGTTTTAAAGCCTTCAGAACACAGTATAGTACAGGATCTCGGTGCAATTAATGAAGCCATGATACCTGTCCACCCATTAGTGGCAGATCCATATATTCTTTTCCGTTTTTTTTTTTGTTTGTTTGTTTGTTTGTTTTTTTTTTTTTGAGACAGGGTCTTGCTCTGTAGCCCAGGCTGGAGTGCAGTGGCACGAACTCGGCTCACTGCAAGCTCTGCTTGCTGGGTTCACGACATTCTCCTCCCTCAGCCTCCCAAGTAGCTGGGACTACAGGCACCTGCCACCACATCTGGCTAATTTTTTTTTTTGTATTTTTAGTAGAGACAGGGTTTCACCATGTTAGCCAGGATGGTCTCGATCTCCTGACCTCATGATCCACCCGCCTCGGTCTCCCAAAGTGCTGGGATTATAGGCGTGAGCCACTGTGCCCAGCCCCATATGTTCTTTTAACTCAAGGGCCGGGGAATGGTTCTCAGTCCTAGACTTAAAAGATGCTTTCTTTTCCATTCCTCTGGCCCTAGAATCTCAATACCTTTTTATTTTGAATGGGAAGATCCTAACGGCAGAGAACAATGACAATACAACTAGTTGGACAGTACTCCCTCAGGGCTTTTGGGATAGCCCCTATTTTATTTTATTTTTTGCCTGAGCCTTAGAAAGGGATCTAAGGGAGCTGGGCGCGGTGGCTCATGCCTGTAATCCCAGTACTTTGGGAGGCCAAGGAGGGCGGATCACCTGAATTCGAGAATTCGAGACCAGCCTGACCAAGATGGAGAAATCCCATCTCTACTAAAAATACAAAAAATTAGCCAGATATGGTAGCTCATGTCTGTAATCCCAGCTACTCGGGAGGCTGAGGCAGGAGAATCGCTTGAACCCAGGAGGCGGAGGTTGTGGTGAGCCGAGATCGTGCCACTGTACTCCAGCCTGGGAAGCAAGAGTAAAACTCAACCTCAAAAAAAAAAAAAAAAAAAAGAAAAGAAAAAGGGATCTGAGGGATCTGCAATTGGGAAACGGGAGTGTACTCCAGTATGCTGATGACCTTCTTGTGTGTAGTCCAACCTGGGACGCATCTGACCAAAATACTGTAAGAACCTTGAATTTACTGGCAGACATTTGAGAAACTTGAATTTACTTGAATACAAAGTGTCCAAAAAGAAGGTTCAATTCACCCTCCAACAGGTCCAGTATTTGGGGTATAGCTGTGGGAGTGCTAACCCAGAAATTGGGATCAGAACCCAGACCAACCACTTGCTTTTCAGAGAAATTGAATGGAGTGGTTTCAGGGTGGCCAACCTGCCTGTGGGCAGTAGTAGCAGCCACTGCTATTTTAGTGGAGAAAGCCACTAAAATCACCCTGAGTCAACCACTGGAAGTGTTAAGCCCACATCAGGTAAAGTCAGTCCTAGGAATAAAAGGATGTATCTGGATGACAGGAGAAAGGTTAACCAAATACCTGGCTATGGTCCTGGACAATCCAGAGGTTACCCTTAAACCTATAACACCCTGAAATATGGCTTCATTGCTTCCCAGAGGCCCAATAATTAATCATTCCTGCGAGCAGGTCATCACATACACATATGTCATCCGACATGATTTAAAAGATCAGCCCCTCCCAGATTCAGAGGATGACAGATTCATAGATTGCAGTAGCTTCATGTCAAATGCAGGGTGGGGTGGGGGTGGGGAATGCCAGGCTGGATATGCAGTATTAAATTACAATACCATTACTGATTTCCAGCTGCTGCCCCCAGGCATGTCAGCACAAAAAGCTGATAGAATTGCTCTTACTCAAACCCTGATATTAGGAAAAGGGGAAAAGGTTAACATCTATACAGATTTTAAATATGCATTTCTTGTGGTTCATGTTCATGCTGCAATTTGGAAAGAAAGAGGACTACTAACTAGTAAACATTCCCCCATAAAGCATGGGTCTGAAATTCTTCAACTATTGGAAGCGATACACTTGCCAAAAGTCATATCCATAATCCATTGTAAGGGGCATCAAAAGGACTTAACCCGTATAGCACACGGGAACAAAAAGACTAAGAAAGCCAACGCAGCAGCCCATGGGGTGCAGTCTCAACAAATCTTAGCACTGCCTCCATTTTTATGATTCCCAGTAGAATCTGAATACACATCACAGAAGAGTAGTTAATAAAAGAACGAGGGGGACAAAAACAAGGATCCTGGTGGCATACAGGATCAAAAGTATATATCTCCCTCAAACAGCCCAATGGAAAGTTATAAAAACCCTGCATGACTTTTTTTTTTTTTTTTTTTTTTGGACACAGTGTCTCGCTTTGTGACCCAGGCTGGAGTGCAGTGGCATGATCTTGGCTCACTGCAACCTGCCTCCTGGGTTCAAGCGATTCTCCTGCCTCAGCCTCCAGAGTAGCTGGGATTACAGGTGCAGACCACATGCCCGGCTAATTTTTTTTTTTATTTCTAGTAGAGATGAGGTTTCGCCATGTTGGCCAGGCTGGTCTTGAACTCCTGGCCTCAAGTGATGCACCCACCTAGGCCTCCCAAAGTGGCAAGATTACAGGCATAAGCCACAGTGCCCAGCCTAAACACCCTGCATGAATCTTTCTGTATGGGGGGAGATGCTACTCTGGCCATCATAAACAGGCTCTTTATTGGGCCTAACTTAGCTTTGGTGATTAAGCAGGTCTGTCAAGCCTGCTCACTGTGTGCATTCAACAACTCAGGAAACAAAATGCCTCCTCTAATGGAACCAGTCCAGAGAAGGTGAACTCATCCAGGCAATTGGACTTTCCCCATATGCCAGCCTGCAGAGGATGCAAGTTCTTGCTAGTGATACAGGATTTTCTGCTCCTTAGTTCAGCTAAAATCCAGGTTCTAGTCTCACATCTGGGAAAAATTAGGCACACAGACATTGAAGGGCGAGGAGGGCAGATTTATTAGGTGAAAAGAAAGCTCTCAGCAAAGAAAGAGGGGGTCCTGCCAACAGGCTCCCACCTCACAGACTGAATACCAGGCCACCACACAGGGGCTGAAGAGGCCAGGCTCCTCCTGAGAGAAGGTGTGAATTCCTGGTGCTCCACACCATTCTTACAGTGTGCAGGGGGGCCCTTAGTCTGAGCCACTCCACACTGACTTATTTCCCTTACTGTGCATGTATTAAGGGACAGAATTTTTCAACGTGGCCATGTTTAGGCAAGCTCCCTGTGCACAATGATCTGGGTGGCATTTGGCTGTCTCCTGTCTCTATCGTTAGTACTAATAGACACCTTTCCTGGCTGGGTTGAAGGTTACTTTACCAGAACAGAGAAGGCTAATGAAGTTATAAAGGTTCTCTTAAAGGAAATAATCCCTGGTTTGTGTAACCCCAAAGCCTCCAAAGTGATAACGGCCCATCTTTACTCAAGGGGTTGCTAAGGCTCTCGGAATCAAATACTATTTATATTCAGCACGGAGGCCTCAATCCTCTGGGAAAGAAGGGCTAATCAAACTCTGAAATGGGTGTTAGCTAAGCTATGCCAGGAAACATCAGAAACTTGGGTCAGCTTACTGCCCATAGCCCTCTTAAGAATCCACAACTTTTAGAGAGCAAAAATACATATGAGCTCATATGAGATGCTATATAGGAGGCCATTTTTAACTAATGATCTAATTACTGATCCAGAAATGGCTGGTTTAATACAGTACCTAGTTAACCTAGGACAATTTCAGCAGGCACTACAAAAGTTTGGAACTCAAAGGCTTCCCACATCAGGAACTAACCAGCAATTCAAGGTCAGGCCAGGAGATAAGGTAGTTGTTAAAACACGGAAAGAGGGGTCCCCCACTCAACAACTACAACCCAAATGGAAGGGACCTTTTTCAGTGGTGTTGGCTATGCCTTCTGCAGTCAAAGTACTAGCATTAGATAGTTGGATACCTCGTTCCAGGATCAAGTCTGCCATACCTGAAGTCCTGGACCTGGAACCTGAAGCTCCCATCACCACTACCCGAAGACCTGAAGTTCCTATTCAAAAGGACAAAATAACACTTAAGTGCTTTTGGCTCCCATAATGATTCGCCATGGCCTGTGTATACTGGACCGTATATACAGGGAATTAGCTTAATTTTTCAGTGGGGCTCACCCTACCCCTCCGGCAATTAGTGAATTCTGGTTATTTATTAAGAACATTAATTAAACACAAAGACTGTTAAATACCACCAGTCCACCTTTGGCAAAGCACTGTTGGCTTCGTCTATCTCCATCATCATCCAAATATGCTGCCATCCCAATCCCAACCCAATCTTGGGCCTCTGAAAAAATGACCTATCTCACCTGAACCATAAGGGAAGAATCCCCTTCAAATTAATGAACCTGGATGACTTATATGACTCCAAAGTTACAAAATTGACAAAGGTTACAATGACAGGATAAACAGTAAACCTTCTCCAGTCCTACCAAAGCAACCTTTCTGGGGTCACATCCCCTCAAAAACCCATTTGGGGCTCAATATCAATGCACACAGAACTAAGATTCCATGCGCCCTTTGTATTAAAAGAAGCAAAAATTTTGGTCAGGCCCTTTGTATTAAAAGAAGCAAAAATTTTGAAAAGTCATCAATGCAGCTATACCCTAGGTATTAACCCCTCACATGATCATGTAAGCTATGCAGTTACCCAGACTGCATCATTTAGGAAACCTGTACAGTTTTCAGGGAAACCACCCCTAGTTAAGGGTACTTTAAAGGATTCACAGTCTAAGTACTAAGTACTGTCTAAGTACTGTCAGGGTAGGCCCACCAGCTGTGTTCACATTTTCCCTTGGGAAGACTGTACTAACTCTGAGACATCTAGCTGCCTTTTAGTTCCCCATTATGAAAATACCTCTAGGTGGTTGTTGGTGGATACTAAGCATAACTACCTACACTGAGGGAAGAACAAAACCACTGGAGCAACTCAGGATACTTCCCAAGGCTCCTTCCAGCCTTTAATCGGGGCCACTTTAGCAAGGACTTTAACCACTTGGGAAAGTGAAAACAACAAGCTAACTCATACGTTCACCATAGAGAACAATTTTTGTCTTGAAAAACAAGAAGCCTTTTTCCCATGTGAGACTAGTTCCTACTTATGTTTACCAGCCAATTGGACTCGAATCTGTACACTTGTTTATTTAGCTCCAAGATCAATATGCCTCCCAATAACCAGTCTTTCATTATATCTATAACTGCAACCGCCAGGCACAAATGAACCATCCAACTCATGCCCCTTTTAGTATGAGGTTAGGAATAACTGCAGGAGTAGAAACAGGAGTTACCAGGCTTGCAACTTCCCTATCCTATTACCAATGCTGTCCAAGGATCTTTCAGACAGCCTGGAAAACATTGTCCAGAGCATTGTCACCATAGAAAATCAGATAGACTCCTTAGCAGTGGATGCTTTACAAAATAGAAGGGGACTGGATACCCTAACTGCTGAAAAAGGTGGCTTATGTCTTTCCGTAGAGGAAGAATGCTGATTTTATATCAACCAAATCAGGATTAGTAAGGGATTTTGGCTGACAATTAGCTGAGCAGGCCTCTGAAATACGACAACAGCTGTCCAAGTCATGGGGCTCCTGGTCAAGGGCACTAAGGTGGGCTTCATGGCTCCTTCCCCTGGCTGGCCCATTATTAATAATTATACTTGTACTGATTTTTGGACAATGTTTGTTAAATCTTTTAACCAGATTTACTTCTTCTTGCCTTGAGGCCATTAAGCTTCAAATGATCATGTAGCAGGACTTCCTGCCAGTTCCAGGTGACAATGCCAGCCCCGGTCATCAAGAAGTCATCCTGTCTCCACTAGACAGAACGGGGCGAGAGTTCCATGGTCCCCAATAGGTAGGGACTGCGCCCCAATCATCATGAAGCAGTTACAGAAGAAAGGCCGTCGATTCCTTTGTCTCCCATAAAGATTCATGGGAATCATGTCTCTTAGGAGGAAATGAAGCAGGAGAATAAGGTCTGGAAAGAGGGAGCCTAAGGCCAATCTGTGGCTGACTTCTTGAAATTGGACCAAAAGGAAAACCCCACCTCTCCATGCCCAAGGGACAAGGGGCCAGAGGTCCCTCCCTCTACATAACCTCCTCTCCCCTATGTCACAAATGGGAAATGCCTCTGAATGGTCACAGGACAAGCCTCCACTTCAGCCTCTGATTGGTCCAATCCTTCATTTGCATAGTGTATAACCTATCAGAGGCCTCTAAAGGGTACTTAGGGGTATAACCAAATTCTTTTAGTTAATAAAAACCCTAAAGAGCATTGCAGTTGGGGCCCTTGAGCCACTTGCTCCAGCTTGCTCCCACTCTGTGGAGTGTACTTTTGCTGCAGTAAATCTGTGCTTTCGTTGCTTCATTCTTTTGTTGCTTTGTGTTTTGTTCAATTTATCAAGAACCAGGACAACTTATAGTTAAGACCTTCCACGTGGTAACAATCTCCAGATACAGGATATTACCATCACCACAGAAGGCTGCCTTGTCCTTCACCAAAGGAGGTTTTCTAATGGGGTAAGTTGGTTTTGCTTCTTTTTACTCTGGGTATACGTGGAGTCATACATACATAGCCATACAGTATGTATGGTTATGTCCATTGGTCATGCCATTTTTATTTCCTCCTGTGTAGTTTCCTAACCAGGGAGAGAGGTCAAGAGATGAGCAGCAGAGGGAACCAGCTTGCTGTAGAGCAAAGATGACTAAATATAAATAAGTAAGACTGGACCTTTTAAATAAATGGCCAGGGAGCCACAGAACCTCACACTGTCCTCCAATTTGAAGAGCATGAGAAACCTGGGACTGTCCACTACTCTCCCCTTACACCAGACTAGACATACACTAGTGATGAAAGATGAAACAGGCCGGGCGCGGTGGCTCATGCCTGTAATCCCAGCACTTTGGGAGGCTGAGGTGGGCGGACCACAAGGTCAGGAGATCGAGACCATCCTGGCTAACACGGTGAAACCCCATCTCTACTAAAAAATACAAAAAATTAGCCAGGCGTCGTGGCAGCTGCCTGTAGTCCCAGCTACTCGGGAGGCTGAGGCAGGAGAATGGCGTGAACCCAGGAGGCGGGGCTTGCAGTGAGCCAAGATCGCACCACTGCACTCCAGCCTGGGCGACAGAGTGAGACTCTGTCTCAAAAAAAAAAAAAAAAAAAAAAAAAAAAAGAAACAGATAACAGTGATTGCATGCTTGGAGATAGCATACCTAAAGTGGGCTGGCTGATTTGCTGCTCAGCATCACTATTCTCTGCTGCTCCCTGCCTATCTCCGCTGAAAGTAACTGAATAACCACACAGATTACAAGGTAAAAGCATTAGGAAAAGGCAGGTGCATTAATACTTACTTTTACTACACTGGGCAAATATCAGTCTATGCAGAACTGTCCCCACTCAAAGATAAGGAAAATGATGGTATGCAACCTATGCAAAAATAATTTTTATAATTAAGGGCTATAACATGAAAAAGATAAATGCAGAATATACACTTGAAGCTCGGTGTGATGGCACACACCTATAATCCCCGCATTTCGGGAGGCTGAGGCAGGAGGGCTGTTTGAGCCCAGGAGTTTGAGACCAGCCTGGGCAACAAGGTGAAACCTTGACTCTACGAAAAATACAAAAACTAGCTGGGCATGGTGGTACACACCTGTAGTCTCAGCTTCTTGGGAAACTGAGGTGGGAGGACTGCCTGAGCCCAGGAGGTCAAGCCATGATTGCTCCACTGTACTCCAACCAGGGCAACAGAGGGAGACCCTATTTTGGAAAAAAAAAAAAAAGAAAATACATTTGAAGATTCCTCCTGAAAACTTTTAAAGTTTTAGAGAAAAAACATGGGCTGTGATATCTTAGGATCTGAAGAAAACAAATGGAAAGAGAAACGGAGAGCAATGGAGGATAAGAATAGCTGGGGTTACAGAGATAAAAGTTATTACTAAAAAGGTCCCATATAGAATTCAATAGCGTCAACATGTGGTAACAGTTTTTCTTTTCTTTTCTGAGACAGGGTCTCGCTCTGTAGCCCAGGCTGGAGTGCAGTGGCATGACCACGGCTGACTGCAGTCTTGACCTCCTGGGCTCAGGTGATGCTCCCACCTCAACCTCTGCAGTAGCTGGGACTACAGGCACACACCACCAAACCCAGCTAATTTTTTGTAGAAACGGAGTTTTGCAATTTGCCCAGGCTGGTCTTGAACTCCTGTGTGCAAGGGATCCACCACTTCAGCCTCCTAAAGTGCTGTTATTATAAGCATGAGCCACCATACCTGGCCTATAGTTTTCTAAAGAGGAGAACAGAAAAAAAAAATAATGCTCAAATACACAGTAGAAGAAAATTTTTCTGTATAAAAGGAAAGCTAGACTAAGTAGAATAAAAGGGCTGTGTTTTAGGGAAAATTAATAGAACTTACTCATTAATAAAACAAATTCTGGTTATAGTGTTGAACTTCAAGGATAGAGAATATCTATCCACCATAAGGAAATGTAATCCCCAAGAAAAATAAATCAGACTGACCTTACATTTCTCCTTAGCAACATTAGGTGCCAAAAAGCAATGATGCAAAGTTCACAAGGCTTGAATGAAACGAGACCCTAAAAAGCCAAGCTTCCATTCACACATACAAACCAAAGAAAGCCAGGCTCACATATGTGGGAATTCAGGAAATATAGCAACCATGAATCCTTTCTAAAAAATACTGAAGACATAATCCAGTTAAGTTGATGCATCACAATAAAGAACTCGCAGGAAAGTTTTGATATGGAAAAGCTAGAAATAAGCATCACTTCCAGTTAAACATAAACACAAAAATACGTGTAAGTATAGATACCAAATAGACTATAACTGTAATAAAGTTTTGAAGAAAAGCTAATGTTAAAATGAGAAAGAATAATTCAATCATAATGAACTTAGAAAAAAATCCAGAATACATCAACAAAACAGGAGCCAAAAGAGATAGGAGGAAATCAGTGTAAGAGAATTGGCAGCACATATTTTTCTGTAGTTTTATACACACATACACACACACACATACAGACACACACACCTGGGGTCTCACTCTGTTGCCCAGGCTATAGTGCAGTGGTGTGATCATGGCTCACTGTAGCCTTGACCTCCTGGTCTCAAGTGATCCTCCCACCTTAGCCTCCCCGGTAGCTGGGACTCAGGCATGCACCACCACACCCAGCTAATTTGTTTTTTTTTTTTGGTATTTTTAGTAGAGGCGAGTTTTCAGCATGTTGCCCAGGCTGGTCTTGAACTCCTGGGCTCAAGGGATCTGCCTCTCTGGGCCTCCCAAAGCTCTGAATTAAGCCGAGCATGATGGCTCACGCCTATAATCCCAGCACTTTGGGAGGCCGAGGTGGGCGGATCACTTGAAGTCAGGAGTTTGAGACCAGCTGGCCAATATGGTGAAACTCCACTTCTACTAAAAATACAAAAGTTAGCCAGGCATGATGGCGTGTGCCTGTAGTTCCAGCTACTTGGGAGGCTGAGGCAGGAGAATCACTTGAGCCTGAGACGCAGAGGTTGCAGTGAGCCAAGATTGTGCCACTGTACTCCAGCCTGGGTGACATAGCAAGACTCCATCCCGAACAACAACAACAACAACAACAACAACAACAACAAACATAAAAGCGCTGGGATTACAGGCACGAGCCACTGTACCCGGGCTGTAGTATTTAAGAAGAAAAACTGAAACATATGATTGTTTTCGGTTATAAAGACAATCCCAACAGAACTAATGGGATGATGGGCAAAACAAAAAGGGGCCATATAGAAAAACAGAAGAATAAAAACCTTCACAGAGATATGTAAGAAGAAAACTAATAGGGCCAGGCTCGGTGGCTCACACCTATAATCCCAGCACTTTGGGAGGCTGAGGCAGGCGGATCACTTGAGGTCAGGAGTTTGAGAATAGCCTAGCCAATATGGTGAAATCCTGTCTCTTCTAAAAATACAAAACATTAGCCGGGCGTGGTGGTGCATACCTGTAATCCCAGCTACTTGGGAGGCTGAGGCTGAGAATTGTTTGAGCCTGGGAGGTGGAGGTTGCAGTGAGCCAAGACCGTGCTACTATATTCCAGGATGGGCAACACAGTGAGACTCTGTCTCAAAAAAAAAAAAAAGAAAGAAAGAAAGAAAGAAAAATAATAGGATCCCAGAAGTATATCAGTTGTATCAGTTCATGTATAAAGGACAAGTTCACCTATTCAAAAAAAAAAAAAAAAAAAAAAGGGTCAGAGTTTCTAACTATCTGCTGTCTTCAAGAGACATAGTGAAGTCACTAGAACTAAAAAACAAACAAACACACAAAGAAACAAACAAAAAAAACCCAAACAGTACTGTTACAGATATACTGGGCAAATGCAAACCCAAATAAAGTAGGTCATCATGTTAATATCAGGCAAAGTTGAATGTAACGCAAGAGGCATTAAATGGAACAATGTGGGTTACAGTAGAATGATGAAGAGTGTAATCTATAATGAAGATATATAACTGGCATAAACCTTTATGTGGCAAATAAAGCATCAAAGTACATAAAACAAAAACTTCATAAATAAGGAAGTATCAGGTTTAATATGCTTCTTAGTTCTAGAAAAATTGAACAAATTTGAGGGAAAATTATATAGATAATCTGCAGAGTATAATTCATATGATTAAAATCATATAAAATAGGGTCTGGGCGTGGTGGCTCCTGCCTATAATCCCAGCACTTTGGGAAGCTGAGGTGGGAGGGTCATTTCTATCCAGGAGTTTGAGACCAGCCTGGGCAACATGGCGAGACACTCATCTCTACAAAACACCAAAAACTAGCTGCTCATGGTGGCATGTGCCTGTAGTCTCAGCTACTCCTACTCAGGAGGCTGAAGTAAGAGGATCGCTTCAGCCTGGCAGTCAAGGCTGCAGTGAGCCTGATTACACCACTGCAGTCATACTGGGTGACAGTGAGACTCTATCTCAAAATAAAATAAAATAAAATAAAATAAAATAGGACATAGAAAATGTGATTAATATAATCAATTGACATAGGATCTGATATAAGGGTCAATCAAATAATAAATATTTTAGGCTTTGCAGACCATATGGTCTCTGCTGTACGACTCAACTGTAGTGTAAAAGCAGCCACAGACACTATAGAAACAAATGGTCATAGCTGTAATCAAACTAAACATTATTTACTAAAATGGGCAGTGGGCCAGATTTGGTCCATAGGCTATAGTTTTCCCACCTCTGATCTAATGGTATAAAATTTTACATATACATGCATACAACTTTATATCCTGAGGACAGGAAATGCACCTTTTACTCAAGCACTCAGGGAACACTTAAAGAAATATAACAGGAGAATTTCTAAGATAGTCAAAATGGTATAGATGATATTTTCTGACCACAATGAAATAAAACTCAATAACAAAAGAGGAAACAAAATAACTTCTTTGACAGATATAACAGAGCAGCTCAATCAATAGGACTCTAACTCATTTGTCAGATTCCTTCCTGTGGACAAGAGCCAGAAGGCCAAAGTCTGCATTTTTCCCATTCCCTTGAGACTAAGGTTCTGTAAGGGCCTGCCTTTCACCAAAGACACATATCTATGAGAGACTTGGAAGCAGAATTGAATTTTGTAAGGGAAGACCATGGCTGCTCAGGCAGGTATCATCTGGGAGTTTGGTTTTTCTGCAACAGTTGCAGTGGAGTGTTTTGGTGTCTAGTCATTATCTTTGTGAGCAGCAAAGGAGAGGTGGTAGCAATGAACTTTTTACTGGCACAGTACAGTGGGTCATTGATCCTGACCATACTGCTTCTCATAAAATATCTAGGCTTGATCCTCTAGCTCATTCAGAAACTCTGAAAGCTAAATAGACCCCATAATAAATTCCTGTCTTCATAAACTGGGGAGTATGTTCTGTTGTCTGTAACTAAGAACTTGTTCAAAACAACCCCAACCACTTGAAGGTTTTACAACTGTCTAAATCTTTGTAACTCTTTTAAAGGTACTAAGTGGCAGGGCCAGCACTAGAAGTGCTGTTTGTACTGAGCCATGAAGCCTCAGTTGAATGTATATCATATGCTGTGTCACTCATATTTCAACCAATGATCAGATGAGTCACAGTCCGATGAGTATCTTTGGAGCCTAAAGAAAGGCTGGTTAGTGCTCTCTTTGCATATCCTCACTTTGGGTGGAAATCATGACCTAAGGGGAAGAATTTTTCTTTCCTCCAAATACAGTGAAAGATAGATGTCATAAAAAATTATGGCCCTTCTGGTTCCCCTTTAGATCCTCTTCCTAGTAAAGTGAAACTCAGTGACTAAAATACACACACACACACACACACACACACACACACACCCCTAAGACAACCCACTGAATTCAAGTTAATCCTTTCTACCCCAAAGCTATAAGTTGCTCAGCAAGTTCAGAGTCATTGGGAAGCCAGAGGAAAGGCATTTCAGAGAAACAAACATCATAGGTTTGGGACAATAAGAAAAGATAGAGGAGTGGGAAGTAGCATGTGAGAGGGTGATGGGTACAGGCAGGTGCAAAAGACACCACGTACGAAGTTATAAATTGTTCACTAAGAGAGAAGGGAGAAACAGCATCAGCAAATACAGAAAGAAGTGAAGGACACACTGGGCTGCTAGGACCTTTCAATCATCAATTTACAAGGCCATAGGCAGGGAATTCCACGCCAGAGGTTGCTACTCTCCAGGCTAGCTGGCTGTCCATGTGGAGGCCCCAGAAAAAACCTGTACAACAGGAACTACCATCATTAACATAACCAATCAGGTCTGCCTTCCTAAACAGTTGAAGGACAAAGGAAGTAAGAAATTGGTAAATTGGTAGAGGGGGCAGGAACAGAGACACTTGGAAAGAAGGCAGTTAAGCCAGAGGAAAGCAAAAGGCCAGAAAACAAAGAGACAACAGAGCAGGAAGTCAGTAATGGCAGATGCAGCAAAACTGAAGACAGAGAGAAACTGATTCTCTATAATGGTGGAACAGCTGCCAAGCCTGGAGAAACAGAGGCAGTGAGAAAGGAAGCTTGTTGTGGATAGAGTGACTAACAGAAATCAAACTATGCTGTATTCTGAAAATGACTCCAATTTCTCTTCTTCCATAAGCCCAGGTTAGGCCACTGTTTCTATTCTTGCAACTTAAGAGAATCTATCACTATTAACTAAGTTTGCAATTATTCATTTAGACCAGATTTATGATAAATTGCCACTGTGAAGGAGTCATTTTAGTTTAACAATGTCTTAGCTATGGTTGAGCATTTATATAACATTTTTCTCTTCTGGTTTAGGGCCAGTCACAAACTGCCTGAATATAATTAGGTGTCTTGCAATTAATGACCTACACTCACCTGCCACTAACAAATGTCTTTTTTACATTTAAATCAGATAGTTTGAAGTCTCTGGTACTTCTGTAGAAAAGTTACCATTCAAAAAGCTACTAATCAACCCAAAAGCCCATCAATGACAGACTGGATAAAGACAATGTGGTAAATATACACCATGGAATACTATACAGCCATAGAAAGAACAGGATCATGTCCTTTGCAGGAACATGGATGGAGCTGGAGGCCGTTATCCTTAGCAAACTAAGGCAGGAACAGAAAACCAAATACTGCATGTTCTTGCTTATAAGTGGGAGCTAAATGATAAGAACTCATGGACCCAGAGGGGAACAACTGACACTGGGGCCTCCTTGAGGGTGGAGGGTGGGAGGAGGGAGAGCTTACTAGGTACTAGTAAGGTACTAGGCTTAGTACCTGGGTGACGAAATAATCTGTAAACAAACCCCTATGACAAGAGTTTACTTATATAACAACCGGCACATGTACCCCTGAACCTAAAAAAGGAAAAACCTTAAAAAAGAAAAAAGAAAGTTACTATTTCAACTTATTCAATTTATTCCTTCCCACAAAAAAGAAACTGCATTTTCCCACTGCAAGAGAACTGAAGGACTTTTTCTTTCTTCTTTTTTTTTTTTAAAATTCAAACCTTACTCCAAGTCTTCTAATATAGGAGTGATTGTTTTAGGAGCATTTAATATTGCAGTATAAGTTAAACCACTGCTGATCAGCATCCATTTACACAGGGACTTATATGCCTATTGCTTACAAAGTATGAGTTAATTCCTGGATTCATTAACAACTCTTTTTCCTGTGTTTAAAACAGCGTGTCTTGTTATGTTGCCCAGGCTGGTTTCAAACTCCTGGCTTAAAGCAATTCTCCTGTCTGAGCCTCCCAGCAGTTTAGAGCTGTGAGCCACTACACCTGGCCAACCACTCTTTTCTATCATGCTTTTGTACCCACAGTGAAATAATAGTTTAGAAACCTAGCTTGTGTGCTAATACCAAAGCTACTGATTGCTGGAAAACTTAATGCTCAAGGTCATGAAGCAGAGTTAGTGCTTGGGAATATTTTCGTTACCTCCTTTCCTGATAATGCTGTAAAATGATTGAAATATCATTGAAAATACAAAATACTATTCTTGTAGAGTTTATCAAAAGATTGAAGTATTATGCCTCCTCTTCATAGACACTCCTTTAAATCTCATAACACAAAAATGCAATTTAAATGTTTGCTTTTGCCTGATATTCCATTAAAAAGTAATCTAAAAAGCTTGGAGAAATTAAAGGCCCACTGTTATTTGCAGAAGTGACCTCTTCTGATGAATAACATTTTGAAGGCAATATGGCTGTGCTTTTTAAAACTTGAGTCTTTATTTGCAAAGGAATCACTTAGGATACTCAGTTTAAAAATCAAGTGTCCTCTTTATATTTCCATTCAATTTTGCTGTGAGCCTAAAATTGCTGTAAAAAATAAAGTCTATTAAAAAAGAACTAGATATAGACCTTACACCCTTCACAAAAAAATCAAATAGACCATTGTAAAATGCAAACTACAAAATTCCTAGCAGATAGAAGAGGAGAAAATCTAGATGATCCTGGCCATAGCAATGACTTTTTAGATACAACTCCAAAGGCATGATCCATAAAGAAAGAACTGATAAGCTGGACCTCATTAAAATAAAAAACTTCTGCTCCATGAAAGGCGCTGTCAAGAGAATGAGAAGACAAGCCACAGATGACAAAAAACATAGCTGATAAAGGACTGTTATCCAAAATATGCAAAGAATACTTGAAGTTCAACAATAAGAAAATGAATAACCAGATCAAAAAATGAGCCAAAGATCTTGACACCTCACCGAATAAGATATAGATGACCAATAAGCATATAAAAAGATGTTCCACATCACGTGTCATCCAAGAAATGCAAGATAAAATAATGGAATACCACAACATACTATTAGAATGGCAAAATCCATAACACTGATACCACCAAATGCTAGCAAGGATGTGGAGCCACAGGAACTCTGATTCATTGCTGATGGGAATGTGAAATGGTAGTGTCACTATGGAAGACAGTATGGTGGTTTCTTACAAAACAACATTTACCAGCAATCACACTCCTTGGTACTTATCCAAATGAGATGAAAACGTATGTCCACGTAAAAAGCTACACACAGATGTTTACAGAGCTTTATTCATAATTGTCAAACTTGGAGGCAACCAAGATGTCCTTCAGTAGGTGAATGGATAAACTGTGGTACATCCAGATGATGGAATATTATTCAGTGCTAAGAAGAAATGAGCTGTCAAGCTATGAACAGACGTGGAGTAAGCTTGAGTACATGTTATTAAGTGAATAATAAGCTAGTCTGAAAAGACTACCTACTGTATGATTCTGGAAAAGGCAAAACTATGGAGACAGTGAAAGGATCAGTGGTTGCCAGTGGTTTGGGGTGAGTGGGATGCATAGGCAGAGCACAGAGGACTTTTAGGGCAGTAAAACTATTCTGTGTGATACTATAATGGTGATTACATGTCATTAGAAATCTGTCCAAACCCATAGAAGGTACAACATCAAGAGTGAGCCCCAATGTAAATTACGAACTCTGGGTGATAGTGTTGTGACAATGTAGGTTCATCAACCGTAACAAACATGCCACCACGGTGCAGGATGTCAATAGTGAGGGAGGTGGTGTGTTTGAGCAGAGGGTATGTGGGACCTCTCTGAGCTTTCCATTCAATTTTGTGATGAATCTAAAAGTGCTCTAAGAAATAGTCTATTTTAAAAATAATAATGAAGTTCCCTAGACCCCACACCAGATGCAGTAAATCAGACAGAATCGTAAAGAGCAGTCATGAACCAAGGAATATGATTTTTAACAAATTTCTTTGGAGGCCAGATCATTGGCCATATGAGGAAGGAAAAGGTGAGAGAACGTGATGAAGGGATGACAGAAACTAACACTGGTATTTCTGTGTCCCAACTTCAGAGATTCAGGTTCAGTAGCTTTAAGGCGGGGCCTAGAAATCCACATTTAAGAAACTCCTTTGGTGCTTCTGATAAGAGGGCAAGACATTCCTACCTCCAAATGGGAGCTTTCTGGAAGTAGGATTAAGAAAAAGGGGCTTGAGGTTGAAAAAGAGGTGAAAATGGCAGACAATATTTCTTTTCTGATGTGAAAATAAAATACTGTTTTGTCAAAAAAATAAAAAAAAGATAGCCAAAGGCAATGAAGAGAGGATCTGAGCAAAGGACAAAAGAACCAGAGGCAATTCCTCCTCCTGAGGAATAATTATTTCTGCAAGAAGACAGTCTTGCTGCGTGTCTCACAAAGTCATGTAGGTGCACATTCCTCACCATGATTTCGTGGAGAAGAGGCAGATGACATGTTATCTTTGGGGATTTAGCCTCAACAACAGATTAAGTAGTAAAGCTCTAACACACCAATTAGCAGAGCTGTAGCTTCTAAATGCCACAATACAAAGCACTTATCAAGAACAGGCAAAAACAACTGGCAGGTCTTTAGGGGAAAAACTGGTTCATCCAATGGGTAAGAAAAAAATGAAAAATTTTTTAGATGACATTTAAAATGTAGCAAGTCAGTAACTGTGCTCATGGAATAGCACCTATAATTGGGGTAACTGTATGAGTTATTATCCAAAACAGGACACTTTTGAGTTAAAGAGGCTTTTAATAATTATGCCAGCAAAACAGGTATAGAATAGGACTCCCCAAGTAAACCAGAATGAATGGCTCTCAAACTGTGGTACTTCCCTGGATATTAATAGACCGAATAATCATGATATATAATAACTAAAATGTTCCACAGAGGAATTGGCCTTAATTACAAAGTTAGAAACCACAGATGGTGTTAATACAAGTTCTTTTCTCTCTCCACCCATATCCTTGGTGTGAAACATCAAATAGCCCTTTTATAATTACAAAGCACAGCAGTAATTAATATTGATCTCAGAACTCAGTAAAGGTCAACACTAATTTATAGAAAATTTTGGATTCAATCTAGTTTTTACTCTGGAATTGATGCAGTGGGCAGTGTTTCACCAGCCCCAACACCATCACCATGATGACGACAGGCACAAACTTGGAAAAATTGTCTGAAAAAGTTTTTTTTTCTAAAGATATAGCACACTTCTGTATGGATCTTGAATCCCTAGTGAAATGGTGCCTTCATTATGAAAAGAAACATCTTTTCATTGGGTTTCTAAGCTGAAGGAGTTTGGTTTTTCTTTTCCACTTTAACAAATATTAATTAGGGTCTACAGTATGCTACACTCTGCCCTAAGTGACAGATAAAGCAGTGGACAAACAGACCAAATGATTGTCAACTCAATTAAAAATACTGTTTAGTCATCTGTCATCTTTGAGACTAATGGTTCACAAACCTGACTGCACATCAGAATTACTAGGGGAGCTTTTTAAAAAATATTATGCCTCGTCACATAAAAACCTATACACAAATATTCATGGTAGAATTACTCATAATAGCTAGAAATAGAAACAATCCAAATGTGCATCAACTAATGAATGGATAAATTAAAATGTAAGGTATACATAAAATGGAATACTTTTTACCAGTTAAAGAGAATGAAGTTCTGACACACAGATGAATCTTGCATCTAAGTGAAAGAAACCAGACACAAAAGACCACATATTCTATGGTTCCATTCATATGAAATGTCCAAAATAGGCAAATCTATAGAGACAGAATGAAGATTAGGGGTTGTCTAGGGCTGACGATCTTGGGGAGGAATGCAGACTGGCAGTTAATAGGTACAGCATTTCTTTTTAGGGTGATTAAGAATGTTCCAAAATTGATTGTAGTGACAGTTGTACAAGCTTGTGAATACACAAAAACCCACTGAATTATTCACTCTAAATAAATTGTGCAGTATGTAAACTATGTCAATAAAGCTGATAAAAGAATACTAAGCTTGGATCTCAGTCCAAAAGTCTATGATTCAAATGGGAATCATTTGATTTTCATATTCAGCACTGAGAAACATTGAGATAAATTAAGTAACTCAAATGCTGAGGTTTTTATATTTTTTTTCCTTTAAATGTTTTTTTGAGACAGAGTCTTGCTCTCTTGCCCAGGGTGGAGTGCAGTGGTGTGATCTTGGCTCACTGCAACCTCCACCTCCTGGGTTCAAGCAATTCTTCTGTCTCAGCCTCCCGAGTAGCTGGGACTACAGGCGCATGCCACCACACCTGGCTAATTTTTTGTATTTTAGTAGAGACGGGGTTTCACCGAGTTGCCCAGGCTGGTCTTGAACTCCTGAGCTCAGGCAATCTGCCCACCTCGGCCTCCCAAAGTGCTAGGATTACAGGTGTGAGCAACCACGCCCAGCCTTTAAATTTATTTTTACCTTACAAAATTTAATTTTAAAAATTCATTTTTCCTTTTTTCTCTTTTTAAATTATATAGTCCCATGGATTTTCAAATATTTTATACTAGTTATATAATAACACTATTTTAAAAACTATATAGAATAAACAGCACTGAGGAGAGATGAAGCAATAGAAAGGTCAAAGTTCAAACTTGTTAAAATATGTTTGGCTTTGTTTCCCTAAGGTTGGAATTATTAAACTGGTGTGACTTTAGAAGGTTTTCGAGGAATTGGTGTGTGTTACTGCAGAATCACTAGCTCTTAATTTGTAATTTGATGGCTAAAAACGGACAAGTCACTTAAAGGAATATATCGTATTAAAAAGTTACTTTCCTTGACATTTGGCCACCAGTCAGCCCTGTCTCCCCTAGCCTCTGTCTGAAGTATGGAAGACATTTAGCCTGCAGGCTCATGCCTATGCAGTACCAGAGGGAATGTGGAGGGCGCTTGCCATGCACCAGCAGCCCTATTCTCACCTGTGTGATTATATCTAACTTTAGAATTGCAGCCCCAAGATGGTTATCTGAAATACAAACCCACTTGTTTGCAACTTTCTGCCTACCTCCCCATGGCATTTGTGCAGTCTTTATGACTGGGATTTGGCCTCAACGTTTCCTCCAATATCTCAGTAACCCAGCTGGGGATGAGTCTCACTTGGAA
Source organism: Homo sapiens (assembly GCF_000001405.40). Lineage (NCBI taxonomy): Eukaryota > Metazoa > Chordata > Mammalia > Primates > Hominidae > Homo > Homo sapiens. The sequence continues at coordinate 80,877,902 of NC_000005.10, read as the reverse complement.
ATGCAGTTCAGCTGTGCTGATCTCTTCCCCAGCTTGGAGGAGGCCTGCCTTCCCTCAAGCTGGCCGCCTGGCTGGCTTCCTGATCATGCTGGACAATCTACCCTGTAAAGTTCCACGTTGTCAGCTGCCAGACACTGTGTGCTGCCACTGCCAGGACACAATGCTCCTGGAACCCCTACCTGCTTCAGTGTTGATGCTGGCCTGGACCAAGCAAGAGGGAGAGGTGGCTCCAGATGTCCACCTGGACATTACCAGTGATTGCTGGTCCCTGCAGCTCCCTCTGGCATGGGCATGAAATTCCTGGAGTTATCTCCTTTTCTCCCTGTGAGGTGAGGTTACAGCACTATCTTTGAAATCTTGTTAGAAAAAATATAAGACATTTACAGTTATATAGAGTATTGGAACAATTTTGTTCTTTTTAAAATTTAAAGCGTACATTCCAACTAACTATTTTGACAGTTTTGAGAATCTGACTATACGTTCATATTTCTGGAGGGGTGGTAGAATCAATCAAATTACATCACACTCTAACTCCAATAAGGTTGAGAGTCAGATAGCTAAAGAGTGACTGACTCAAAAGTGAAGCCACAACTTGGGGACACTGTATTGACTCCTGTGTCTGGCTGGGGTCATTGCTGGGATCACTGAAGATAATAATCCAGAAGAAGGAATTAAAAATATGTCCATCAAATGTGGGGAAGACATTTAACTGAGCAGAAATAATAAAAGAGAGGAAAATAGGATGGAGAGCTTTTGTGCAAGATCATATATTTAGAAACAAAAAGAACACATGGATCTGGGAAGCCAGATTGTAAGTGCTGTAAAAAACCCAGGGACACAGTTGAGCACGTGTTACCCTAAATTTGCAGGAAGGGAGCACTGTTATGAATCAACTAAGCTATAAGGCTCATTACTGGGAAGATGATACACCTGATATGTTAATGAACAGAAAGGTCCCAAATGAACAAGTTCACTTCTGTGTATTGCGCTGGTCAAAGCAGTAACCTTAATTTCATAATTACACCTTAAAAAATGACAATTTCCAAACACTTGGAAACACCAAAATTCAATGGGACATACCATCATCTATAGCAAGTATTCATTAAATATTTATTACTTGAATGAATGACAAATAATTTCATCCAACAATCTTTAAACTGCTTAATCCTATGACAATATTTAACCTTTTAAATTTCATGACCTTATTCCTTCTGTGCTCTAGTTTTTAAAAGCTTGATAATTCTATTTCTTTTCTTTTTTCTTTTTTTTTTTTTGAGATGGAGTCTTGCTCTGTTGCCCAAGCTGGAGTGCAGTGACGTGATCTCGGCTCATTGCAACCTCCGCCTCCCAGGTTCAAGAGATTCTCCTGCCTCAGCCTCCGGAGTAGCTGGGACTACAGGTGTGCGCCACCATGCCCAGCTAATTTTTTCGTATTTTTAGTAGAGATGTACTTTATATTTTTAGTAAAGATGGGGTTTTGCCATGTTGGCCAGGCTGGTCTTGAACTCCTGACCTCAGGTGATCTGCCTACCTTGGCCTCCCAAAGTGCTGGGATTACAGGCATGAGCCACCATGCCTGGCCAATTCTTTCTACTTATAAAAAATTCTTATGTTCTTGGTGGATAAACTGGTTGCATAATAAAATTATTTTAGTTCAATGGATAGATTCCTGCCAGATTCACCCAGTTGCCAATTATCTGAACTGAAACAAATAAAAATATCAAGTAAATTTTTATATCACCCTCCAAAAGCTTGGGAATTATATTCTGCCACTTAAGGCTTTACTGGACTTACTGTCCATAAAATTTTCTAATTACAAAGTGGAAGTCTATTCAAGAGTGTTTATACGTAGAAAAGTTAGGAAGACAGAAACTTGAAAAAGACTGTCTTCAGAAAAACCTCTCTGTTTCCAATAGGAATATACCATGGTCATAATTTTATGCTCACATGTCACACAAAGATAGGCTGTTACTGGAGAGTTATTTTGTACAGTTGGTATTTTTAATTCTCCATTTTTTGTTCACAAATGTAGTCTTCATTTTAATGAAGAAGAGAAGTCTGTGTTTCTTCCATGTTGAACTCCTCTGTCCACTTCTGCAGGTCTTGTGCATTATGCATCGTCCATAACTTTGCAAAATACTTGAGTCTCTTTCTGGGGAAAAATCAAATACTACTTATTTAATAAATGAAATTGCTGGGAGACAATACGTCTCATCAGAAGCTATGAAAAGTCTATAACACTTGAATACCGGGCAGGCTCTATAGTTAGGAAGCTGTGTCAGTGTCACCCTTCCAGTGAAAGGAGCTTTCAGAGCTGCTACTATAATCAAGGGACCCAGGTTACCAATTGCCACTATTACCTTTGTGCCTTCTCCTAAAATCCTTACCCCTGCCAGCCCCAGAGGGGAGAACCTGACCTCCTCCTCCTTCAAACTCTGCTAGAGGCTGGTGGTGTGTGCTTATTTGTACCTGGAGAAAAGAAACTCCTATGAAGTGTTCCCAGGATGAAAAGTAACACCAACCGAAAACAATGAAGCTAATTAAAGAGTAAAACGCCAGCATAACACAGACTTACTTTTTTTTTTTTTCTGCAGAATAGCAACCCAATTGACTATTTAGGGTATGGAGCTAGAGTACCTGAGTTCCAATTACTGCTCCACCATCAAGTAGCTGTGTGACTCTGGGTCAGTGTCCTGTCCTTGCTGGTCTCACTTTCCCCAACTATACCATGAGGATAAGGCTGCCATAAGGATGAAATGAGATAATGTATGTAAAGTGATGAGAAGAGTAGCTGGCACAGTGTGTAGGCTGCTGCAAATGACTGCTCAGAATGGTTTCTACACACAGTAACCATCCAACAAATAGCAACTATTATAACAAATCCACAGTAAGGCCCAAGATGCAGTTTGATTTCTTTGATCTGGCCAAAGGAATTGATGTGATAAGCACTTTTAGAAAAAAGGTAAAATAACAAATACAGTATCTTGATAAATGATCAGATTCCATCCCAATGCAATGTCTTCTAATAATTCTCTCATCTTGTCAAGATAACTTCATAGAGTTCAAAATGTCACTTACTAGTTGGAAGAGTTAAAATATTTATGAGTAATCTGAGAGTTTTTTTGCTCTTGCTTTATAGGCTATATAGCAGAAACAAGAATATATGAAAATATAGAAATTGCCATATTTTATTGCTATCTTGCATATATTTCTACAGCAAATTTAGAAATTGACATATTTTATTACTATCTTGTATATATATCCTTTGTAGTAAAGTTTTATTCTAGGTTTTTTTCAGAGAAAAAGAACAATAATAATATGGCAACTAAAGAGTTTAATTTGTCTCTGGACTTTGCAGAGGAAGAGGGCTAAGTTTATTTTTAAATTCTCATAGATACTTTTCCCTCAGGAAAAATTTTATATTAATCTGGCTTGTAACAGAAATAGGCTGAAACTGATTATGCCACTTTGCTTCTGTTTTGGCATTGCAATTTGGAAATGAGCCAGAAAAGAGTGTCACTAGAGGAGGCTGTGTGCCATTTGTAGAGTCCAGCACTCTGGACTTGGTGAACTACAGTATACCGAAGTGGAGGAGTGCAAGGCGGAAGCACAGGAGAAGGAGGTAGAGAAAGAGAAGTTAACTGCACTACTGTACTTTGGTAAACAAGTTAGCAACTGTTTCTTTAGCTAGTATGATAGGCATTACTATTTCAATATTGAAATTTGGTAATAATTCCCAGAATTATAACCAAATATTAAAGAATATTATTGGAGTATAACACAGGGACCACCAGTAGCCAGCCAAGATTTTCTATTCGATCAACAATCTGTTCATCATGGTCATATGATTATCAACCAGGGTACTAATGTACCCAGCACACCAGGCTCCCCAAGTACGGCAGGGGTGGGGCAGTAGGTGGATGGGGAGCTTATGTTGTTTTAGAATTTTATATTTGGGAAACAAAAGGGTATAATTTACTAATATGATATTTTTCTAGGAATATCTTTCTTTCAAAGTGTATCTCAGGTTTACATTAAGATTAATTTATGTACTGACTACATACTAGCTGGATAGCAAGCGTAAAGGTGGAAAGTATTCCCATAAGCATTTAAAGTGACAGCAGCCTGTTTAGAATGAAAAATTTGTCACAATCTACAAAATAAGTGACATGTGGATACTGACTGTGATTGCCTGTTATGTAATACTATTATTTTCATTAATGCTCTGATAGAATTTCTGGATGTAATCGTTGCATATCTGAATAAAATCTATGAATAAAAGAAATCTTCTGTAGGTTCTCAATATCTTCAGTAACCTTTGGCATACTGAATCTTTAAAGTAATGAATGTGGCACATATTAAGGAGTTAACTTAATTCTTTATAAAAATGACCGAAAAACCAATTTAGCAACTTAATAATGATCTAATGAAGATGGACTGAATTCACCTGAGCTTTGCAAGAGCTGTTTTCACTTCATCATAATTAAATGGTTCAGAATATTTGAAGAGGTGCTTAAAAGTAGACCTGATGTTCATTTTTAGGACGCTCCTCTCTTTCTTGGACAACTTAGAAGGTTTCATTACAAATGAAAAAATGCAGCATAATCACTCTGACCTTTTCGTATTTATTAATCCTTCCAGCTCTTTTGACTTGTGAGCTGCTTTCTTCAAAATTTCTCCAGGAACATCTGCTAGTTTAGCCACATTTAATCCATAACTCCTTGCTGCAATTCCTCTAGTTATTTGGTAAAGGAAGGTGACAAAATCAGGGACTTGTTCTGCTGCGCCTGTGAAATAAAGAAAGGAGATCAAAACTGTGCCTGAAAGCTGAAATAAATTAGAGGATTAAAAAGGACATGTAAGTTCTCATAACTTTATTAAATCGTACAATCTGAAATCACTGTTCCTACTTGCCTGTTAGATCCATTTATCAATTTGATATGTCTAGAAAAGGGTAAATACTGTTTTGAAACTGCTGTGTGCATATAGGATCTATCTTTTAGTTCACTTAAAATAGTTTTTAACAATGATTCATTGCAAATTTGAACTGAACGTCTATATTAAAAAGAGAATGTTTTTATTTATTTACTTTTTTAGAGATAGGGTCTTGTTCTATTACCTAGGCTGGAGTGCAGTGGCACAATCATACCTTACTGTAACATCAAACTCCTGGGCTCAAGCAATCCTCCTGCCTAGCCTCCTAAGTAGCTAGGACTACAGGTTCATGCCACCACACTCAGCTAATTTTTTAATATTTTTTGTAGAGATCAGGTCTTGCTATGTTGCTCAGGCTGGTCTCGAACTCCTGGCTTTAAACAATCCTCCCTCCTTGGCCTCTCAAAGTGTTGGGATTACAGGCGTGAGCCACTGCGCCAGGATGAGAATGATCTTAGTACGTGGTTGATACAATATAATTTCTCCTTTTTATGTTTCTGAGACAGGGTCTGACTCTGTCATCCATGCTGGAGTGCAGTGGCGCAATCTCAGCTCACTGGCAGTCTCAATCTTCCAGGTTCAAGGTGATTATCCCATCTCAGCCTCCCGAGTAGCTGAAACTACAGGTGCATACTACCACACCTAGCTAATTTTTTTTTTGTAGAGATGGGGTTTTGGCCATGTTGCCCAGGCTGCTCTCGAACTTCTGGGCACAAGTGGTCCACCCACCTTGGCCTCCCAAAGTGCTGGGATTACAGGCATGAACCACCATACCAGGCCTATAATTTCTCCCTTAAAAACAGAAAAGAAAATATTACATGTTGGCCAGTTTAAATAACAGGATTAAGATGGTCTGGTTTATTAAATATTCAGGTTAACTAAGAGCTATACATACCGGATTCTGTTCAGTACCACCCAGATCCCACTTAGGACTAAAGAGTTTATTCCCTCAGCTGTCAGAAAGATTGCTGGCCTGCAACCCTCGACTGTTTGCCTTCTTTGGAAATTGTTGCAGCTGAAGGGAGGGGCTTCACCCAAGACCACATCCCGCTTTGGGGCAGCCTACAGCCAGTGACTGGTTGTTGTAGGCAGCCTCTAAGATGGCCACCAAAGACCTCTGCCTGCTGGTGTTCACGTGCTTGTGTCATTCCCTCTCTGTATCATTCCTAACCAGTGACTCACTTCTAACAAACAGAATACGGCAAAAGTGATGAGATGTCACTTCAGAGATTAGGTTACAGAAAGGTTGTGGCTTCTGACTTGGGTACTCTCATTTTGTTGCCTGCCTGCTCTGAGGGAAGCCAGCCGCCATGTTGTGGGCTGTCTGTGGAGATGCTCACATGGAAAGAAACTGATGTCTCCCACCAACAGTTGGTGAGAGCCTAAGGCATGCCAACAGCCACATGAGTGGGCTTGGAAGCAGATATTGGGAGGCTTGGCAAGAGCCATGTGTGGGCTGGGAAGCCTTGACATGGCTGCTGCCCTGATTAGTGACTGACTGTAGCCCTGTGAGGAACCGAACTAGAGGGTCTCTTACAGGGCTACAGTTTTCAGCCTTAGAGGTGTTCAGCTAAGTTGCACCTGGACTCCTGACTCACAGAAATTATGAGGTAATAAATGTTTGTTGTTCTAAGCCGCTATGTTTTGGGGGGTAATCTGTTGCACACTGTTTGCAAATTACCCCAAACTAATAGAGATAACTAATAAAGGTATAGAGGTCTATCCCCCTCACCCCAAGTTGAGGTAACTCTGAAGGACCACTCTAGCCTCAGAGTTCTCTGCAGGGCTGGCTGAAGCCTTTTGACCATAACACAGCCCAGCACTCCGAATGAACCTCCTGAATGCAAATCTCAGAATCTGCCTCCTAGAGGACCCAGCCTGTCATATATATACATACACATGAACTTAAAACTTTAAAAGAACTGGGATATAATGAAGTACAATAATTATCATAAACCACTGCATGTAGTTTAAGCTAAAGCAGCTCAGGATATTATGTAACTTTTATTATGAAATTCAATATAATTGTGCTGCAAAATGTGCACTGTGCTGCAGAAATGTCCAAGGTGGACAAGAGTTACAAAGATTTCTACAATCCCAGTATACTTATGAGTTTATTAAAAGCTTTTTCTCAATCATTATTTCATTTGATAGATGTGTATGCTTTTCTTCTTTTATCAGTGAAAATTTAAAAAGCCAAAGACTGAACATGACAGAGAAAAAGGACAATGGATTTTTCCTGGCCCTCCTCTAAGAATTCGGCAGCAGACAGATAAGAGCTTTCCAAGGGTGGGTGCTGAAGTGGGAGGTGGAAAGAATGCCAACTCACTCAGAAACACAGACCTAAACTTCCGTTGCAAGGCACTGACAGTACCTTTTGCCCCCAAATGAAAGTTGAGAAACACAGGTGCGGAAGTAGGTGGGAACAGATTAGGGAAGATGCAGCTAGAAGCCAGTGCCTGCAAACCTGGATAATTTTTTGTAACTCTTCAAAGTTCACAAGACTAAGAGTGAAGTGAAAGGCAATAGGCAATCAAAAAAAGCCATTTCTTAACTTTAAGACAGAAAAATAGTTTATCACTTCAACTGTGTTAGTCCTAACTGATCTCCCTGTCTCCAGCTCTCCAATATAATCTAGATCCCATGCTGACCTTTCTAAACAAGATTCATTCATCTGTCTGTCTGTCCATCTATCCATCCATCCAGCCATCAGTATTTTCTGGGAGCCTGATAAATGCCACAAAATCCCCCTATCCAAAAATTTGTTAATGAATTTTTTTTTTTTTTTTTTTTGAGACGGAGTTTCGCTCTTGTTGCCCAAGCTGGAGTACAATGGCATGATCTCGACTTACCACAACCTCCACCTCCCGGGTTTAAGTGATTCTCCTGCCTCAGCCTCCTGAGTAGCTGGGATTACAGGTATGCACCACCATGCCCGGCTACTTTTTGTATTTTTAGTAGAGACAGGGTTTCTCCATGTTGGTCAGGCTGGTCTTGAACTCCCGACCTCAGGTGATCTGCCCACTTTGGCCTCCCAAAGTGCTGAGATTACAGGCGTGAGCCACCATGCCCAGCCTATTAATGACTTTTAATTTTTTTATATAGTGTGTGTGTGTGTGTGTGTGTATATATATGTATATATGTATATATATATGTATATATGTATATATATGTATATATGTATACATATATAAAGAGTGCACAAGAGATAGTTGTAACAATGTTCTTATATAATTATATATATAATGTATAATATAGCTACAAAATATAGCTAACTTACATAAAATATTTCACTGCTCTGAATACCTTGTTAACATACAAACAGTTGCTGAGTGTATCATTATATGCTGGTCTCCACTTTAAATTATGGTAGTTCTCATATCTTCAAGGTAAAGAACGCAACCACTCTTCTATAATCGCCTGGGGGATCTCTTTCTGTAATTATGTACTCCTTTAACCTCTGTGTGCGAGAGGGGTTGGGGGTGCTGGTAGGATGGAAATATGGAGTCAGAAAAAGCCACATGGGAGAGAATAAAACTTGTTTTATGAGAAAAACTCTATTTCTTTACAGGCTCACAGCAAAAGTTCTTGATGAGGATGTAACTACTTACAAGCTATGGCCATTTCTTAAATGGACATTATTAAAATGTTTACCTGGCACTGCTTTGAGTCAGTGGAAGTAATAATTCATGTTTCTGCTTATTATGGGGAAACATAGCAAGATTTATATTTAAGCCAAACTTCTCTAAGCAGTTATTAAAGAGATGTGTACTGACAAATAATTTCTGAAGTTGCTTTTAGAACAGATTCATAAAAATTTAGGGGTGAGTGAAGTTAGGTGACTTGTTCAAGATCATACAGATTGGAATAGACTAAAACACAGGTTTCTTAACTGTTTGTCCATTGTTTTACCTATCACATCATAGGAAATAGAGTATTATAGAAGCCATCCAAAAGACCTGTGGGGCATTTTACTGATGACCTACGCAATGGCCTCTACCTCATACAGAAGAGGAGAAGTTGGGGAAGAGGTAATGGATGAAGCACAGATATAGCCAGGAACAATATTGGAAGGCAGCAGGCAGTGGAGCACTGCTTCAAAATTCTGAGTGAAATGGTTTTCAATCTAAAATTCTAATCCTGGCTGAACTATAAATTCGAACATGGAAGCTATAGAGTTGTTGTTTTTTTTTTTAAACTTTTAAGTTCAGGGGTACATGTGCAGGTTTGCTATAGAGGTAAACTTGTGTCACGGAGGTTTGCTGTACTGATTATTTAATCGCCCAGGTATTAAGCCTTGTATCCATTAGTTATTCTTCCTGATCCTCTCCCTCCTCCCACCCTCCCCCATCTAGTAGGCCCCAGTGTATGTTGTTCCCCGCTATGTCTCCATGTGTTCTCATCATTTAACTCCCACTTATAAGTGAAACATGCAACACTTGGTTTTCTGTTCCTGCATTAGTTTGCTAAGGAAAATGGCCTCCAGCTTCATCCATATTCCGGCAAAGGACATGATCTTATTGTTTTTTATGGCTGGATAGTATTCCACAGTGTATTTGTACCACATTTTCTTTAACCAGTCTACCGTTGATAAGCATTTAGGTAGATTCCATGTCTTGCTACTGTGAATAGTGCTGCAATGAACATACGTGTGCATGCGTCTTTATGACACAACAATTTATATTTCTCTGGGTATATACCCAGTAACAGGATTGCTGGGTTGAATGGTAATTCTGTCTTCAGGTCTTTGAGGAATCACCACACTGCCTTACACAACAGTTGAACTAATTTACACTCTCACCCAGCATATAAGCATTCCTTTTTCTCCACAACCTCACCAGCACCTGTTATTTTTTGACTTTTTAATAATACCTATTCTGACTGGTGTGAGAAGGTATCTCACTGTGGTTTTGATTTGCATTTCTCTAATGGTCAGTGATGTTTTGCTTTTATCATTCTGTACATAGGAACGGGCAAAGATTTCATGACTAAGAGGCCAAAAGCAATTGCAACAGAAGCAAAAACTGACACAGGGGACCTAATTAAACTATAAAGCTTTTGCACAGCAAAAGAAACTATGAACAGGGTAAACAGGCAACGTACAGAATGGGAGAAAATGTTTGCAAACTATGCATCTGACAAAGGTCTAATATCCACCATCTATAAGGAACTTACATTTATAAGAAAAAACCAAACCCATTAAAAAATAGGCAAAGGACATGAACAGATACTTTTCAAAAGACAACATATACATGGCCAACAAGCATGTGAAACATTTTCATTCATGAAAAATCTCAAAACTTTTACCTCCTTTAGTTGATATTAGTAGTAGCCTAATTCAACATTTATTCCACCCCTAAGAAAACCTTGATTTTATAAGGAATTAACTCCCTAATCATTTAACTCAGGGGACTGGGTCTTCAAAGCCAGCTCCAGAAGTTGATCCTGATTCATCTAGGCCCATCAAAGTCACCCCTGCCATCCTCTGCTAAGGAGTGGTTTAAGAAGGAGCCTGTTACTCAATTCTGAAAATGCAATGAGGCAATCATGAGATACTGGAAGGCATCTGAGAAAAAGTTCCCTTGTTCTAAGAAAGAGTGAACAGGAAATGCTTGTCTCTTCTTCCTTTGGACATTCTGGACATGATGCCAGGAAGAGCTGCAGTCATTGTCACTAGCCTGATAATAAAGCTGGCCAGGCAGGAAGACAGAGCCTGGGAATTACAAAAAGGAGGAGCTGAAGCCCACTCTTCCTCTGGAAGTCATGGAACATGGGATTATATATACTGCATCCTTTTGTCTGAGCCAGTGTGAGACCGAGTGTTTTGTTCCTTGCAATCACATGCTTAGAAGAGGGGTAAGGGAACTCCTAGGATGCCAGCAAGGCAGGCTTAGGATGACAGCTGTGCCGCAGGCCCAGACAGCAGCCAGTTCAGATGAGCAGGAGGACAAAGGGCTCCAGGAGGAAGGGCCCCAGTGGACAAATGGGAACCAGTAGGTTCAGTTGTGTGGAAAAACATCTAGAGAGGCATTTTACGAAGCTATCTGAGGGTACAGGAAGATTCAGCTATAGACTCAAAAACAAAACAAAACAAAATGGAAAAAATGAGGACAGTCAATTCTTATTTTTGAGAAAATAGAAAACGTTGTAAAAGAAAGAAATGTACTTGTCTCCAAACTTGGCTCATCAGTAAGCAATATTTAGCATGGCAATAATAATGAAAACAACAAGTATGAATGACATACAATACATGTGAAATGACTATACTGGAAGGACAGAGGAAGGGAAAATTGAAGATTCTCAATTAACACAATGAGAGGTCCATCAATAATGTGTCAACTTGATGAAGCAAGAGACATGAAAATACGGATATTACTTAGAAATACAACAGAAAGGGGAAGTGTTGAAAGTAGTTGCCTTGGGACTAGGATGGGGAAGGACGTGAACTGAAGGGATGGAAGCTTGTCAGCAGGAGCCTTTTAGCACCATTGAATTTTAAAAATTATGTTCATTGATAAAAATTAAAATCAGCTAGGCAAGGTAGCTCATCCCTGTAATCCCAGCACTTTGGGAGGCCAAGGCAGGAGGATCACTTGAATTCAACAGTTTGAGACCAGCCTGGGCAACATAGTGAGAGCCTGTCTCTACAGAACATACAAAAATCAGCCAGGCATGGTGGTGTGCACCTGTAGTCCCAGCTACCGGGGAGGCTGACATGGGAGGATCACCTGGGCCTGGGAGGTTGTGTCTGCAGTGAGCTATGATCGTGCCACTGCACTCCAGCCTGGATGACAGTGACACCCCATCTCAACAAAACACAAAAATTAAAATCAATAAAATAAAATGCACAGAACATTTAAGGGAAAGGTACAATGCTCTGGGTTAGTTTTCAGTTCACATCAAATGCGTATTAGCGGCACTGACTCCTCTTCTTCCCTGTTGGTGAACTCTATTCTCTTTGTCCCAAGGGTTTTAGCTTAAGTCTCCTCTTGTCAACCTGGATGCAGATTAATAGATACAAAACTACTTCCATAAGAGAATTTATGATGTGTTTTTCAAGATTGCATGGTGGTGAAAAGCAGGAACTGCCTAACATTACATTTATCTTAGGCCCAGTGCTTTGTTTTATTTGGGCCAGCTGCCTGATTTCTTTTTCAGGTCCATCCCTATTACTTTTCCAAAATAAAATCTGGACTCTGGGGTATCTTGCATGATGGATTTTCCATTGCAGCATACCAATTGCGCAAACCACCACAGGACTACAGGCTGGTGGCTTAAAACAATTACTACTGAACAGAAAAAAAAATGCTAAAGTCTACTGTATTACTTATGGCACTTAAATGTATTGCTATTGGCTAACGGTGTTCTTTTTCATAAAATGTCTCATTTCTGTGACACCAGTAACTGGAAAGACTAGGAAAAATATTGTAGATTTCCTCCATAGCAGCTCTAGCAGAGGGGAACAGAAGAGAACCCAGAAGCAGAAGAAGTGAATTCTAGGCTCATTTTAGCCCCCATCTAAGTGGTTGACATGGTCAAACCACTTTACCTGTCTGAGATTCAGTTTCCTTATAATATTAAAATAAAAACCTATGTCCAGTACAGTATATGGCCCTTAGTAAGTTAAATGATATTTTGGGGAAAATATTGGGCGTTTTTAAAAGATGACTAATTATACTCTGCAGGTGACTGTCATCTGTACTGAGATGAATCATGTAAGAGTACAAGGCACTAAGAGGAAAACCTAAGTGCCCCCTCCACCCACACCCTATTCCTGTAAAAAAAGAGAAAAGGGTTGCCACGACAAATGAGACAAGGAAGACCAGAGAAGGACTCAGAGATAGCAAGGATAAATCTAAATTCTACTTGACCTAAAGCTTAGCAAAAATGAATCCTGACAAATGTTATTTATAGCTCACATTCACAGCTTTCATTATTAATAAGCAGTAAGTTCATGTTCCAACAAACTTTGAGTTATCAAACATGAAAACCAATATTTGTACCAACTGCAGGAATATTTCATACCTGGATCCAGTTTGCTTTCATCCTCACTGACCAAGAATCCCATGTGGTAATTCCCCACCTGGTGTGAGTAATTTTTTTCTAGTTCACAAACTGGCGGATAATGGGTGACAAACAGGGTTAAGGATTTCACCTAAAGCAATAAGACAGAATAAATGTTATTTCATTTTTAAATTTTATTGTAATTAAAATCTGTCTTCCACTTTCTTTTGAAAAATTTTAAATCTTCCTAAAAGTCACAAGAAAAGTACAACGACCAATTATTATATACTGTTTACCTAGATAATCAATTGTTAATATTTTACCATATTTCCCTTCTTCTTCCTCCTCCACAGACACAGACATTTTTTCCTGAACCATCTGAGAATTAGTTGCAGACATCATGACACTTCATCACTAAAGATTTAAGATTCTATCTTCTAAGAACAAAACATCCTCCTATATAACTAGAATACAATTATTACACTCAATAAATATATTATTATTATATAACATATACAGTTCCTAAATCTCCCTAATTCTCCCAACAATGTTTCTTTTTGTCTCTTTCCTTTTTTGTCTTTTATGACATGGACATTTTTGAAGTATCAAGTATCCTTTCGTACAGGAATAGAGTGTGGGTGGAGGGGGCACTTATGCTGTTTTGCATAATGTCTTTCAATTTGGACTTTGCTATTTCCTCCAAACATCATTGCCAGTGAGGACTAAACTCTGATTTTTTTATCTTACCCAAATTCCTACCTAAGGGGTCCAGGGAGTCATGCCCTACATATCATGGATTCTCATCAGATGGGTTTTATTTGACCCTGTATATTGTGACTTGCTTTTCAATATGACTCCGGCACAACATTATGAGACAAGGAAAAAATATTTAACCCCAAGGAGTATATTTCCTTGCCACGCCTTAAATTGCCCTGCAAAGTCTCTTGTGAGAAAAATCCACATTCTATAGAGTATCCCCTTCACCCTTTGTTTTCCTTCCTTTCCAGATCCACGAGATAATCAACTAAGAGCCAGGCACCCTTTTAGGTCTGATAAGAAACATTTTACAACCTCTTCTCTCTCTGTGAAGTCTGCTGAGAGATTCCTCTGCACAATAAAACTTGGTCCCACAATCCTTTATCTTAACCTGAACATTCCTTTCCATTAATCCCAGGTCTTCACATAAACTCAACCAATTGTCAACCAGAAAATGTTTAAATTTACCTGTAGCCTGGAAGCCCCTGCTTGGAGTTGTCCCACCTTTCTGAACCAAACCAATGTATTTCTTTTCTTTTTTTTTTTTTTGAGACGGAGTGTCACTCTGTTGCCCAGTGGCACGATCTTGGCTCACTGCAAGCTCCGCCTCCCGGGTTTACGCCATTCTCCTACCTTAGCCTCCTGAGTAGCTGGGACTACAGGTGCCCGCCACCACGCCTGGCTAATTTTTTCTATTTTTTAGTAGAGACGGGGTTTCACCGTGTTAGCCAGGATGGTCACAATCTCCTGACCTCGTGATCCACCCACCTTGGCCTCCCAGAGTGCTGGGATTACAGGTGTGAGCCACTGCACCCGGCCAAACCAATGTATTTCTTAAATGTATTTGATTTATGTCTCATGCCTCCCTAAAATATATAAAACCAAACTGTACCCTGACCACCTTGGGCGCATGTTCTCAGGACCTCCTGAGGGCTGTGTCACGGGCCATGGTCACTCATATTTGACTCAGAATAAATCTCTTCAAATATTTTACAGAGTTTGACTCTTTTCGTCGATACCAGGAATATTCCATGTATATGTAGGTGATGGGTCCTTCCCAGTGCATCACATCAGGTGGGACGTGATATCAGTTTTACATAACTGGGGATGCCAAATTTGATTATCTGGTTGAAGAGGGTACCCACTAGATTTCTTCACTATACCTTTTCCCTTTGTAATTAATAAATAACCTGTGGCATGACACTTTGAGATATATGAATATCCTTTTCTCCAACAATCTTTCATCCAAAGGTTTTATAATCTATTGATCATTGCTGTCTGAATCAGTTATTATTATAGTCGTTATTAAATGTTGATTAAAAAATTCTTCCTACATTTATTCGTTGGTATTCTGTAAAGCAGAGGTTTCACTTTTCCCCACTCACCTCCACCATTTTAAAGTTTATTTTTGTTAGTGTCAGTATGAATTAACAAATTTTTTTTTTTTAGAGACAGGGTCTCAATCTATCATCCAGGCTAGATTGCAATGGCACAATCATAGTTTACTATAACCTCAAACTCCTGGGCTCAAGGGATCCTCCCACCTCAACTTCCCAAGTAGCTAGGACTACAGGTGTGCACCACTATGCCTGGCTAATTTTTTGTTTTTATTTTTTGTAGAGAGGGGTCTCACTATGTTACCCAGGCTGGTCTTGAACCTGGGCTCAAGGGGTCCTCCTGCTTTGGCCTCCCAAAGTGCTGGGATTACAGGCATCAGCCACTGCACCCAGTCTCATGGATTCTTTAATAAGCATTATTTTAAGGCATATTTTATATATTCTGGAAACCTCTATCTGGAGGAAAGTTAACACCAATCTTAGCCTAAATATTGGCAGAAGGAGGTAATTAAATCAAAGAACTCCAGTTTTGATTCACCTGCCATTCACCTTATTAAAAGTCTGAATGTGTGCCTTCTTTCTGATAACAATAACAAATAAACGTATTAAGGCAGGATTTCTTTAAAAAGCTGTGCTTAAAATCTGCCCCGAGGGATCTTAGGACCACCTATCTCCATGGTGCTCCTTCTCCAAGCTGATAGGCACTTTTAGCCGGAAGACCTAAGGGTCTGGGATCCGACACTGTGCTCCTCAAGGCTGTTCTCGGCCTGCAGCAGCAACACATGACCTCCCTTATTGCTCCTTTCTGATCTCTCTTCCCTATCCAGAGATCAGAAGGAACCATGAAAATAAAGATTTTCATCCATAAAAAGGTCAGGGAAGTTTCTGGTTTCCAGTTTAGCATATAAGAAGGTTGGAGGTTACCTCTCCATCACAAGGAAAAAGTAGAACCAACTGAAAAATCAACTCTTTAGATCTGTAAGAAAAATGAAGTCACAGGCAAACCACTGTCCCCCAAGTTAGAGACAGACAAGCAGATACAAAGAATCACAACTTTCCTGAGCTGAAATGGAGGCAGAAACCTCTGAAGGAACCAGTATCAGGGTAGGAAAACTGGAACTGGAACTGATCAATTGCTGGAGGCTCAGTGTCAACAAGTCTGAGAGTCAAAAAGTGCAGGGGAACCGAGTCATGGGGGAAGGGGGCACACTTTTGTGAGTTTTACTCCCAGGAGTTCCACTTGGTTCTCACAATAAACACTGGAGTAAATTCCCCTTATGCTTCAGGCAAGGGGAAGAAAGAAAGAACTATTTTGAAATGCACCAGGGCACTCTGTTCTTAACAAGGTCTGCCCTCAGAAGAAACTACTTAAGTGGAGCCTAACCTGCTGGGGTTTTATCAAAGCCTCACCTACCTGGGGGAAGGGAAAGACTCAACTCCAGTCTCCTCTAGCCTTCCATATGAGAGAAAGGAAATACCCAACTCCAGCCCACTCTAGCCTTCCTATCCCACCTGAGGGGTGGGAGGGAGGTAAGACTGAGACTTAATCATAGGACTCCTCCCCTAGACCCTTACCAGCACATTACTAAAACCTAACTTACAGCAGTTCCTTTTACCCAATACATCATAGCCAGCTGTCAAGAAAAAGTCGCAAGACATACTAAAAGTAAAAACCCACAAATATGAAGAGACAGAGCAAGCATCAGAACCAGACATAGCTATGGCAGGAATGTTGGAATTATCAGACTGGGAATTGGAAGCAACTGATTAGTATGCTAAGGGCTCTATGGTTAACACAGACAGCATGCAATAACAGATGGGCAATGTAAGCACAGAGATGCATATTCTAAGAAAAAACCAAAAGGAAACGAGAGATCAAAAACACTGTGATGGAAATGAAGAATGTGTTTGATGAGCTTACTGGTAGACTGGACACAGCTGAGGGAAGAATCTCTGAGCTTGAGGACATCTTAATAGAAATCTCCAAAATGGAAATGCAAACAGAAAAAGACTAGAAAAAAACCTCAGAATATCCAAAAAGTTTGAGACAACTACAAAAGATATAACATGCAGCTAATGAGAATACCAGAGAGAAAATAAAGAGAGAAAGAAACAGAAGAAATACTTAAAACAATAATGACTGAGAATTTCCCCAAAGTAATGTCAGACACAAAACCACAGATCTGGGAAGCTTAGGGAACACCAAACGGGATAAATGTCCCCAAAACCACACCTAGACAAATCATATTCAAACTACAGAAAACCAAAGATAAAGAAAAAAAAAATACTGAAGTAAGCCAGAGGGAAGAAACACCTTATCCACACAAGCTCAAAGATAAAAATTACATCTGACTTCTCAGAAACCACAAAAGCAAGAAAAGAGTGGAGTAAAATATCTAAAGTTTTGAGAGGAAAAAAAAAAAAAAACAACAAACCTCTCCAACCTAGAATTCTGTACCTTGCAAAATAATCCTTCAAAACTGAAGGAGAAATAAAGACATTCTCAGACAAACAAAAATTGAGGATTTGTAGCCAGCAGATCTATCCTGAAATGTTTAAGGAAAGTTCTTTAGAAGGAAGGAAAATGACAGGGGTCAGAAACTTGTATCTACATAAAGAAAAGTGCAGCATTGAAGAAGGAACCAGTGAAGGCGAAAAACTTTTATTTTTCTTATTTTTAGTGGATCTAGCATAACATTTTGTTCACAATAATAATAGCAACAGTGTATGCGATTATGTATGTTTATATATATATATATGCTTATGTACACTTAAGTATAAGTGAAATAAATGACAGTGATGGTGCAAAGGATAGAAGAAAGTAATCAGGATTATTTTGTTATTAAAAAATACGTGCATTACTCATAAAGCAATATAGTGTTATTTGAAAGTAGACTTGGATTAGTTGCAAACGTATATTGCAAACTCCAGGACAACCACTAGAAAAAGTAAAACAAGAAATATAACTGATACGCTAAGAAAGGAGAGAAAATAGCTGGGCACAGTGCCATGCACCTGTACTCCCAGCTACCTGGGAGGCTGAGGTGGGAAGGTCACTTCAGCCCGGGAGTTTGAGGCCAGCCTAGGCAACACAGTAAGATCCCACCTCAAAAAACACCCCAAGAAACCAAAAAACAAAAAACAAAAAAAAAAAAAAAGAGAGAAAATGAAATAATATAAAATACTCAGTTAAAACCACATAAGACAGAAAAACAGTGGAAGACACATGTAGGAACAATGAACAAGAACAACAAATAGAAAAAAGTAAAAAATGGTAAATATTAATCCAACTCTATCAATAATCACTTTGAATGCTGATGATCTAAATGCACCAGTTAAAAGACAGATTATCAGAGTGGATCAAAAAATAAGACCTAACTGTATGTTGTCTACAAGAAACTCACCTTAAATATAAAAATAACTACATATTAAAAATATATGGAGGGGCTAGGTGAGGTGGCTCACACTTGCAATCCCAGCGCTTTGGGAGGCCGAGGCAGATGGATCACTTGAGGCCAGGAGTTCAAGACCAGCCTGGCCAACATGGTGAAACCCCATCTTTAATTTAAAAAGAATACAAAAATTAGCCAGGCGTGGTGGCACACACTTGTAATCCCAGCTACTCGGGAGGCTGAGGCACAAGAATCACTTGAATCTGGGAGGCAGAGGTTGCAGTGAGCTGAGATTGTACCACTGCACTCCAGCCTGGGTGACAGAGTGAGACTCTATCTAAAATATATATATATATATGGAGGAAGATACATCATGTTAACATTAAAGAAAGCTGAAGCAGCTATATTAATTTCTAAAGGAAGTTAGAGTAGCTATATTAATTTGAGACAGAGCAGACTTCAGATCAAGTAAATTTGTCAGGGATAAAGAAGGATATTATATAATGATAAAGGGATAATGATAAAATGATAAAGGATATTATGTCTTATGTCCAAGAAGACATAATATCCTTAACATGTATGCATTTAACAAGAGAATGTCAAACTACATGAGGCAAAAGCTGATAGAACTACAAAGAGAAACAGATGAACATACTACTATAGTTAGAGATATCAAAATTCCTCCATCTGAAACAGACAGATCCAGCAGGCAGAAAATCAGTAAGGACACAGCTGAACTCAACAACACCATCAATCAACTAGACATCATTTATATCTATAGATACTTCAACCAACAGCTGAATACACATTCATCTCAAGCTAACATGGAACATTCACCAAGAAAGACCACATTTTGGGCCATAAAACACATGTTGACAAATTTAATATAATAAAAATCATACAATATTTGATCTCATACCACAATGGAATTAAACTAGGAATCATAACAAAAAGGTAACTGGAAAATCCCCAAATACATGGAGACTAAACAACACATTCTTAAAAAACATATGGGTCAAAAAAGAAATAAAGAGAAATTTAAAATATTTGGAACTAAGTAAAAACAGGAAGCACACCTTATCAAAATTTGTGGAACCGCACCAAAAGCAGTGCATAGAAGAAAATTTATAGGCCAGGAGCGGTGGCTCACACCTGTAATCCCAGCACTTTGGGAGGCCAAGGCAAGAGGATCACTGGAGTCCAAGAATACGAGACCAGCCTGGGCAACATAGTGAGACCCCAATCTCTATAAAAAATAAAAGTGAAATTAGCTGGGTGTTGTGGCATGTGCCTGTAGTCCCAGCTACATGGGAGGCTGAGGCAGAAGGATCACTTGAGCCCAGGGAGTCGAGGTTGCAGTGGGCTATGTTCATGCCACTGCAGTCCAGCCTGGGTAACAGAGCAAGACCCTGTCTCAAAAAAGAAAAAATGGAAAGAAAAGAAAGAATAAAAAAAGAAAATTTATAGCACTGAACACATTAGAAAAAAAGAACAATTTAAAATAAACAATCTAAGCTTCTATCTTAGGACACCAGAAAGAGAAGAGCAAAAATAAGCAAAAGAAAAGAGATAATAAAAATTAGAGCAGAAATCAATGAAATTAAAACAAGAAAGCAATGGGGAAAATAATCAATAGAACCAAAAGCTGGTTCTTTGAAAAGAAAACTGATAAGCTTCTAGTCAAGCTAACTAAGAACAAAAGAGAAAAGACACAAATGGCTAATATCAGAAATGAAAAGGACAACACTACGGATGCCGTGGACAAATAAAAGGATAATAAAGGAATACTATGACCAACTCTATGTCCACAAATCTGGTAACCTTGGTGAAAATTTCTTGAAAAACAATTCCTTAAAAGACACAATGAGCCAAAACTCACACAAGAAAAAAAACAGAAATTCTGAATAGGTCTATATCTATTGAAGAACTTGAGTCAATGGCCTTCTAAAACCAAAATCATAGGCCCAGATGGCTTCACTGGTGAACTCCACCAAATGTTTAAGGAAGATATTTTACCAATTCTCTATAGTCTTTTTCAGAGGACAGGAGTGGAGTAAATACTTTCTAACTCATTCTATGAGGCCAGCATTACCTTAATACTAAAACCAAAGACATTATAAGAAAACTATAAACCAGTATCTCTCATAAACATAGATGCAAAAATCCTCAATAAAATATTAGCAAAATGAATCCAACAATGTATAAAAAGAAAAACAGACCATAACCAAGTAGGACTCATCCCAAGTGTGTAAGACTCATTCAACATTTGAACACCAGTTAACGTAATCCATCACATCAACAGGCTAAAGAAGAAAAATCACATGACCATATCAATAGATGCACAGAAAGCATTTGACAAAATCTAACACCCATTCAATAAAAACTCTCAGTAAACTAGGAATAGAGGAGAACTTCCTCAATTTGGTAAGGAATATCCACAAACAACCTCTAGCTAACATCATACTTAACGGTGAGAAACTCAAAGCTTTCCCACTAAGATCAGAAACAAGGCAACGATATCCTTTCTTACTGCTTTTTCAACACTGTACTGAAAGTCCTAGTTACTGCAATAAGACAAGAAAAAAAAAATAGATGGGGAAGAAAGAAGTGAAACTGTCTGTTTGTATCTGACATGACTGCCTATGTAGGAAATTCAAAAGAATTGGCAAACATACACACAGACTGGAATTAGTAAGTGATTACAGCAAGGTTGCAGGATCCAAGGTTAATGTACAAAAGTCAATTGCTTTCCTATGTAGTTTCTTTTTTTTATTATTATTATACTTTAAGTTTTAGGGTACATGTGCACAATGTGCAGGTCAGTTACATTTGTATACATGTGCCATGTTGGTGTGTTGCACCCATTAACTCGTCATTTAACATTAGGTATATCTCCTAATGCTATCCCTCCCCCCTCCCCCCACCCCACAACAGGCCCCAGTTTGTGATGTTCCCCTTCCTGTGCCCATGTGTTCTCATTGTTCAACTCCCACCTATGAGTGAGAACATGCGGTGTTTGGTTTTTTGTCCTTGCGATAGTTTGCTGAGAATGATCGTTTCCAGCTTCATCCATGTCCCTATAAAGGACATGAACTCATCATTTCCTACGTAGTTTCTATAATGATTAAAGTTTCTGAGTTACATCTTTTTGCAAATAAATTTTTTAAAGCAAAACAAAAAATTCCTTAAAAAAAACAAAATGTTATAATTACCTATGTAATCTAAATAAATGTTTAAACAAAACCTGAGTCACTCTTGGGTCTTCACTGCCAAAATAACAAAGAAAAGAAGGGAGGCTGGGCATGGTAACTCATGCCTATAATCCCAGAACTTTGGGAAGCCAAGGCAGGTGGATCACTGGAGCCTGAAAGTTCAAGACTAGCCTGAGCAACACGGTGAAACTCCATTCCTAAAAGAATACAAAAATTAGCTGGGTATGGTTGGTGTGTGCCTGTAGTCCCAGCTACTCGGGAGGCCGAAGTGGAAGGATCACCTGGGCCCAGGTAGGTCGAGGCTGCAGTGAGCCATGATCATGCCACTGCACTGCAGCCTGAGTGACAGAGTGAACCCATTTCAAAAAAGAAAAAAAAAAAAAAAAAAAAAAAGAGGAGGAGGAGGAAG
This sequence comes from Homo sapiens, assembly GCF_000001405.40. Classification (NCBI taxonomy): domain Eukaryota; kingdom Metazoa; phylum Chordata; class Mammalia; order Primates; family Hominidae; genus Homo; species Homo sapiens. Next base: position 80,855,857 of record NC_000005.10, on the reverse strand, counting down.
AGAAAGAAGAGGAGGAGGAGGAACAACAACAACGGTTGTGCCAAAAAGGGCCATAGCTAGGTACAACCTATTTGCTGCACAAACTGTGTTGGATGCACACCTAAGGACAAGGCTATTTAGAAGTTTGTCATTTGAAATATAGTAGAAGGTACAGCTGTCAGGGACATTTCCAAATTGAGTGTCGTTGATGTCTCTGTGCTTCCCAAACAGTGTATGAAACTGTATTACTGCACAAGTTCTGCCGCTCACAGCAAGGTAGTCAGGAATCATTCTCATGAAGCCTAGAGGACCAAACAACTCTGCTCCAATTTAGATCTGAGGATGCTGCCCCATGATCTCCATCAAAGCCTGTTCATGGAGCTGAGTCTCTAAAGACTGAAGAAAAACTATCTTCTGGAAAAAAATTAAATGGAAATTAAGCTTTAAAAACAAAACTAAACCCCAAAACACCAATGGCAACAAAAGGTTAAAGAAAAATACATTTTATTTTTGTGTTGCTTTTTGAAAAGAAATATTAAAAATATGATTTTATTGGCTATTTAAGGAAGAGAGAAAGAAATGAAAATGAGGGAAGACACAATGACAAAGGAGCAAGAAAATGGGGGGGAAAACAGAAAGAAAGACCAGAGAAGGGAAAGACCTAAGGAGAGGTGCCATGAAGGGGAGATTTGAAAAGCAGAGACCAAAATGAACAAGATAGAGAAAGTAAACTAAAGGAGAGAGTTAGATGGAAATGACAGGGATAGAAAGTTTGACACAAACAAAATTTTACACTGAAGCTTAGAAATGCACCCTGAAAAAAAGGAGACATGTATTGAAGGAATGATGTTACTGAATCAGATAGAAACACAAAGAGATGAGATCAAAGATCTCACAGTGAGATCCTTCAGGATGTTGGTGAAAAAAAGGATTTCACAAAGTGGAAATGGCACTATTTCCTTGTTTTTCCCTCGAGGAATTTGGCTGTAGATGGATGGTACCTGTTCTTGATTTAGGGTTCACCAAGGATAATAAGATATAATTCTGAGTGAAAATATTGCCAGGAAGGCCTTTTTCGTACAACCAGATTTATGTTGAGTCAGCAAAAAAAGGAACATATATCAAAAAACTACAAACATTATTTAGGGTCAATCTGTCTGAATTCAGTGTGTAGCATTCTAATGATCACTTGCAGGACTGCAGTCAATTATAAAAAAGATAATTTTGAGTATTTGGAGACTGAGATCAGGAAAATAATGTGTATAATATGTATCATCCATGTACAAAAGGGTATGCAGGGATTGCATAACGGTATTATGACTACAGCAGTAATAATATATATTTCAAAATAACTAAGAGAAATTTCAAATGTCTCACCACAAAAAATGATATTTAAATGAGGTGAGGAATGTGTTAATTAGGTTAATTTAATCACTCCATATTGTTTATATGTTTCAAAACATCACATTGTACCCCATAAATATGGCACAATTATGACTGTCATTTAAAAATAATAATTTACAAATTAATTTCTTTTTAAATACAGTTTACCGGATACTTACATCTCTGATGAAATACTCAAGTGTAGCATAGGCAATGGCAATTCCATCATGAGTGCTCGTCCCTCTTCCTAGTTCATCCAAGATAACCAAGGACTGTGATGTTGCTTTTCTGATTATTTCTGCTGTGTCAGTCAGTTCTTCCATAAATGTACTCTGTCCTTTATATATATTGTCTGCAGCACCCATCCTACAAGCAAGATGAAAACACCTTGATTTTCCTCTTCACTTTCTTATTAGGAAGCCGAACATTATTTTATGAACAATAAATATAAAAGATCACTAAGAATCTATATATTTTGAGCCAATAATAGCTCAAATTAAATTAAACAAAAGAAAACATGTTGGATGTAAAGAGTGTCTAACATCATACTGTACTTTGTAGGAACATTCTGGATAGAATTTGAGGTATTGCACAGAACTCCTAAAAAGTAGGGAAACGTTTGATCCTGCTTTTTTCTCACTAATAAATCCAAATCAAAGTTTTGGTATTCACAGGACAAAACAATACTTCTCTGTGTTTCTGTGTTTAAAAGTCCATGATACTGTACAAAGATCTTGTACAATTAAAGGTTTTTTTCAGTGTTTCCTTAAGAAGATTCCATACTGATATTACAAATTAAAGTACTACATATAAAGTAAGTTATTTATATACAACTTTTTACTGGAACTAGAATTATAGACGTTTGATACCTTGGACAGCAGCTAATACAGGTTCCTAAAGTAGATTTTATGAAACAGTTCCTACAGATGTCAAGAAATAGATCCAAAAGATTTAAATTTCTTTTCTGTAAGACTTCTTAAAGCCTTTAGTATGAGACTACATATTGTGCTTTTTTTTTTTTGGACAGGGTTTCATTCCCATTGCCCAGGCTGGAGTGCAGTGGCATGCTCTCGGCTCACTACAACCTCTGCCTCCTGGGCTCAAGTGATTCTATAGCCTCAGCCTCCCAAGTAACTGGGACTACAGGTGCATGCCACCACACCTGGCTAACATTTTTTGTATTTTTAGTAGAGGCAGGGTTTCACCATTTTGGCTAGGCTGATCTTGAACTCTAAACCTCAAGTGATCTGCCTGCCTTGGCCTCCCTAAGTGCTGGGATTACAGGCATGAGCCACCGTGCCCAGCCAGTGCATTTCTTAGAGAAGGATCTAGTACACAGCTTTTCTTTAACTGATTTAACCATGGTCCCTGAAATGTCTTCCAGAGCACCTTGCAGCAATAATGTCTTTCAGAACACATTTGGGAAAACACCTATATAATGCAAAAGGAACTGAAAAAAACAAAGGAATCATTATTAGGTAATACTCAGTGTTATGCAGTTAATTGCAAAACTCAGAATTCAGGTTTTTCACCCAGTAGCCAGCTTTGTGAATGCTGGTAACTACTTTCTCAGCAAAATCCCTTCATTGATTTAGTTTTGCTACAATAGTTCACAAAATAGGACACATACTTCACATTTGACCTACAGCACCATAATGTACCTTTCATTTCTTAAGAAAGTCATGGTCAAATTGCACCTTAACCAGCTGTGTGGCTGAAGCCCTATAAGAACAAGGGAGATGGAATGTGATGTCAACACATGGGCAGAGCCTTAGAACTGTTCCAATAACTAGCGGCATTGAGAAATTGTATAATTTCTGAAATGTTGCCACCTTAGGAACATTCTGGCTACTTTTTCAAAGTTCGAATACTGGTATTTACCTCAAATTTCAATGTTTACTTTAACAATATTTCCTTTTCCCCTACCACAAAACAGGATGATGAAACTTTCATATCCCTGAAACCACTTAGAATGCTTCAGAATCACAATGGTTCACCCTGTCTACCACTGTTTGCCTTTATTGTGGCAGGATGTGAGCTGACAGAAAGAAATCTTTGGCTGATAACAGAACATTCTGATGAGGGAAATATTTTGGGGGGTCATTGATTTTTAGAAATTAGGATAATACACAAGCACTGGATACAGTTTTTTGTTTTGTTTTTTGTTTTTGAGACAGGCTCTTGATCTGTCACCCAGGCTGGAGTGCAGTGGCAGTGATAACAGCTCACTGCAGCCTCAACCTCCCAGGCTCAAGCGAGTGCCCACCTCAGACTCCTGAATATCTGGGACCACTGGCGCATGCCACCACACCAAGCTAATTTTTAAATTTTTTGTAGAGTCAAGGTCTCACTATGTTGCCTGGGCTGTTGTTGAACTCCTGGGTTCAAATGATCCTCCTGCCTTAGCCTCCCAAAATGCTGAGATTACAGGCATGAGCCACCATGCCTGGCTGTTGTATACAGTTTTAATACAGTAGATTAAGCATTATACTTAAGTGCTTTCTAAAACAGTAAAGTAACAGAGTGGTCTTGTTAGAAATGTCAAGAATTGTAAGATGTGCCTGGACAAGTTATTTCTAGGCAGATACACACACATATTTATAAAAAACATTTTGTATATGACAGAGGTGAGATTTCAAATTAATAGGGAAAGGATGAACTACCAGTCAATGAAAAAGATGCTAGCTAATTAGTTATTTCAGAAAAAACAAAGATGTGTCCCTATATAAGCCATATTCCAACATAAATGTACATGGATTTAAAAGTTTAATGTAAAACTAGAAATCATAAACATACCAAGCTATATAGATGAAATTTAATCTCTGGACAGGTGAGTGGGTGGCTTTACATATATGTCATCAAAACATATATTTAGCAAAAGACACATAATAAAAAAGTTAAAGGCAAACCACAAACTGAGAAAAAACTTACAGTAATTATAATGAGCACTTAACATTCCCAAAATAAAGTCTGACAAAGCGAAACAAAATGGTGAACAGAAAAACAGGCAAAGAACATAAAGAGTCAATTCACAAAAGAAACTCATGAAAACACCCAAATATGTAAATTCAAACAGGAAAATATTCACATTCTATATATATATTGTAATATGTATATTGCTAAGTTAGCAGAGATTAAAAAGAACATGATCTGCCATTATCAAGAGTGCTGCGGGGAAAGGGTATTTTTATGAGACAGAGACTTGTTACAATCTTCCAAAAGACAATTTAGCAATGTCTATTAGAAATCTTTCATGACCTATAAATTTCACTCTAGGAATTAACACTATGAAAACCATCAGAGATACATGAAGAAATACATGTACAAATGTGTTCTTGATGTTATTTAATGAAAAGCTGGAAAAAATCAAATATCCAATAATAAGAGAAAGAGTAAACAGTACTATGATGAAAAACTATGCAACCAATAAAATTAGTATGTTAGAATTTTTGGCATCGGAAAATGGTTATATTAATAACATAGTGAATGTTAAAAAATGAGGTCACCAGAAATTTTTTAACTTCAGTGGAGGAGTCTGCTAGAAAAAGGACCTATTGAGCTACTGGAAATTCATCCTTGCTATTATAATAACTCGAGTAATGTTCCAGTCAGATATATGAGTAGCAAACACATTAAAGAAAAATTTGAGGACACATAAGGAAAAATGACAGTATGAAAGAGAAGACTGAGAAAACCAACAGAACAAGTACCATAGAGGAAGTGGATAAAAATACAATTCACTGGTGATATGATTTGGCTCTGTGTCCCCAGCCACATCTTTTCTTGTAGCTCCCGTAATTCCCACATGTTGTGGGAGGGACCTGGTGAGAGATGACTGAATTATGGGGGCAGGTCTTTCCTGTGCTGTTCTCATGATAGTGAATGAGTCTCATGAAATCTGATGGTTTTAAAAACGGGAGTTTCCCAGCACAATCTCTGTCTTTGCCTGCTGCCATCCCCATAAGATGTGACTTGCTCCTCCTTGCCTTCTGCCATGATTGTGAGGCCTCCCCAGCCATGTGGAGCTGTAAGTCCAGTAAACCTCTTTCTTTTGTAAACTGCCCAGCCTCGGGTATGTCATTATCAGCAGTGTGAAAATGGACTAATACAGTAAATTGGTACCAGGAGTGGGGTGTTGCTGGAAAGATACTTGAAAAAGTGGAGGCAACTTTGGAACTGGGAAACAGACAGAGGTTGCAACAGTTTGGAGGGCTCAGAAGACAGGAAAATGTGAGAAAGTCTGGAACTTCCTACAGACATGTTGAATGGCTTTGACAAAAATGCTGATAGTGATATGAACAATAAGGTCCAGGCTGAGGTGGTCTCAGATGGAAATGAGGAACTTGTTGGAAACTGGAGCAAAGGTGACTCTTGCTTTGTTTTAGCAAATAAACTGGCAGCATTTTGCCCCACCCTAGAGATTTGTGGAACTTTGAACTAGAGAGAGGTGATTTAGGCAGAGGATGATCTGGGAGAAGAAATTTCTAAGCAGAAAATAATTCAAGAGGTGACTTGGGTGCTGTTAAAGGCACTCAGTTTTATAATGGAAACAGAGTATAAAAGTTTGGAAAATTTGCAGCCTGACAGTGTGATAGAAAAGAAAATCCCATTTTCTGAGGAGAAATTCAAGCCAGGTGCAGAAATTTGCATTAAAAACGAGGAGCTGAATGTTAATCCCCAAGACAATGGGGAAAATGTCTCCAGGCATGTCAGAGGTCTTCATGGCAGCCCCTCCCAACACACCCCGGGAGGCCAAGGAGGAAAAAGTGGTTTCATGGGCCAGGCCTGTAGACCCCCGCTGTGTGTAGCATAGGGACTTGGTGCCCTGTGTCCCAGCAGCTCTAGCCATGACTAAAAGGGGCCAAGGTACAGCTCAGGTTGTGGCTTCAGAGGATGCAAGCCCCAAGCCTTGGCAGCTTCCATGTGGTATTGAGCCTGCAGGTACACAAAAGTCAAGAACTGAGGTTTGGGAACCTCCGCTTAGATTGCAGAGATGTATGGAAATAACTGGATGTCCAGGCAGAAATTTGCTACAGGGCAGAGCTCTCATGGAGAACCTCTGCTAGGGCAGTACAGAAGGGAAATGTGGGGTCACAGCCCCCACACAGAGTCCCTACTGGGGCACCATCTAGTGGAACTGTGAGAAGAAGGCCACAGTCCTCCAGACCCCAGAATGGTAGATCCACCTAGAGCTTGCACCATATGCCTGGAAATGCCACAGACACTCAATGTCAGCCTGTGAAAGAAGCTGGGAGGGAGGCTGTACCCTGCAAAGCACAGGGGAGGAGGTGCCCAAGACCATGGGAACCCACCTCTTGCATCAGTGTGACCTGGATGTGAGGCATGGAGTCAAAAGATACCATTTTGGAGCTTTAAGATTTGACTTCCCCGCTGAATTTCAGACTTGCATAGGGCCTGTAGCCCCTTTGTTTTGGCCAATTTCTCCCATTTGGAATGGCTGTATTTGCCCAATGCCTGTACCCCCATTGTATTTAGGAAGTAACTAACTAGCTTTTGATTTTACAGGCTCATAGGCAGAAGGGACTTGCCTTGTCCTGGATGAGACTTTGGACTGTGGACTTTTAAGTTAATGCTGAAATAAATTAACACCCCAGGGGACTGTTGGGAAGGCATGATTGGTTCTGAATGTGAAGATACGAGATTTGGGAGGGGCCAGGGGTGGAATAACATGGTTTGACTCTGTGTCCCCACACAAATCTCATCTTCTAGCTCCCATAATTCCCACGTGTTGTGGGAGGGACCCAGTGGGAAATGACTGGATTATGGGGGCATGTCTTTCCTGTGCTGTTCTCATGACAGTGAATGGGTCTCATGAGATCTGATAGTTTTAAAAACGCGCATTTCCCTGCACAATATCTTTACCTGCTGCCATCCACATAAGATGTGACTTGCTCTCCCTTGCCTTCTGCCATGATTGTGAGGCCTTCCCAGCCATGTGGAACTGTAAGTCCAATAAACTTCTTTCTTTTGTAAATTGCCCAGTCTCGGGTATGTCTTTATCAGCAGTGTGAAAATGGACTAATAGAACTGGAAAGAATTAAAACAAGCAAAATCTCGATTTGGTATCCTCAGGAAGATTAAGAATATGACAGACTTAAAACAAGAAAAGTCTATGAAGAAATAAACAACTGGAGAACAAGAAATCTTGAAAATTAAAAATATGATCACTGAAAAATTTACTGTATGGGTGAAATTAAAATTCGATGCTGTATAGGACCAAGCTTTTATTTTATTATTGTTTATTTGAGAAAGGTTCTAACTCTGTCGCCCAGGCTGCAGTACAGTGGCATGAACACAGCTCACTGCAGCCTCAACCTTCCTGTGCTCAGATGATCCTCCCACCTCAGCCTGCTGGGAAGCTGGGACTACAGGCATGCCTGGCTAATTTTTTATTTTTTGTATCTTTAGTAGAGATGGGGTTCCACCATGTTGCCCAGGCTGGTCACAACACCTGGGCTCAAGTGATCCACCAGCCTCAGCCTCCCAAAGCACTTGGATTACAAGCGTGAGCCACTGTGCCCTGCCCTAGACCAAGTTTTTAAACCTGGAAGATAAATTCAAAGAAATCTCTGAGAACAGCAATGAGAAAGACCAAGAAATGTAAAGTACAAACAAATAGATTTAAAACACGGAGACCATGTCCTAACAGTTGAAAGCTGCTCAAATAGGAAGTGCAAAAGATACAAACAACAAAGGTAATGACATAAAATAACTTAAGAAAATGCCCCTACGCTGAAATAAGACATGCACCTTCATATGGGAAGGTTTCATGAAATGCTGAGTAAGATTAGTAAGAAAAGATTTACATCTAAACATTCTGCTGAAAATTTTATAATAAGGATTAAAAAATTCTAAATGCCTCAGAGAAAGAAAAAATTCATCATTAAGCAAGGGATGAGAATCAGACTCTTACTGACTTTATCTACATTGAATGTAATACTGGAAGATAACGGGAGCAATTTCTTTAAATTTAAAATCTGGATATTTATATTCATCTAAACTTTCAAAGCAAATATGAAGATAAAGCTATTTGAGGCTTTCTAAAACTAAAAAAATTTGCCACCAAGAGCCCTACATGAAAAAAGTACTCAGAGACAGGCTCAAAAAAAAAAAAAATATTCAGCCAGGTGCAGTGGCCTATAATCTCAGCACTCTGGGAGGCTGAGGCAGGCAGATCACTTGAGGTCAGGAGTTTGAGACCAGCCTGGCCAACATGGCAAAACCACATATCTACTAAAAATACAGAAATTATGCAAGGGTAGTGGTGCATGCCTGTAATCCCAGCTACTCAGGAGGCTAAGGCAGGAAAATCGCTTGAGCCCGGGAGGCAGAGGTTACAGTGAGCTGAGGTTGCACCACTGCACTCCAGACTGGGCAAGAGAGCGAGAATCTGTCTCAGAAAAAAATCCAAAAATTAAGGGTCGCTTCCAAGATGGCTAAATAGGAACAGCTCCAGTCTGTAGCTCCCACCGAGATGGATGCAGAAGATATGTGATTTCTGCATTTCCAACTGAGGTACCTGCTTTATCTCATTGGGACTGGTTGGACAGTGGGTGCAGCCTATGGACGGTGAGCTGAAACAGGGCAGGGCGTTGCCTCACCTGGGAAGTGCAAGGGGACGGGGGATTTCCTTTTCCTAGCCGAGGGAAGCCATGAGAGACTGTACCTGAAGAAACAGTACACTCCTGACCAAATACTGCACTTTTCCCATGGTCTTTGCAACCGGCAGACCAGGAGATACCCTCCCATGCCTGGCTCACCAGGTCTCACGCCCACGGAGCCTTGCTCACTGCTAGCGCAGCAGTCTGAGATCAACCTGCGACGTTGTGGCTTGACAGGGGGAGGGGCATCTGCCATTGCTGAGGCTTGAGTAGCTCACAGTGTAAACAAAGTGGCCTGGAAGCTCAAACTGGGCAGAGCCCACCACAGTTCAGCAAGGCCTACTGCCTCTCTAGATTCCACCTCTGGGGGCAGGGCATAGCAGAATGAAAGGCAGCAGACAGCATCTGCAGACTTAAACGTCCCTGTCTGACAACTATGAAGACAGCAGCGGTTCTCTCAGCATGGCATTCGACCTCCGAGAAGGGACAGACTACCTCCTCAAGCGGGTCCCAAAACCCCGTGTAGCCTGACTGGGAGACACCTCCCAGTAGGGACCGACAGACACCTCAAACAGGCGGGTGCCCCTCTGGGATGAAACTTCCAGATGAAGGATCAGGCAGCAATATTTACTGTTCTGCAGCCTCTGCTGGTGATGCCCAGGCAAAGAGGGTCTGGAGTGGACCTCCAGCAAACCCCAACAGACCTGCAGTTAAGGGGCCTGTTAGAAGGAAAATTAACAAACAGAAAGAAATAGCATCAACATCAACAAAAAGGACATCCACACCAAAATGCCACCTGTAGGTCACCAACATCAAAGAACAAAGGTAGATAAAACCACAAAGACAGGGAGAAACCACAGCAGAAAAGCAGAAACTTCCGAAAACCAGAGCGCCTCTTCTCCTCCAAAGGATTGCAGCTCCTCAGCAGCAATGGAACAAAACTGGGCAGAGAATGAGTTTGATGAGTTGACAGAAGTAGGCTTCAGAAGGTCGGTAATAACAAACTTCTCCAAGCAAAAGGAGCATGTTCTAACCCATCACATGGAAGCTGAAAACCTTGAAAAAAGGTTAGATGAATGGCTAACTAGAATAAACAGTGTCGAGAAGACCTTAAATGACCTGATGGAGCTGAAAACCACGGCATGAGAACTTCATGATGCATGCACAATCTTCAATAGCCGATTTGACCAAGTGGAAGAAAGGATATCAGCGACCGAAGATCAAATTAATGAAATAAAGTGAGAAGACAAGATTAGAGAAAAAAGAGTGAAAAGAAATCAACAAAGCCTCCATGAAATATGGGACTATGTGAAAAGACCAAATATACATTTGATTGGTGTACTGGAAAGTGACGGGGAGAATGGAACTAAGTTAGAAAACACTCTTCAGGATATTATCTAGGAGAAGTTCCCTAACCTAGCAAGGCAGGCCAACATTCAAATTCAGGAAATACAGAGAACACCACAAAGATACTCCTCGAGAAGAGCAACTCCAAGACACATAATTGTCAGATTCACCAAGGTTGAAATGAAAGAAAAAATGTTAAGGGCAGTCAGAGAGAAAGGTCCGGTTACCCACAAAGGGAAGCCCATCAGACTAACAGTGGATCTCTTGGCAGAAACCACACAAGCCAGAAGAGAGTGGGGGCCAATATTCAACACTCTTAAAGAAAAGAATTTTCAACCCAGAATCTCATATCCAGCCAAACTAAGCTTCATATGTGGGGGAGAAGTAAAATCCTTCACAGACAACCAAATGCTGAGAGATTTTGTCACCACCAGGTCTGCCTTACAAGAGCTCCTAAAGGAAGCACTAAACATGGAAAGGAACAATCAGTACCAGCCACTGCAAAAACATGCCAAATTGTAAAGACCATTGACGCTATGAAGAAACTGCATCAGTTAACAGGCAAAATAACCAGCTAACAGCAAAATGACAGGATCAAATTCACACATAACAATATTAACCTTAAATGTAAATGGGCTAAATGCCACAATTAAAAGACACAGACTGGCAAATTGGAGAAAGAGTCAACACCCATCAGTGTGCTGTATTCAGGAGACCCATCTCACGTGCAAAAACACACATAGGCTCAAAATAAAGGGAAGGAGGCAGATCTACCAAACAAATGGAAAGCAAAAAAAAAGCAGGGGTTGCAATCCTAGTCTCTGATAAAACAGACTTTACAGCAACAAAGATCAAAAGAGACAAAGAAGGGCATTACACAGTGGTAAAGGGATCAATTCAACAGGAAGACTTAACTATCCTAAATATATATGCACCCAATACAGGAGCATCCAGATTCATAAAGCAAGTCCTTAGACACCTACAAAGAGACTAAGACTCCCACACAATAATAATGGGAGATTTTAACATCCCACTATCAATATTAGACAGATCAATGAGACAGAAGGTTAACAAGGATATCCAGGACCTGAACTCAGCTCTGGACCAAACGGACCTAAAAGACATCTACGGAACTCCACACCCCAAATCAACAGAAAATACATTCTTCTCAGCACCACATCACAATTATTCTAAAATTGACCACATAACTGGAAGTAAAACACTCCACAGCAAATATAAAAGAACAGAAATCACAACAAACTGTCTCTCAGACCATACTACAATCGAATTAGAACTCAGGATTAAGAAACTCACTCAAAACTGCACAACTACATGGAAACTGAACAACCTGCTCCTGAATGACTACTGGGTACATAATGAAATGAAGGCAGAAATAAAAGTGTTCTTTGAAACCTATGAGAACAAAGACACAACATACCAGAATCTCTGGGACACATTTAAAGCAGTGTGTAGAGGGAAATTTATAGCACTAAATGCCCACAAGAGAAAGCAGGAAAGATCTAAAATCGACACCTTAACATCACAATTAAAAGAACTAGAGAAGCAAGAGCAAACAAATTCAAAAGCAAGCAGAAGGCAAGAAATAACTAAGATCAGAGCAGAACTGAAGGAGATAGAAAAAATCCTTCAAAAAGTCAATGAATCCAGGAGCTAGTTTTTTGAAAAGATCAACAAAATTGATAGACTGCTAGCAAGACTAATAACGAACAAAAGAGAGAAGAATCAGATAGACGCAATAAAAAATGATAAAGGGGACATTACCACCGATCCCACAGAAATACAAACTACCATCAGAGAATATTATAAACACCTCTATGCAAATACACTAGAAAATCTAGAAGAAATGGATAAATTCCAGGACATATACTCCATGCCAAGACTAAACCAGGAAGAAGTTGAAACTCTGAATAAACCAGTAACAGGTTCTGAAATTGAGGCAATAATTAATAGCCCACCAACCAAAAAAAGTCCAGGACGAGACGGATTCACAGCCGAATTCTACCAGAGGTACAAAGAGGAGCTGGTACCATTCCTTCTGAAACTATTCCAATCAACAGAGAAAGAGGGAATCCTCCCTAACTCATTTTATGAGGCCAGCCTCATCCTGATACCAAAACCTGGCAGAGACACAACAAAAAAAGAGAATTTTAGACCAATATCCCTGATGAACATCAATGCGAAAATCCTCAATAAAATACTGGCAAACCAAATCCAGCAGCACATCAAAAAGCTTATCCACCACGATCAAGTCAGCTTCATCTATGGGATGCAAGGCTGCTTCAACATACACAAATCAGTAAGTGTAATCCGAAACATAAACAGAACCAATGACAAAAACCACATGATTATCTCAATAGATGTAGAAAAGGCCTTCAACAAAATTCAATAGCCCCTCAAGCTAAAAACTCTCAATAAACTAGATATTGATGGAATGTATCTCAAAATAATAAGAGCTATTTATGACAAACCCACAGCCAATATCATACTGAATGGGAAAAACTGGAAGCATTCCTTTTGAAAACCGGCACATGACAAGGATGCTCTCTCTCACCCCTCCTACTCAACATAGTATGGGAAGTTCTGGCTAGGGCAATCAGGCAAGAGAAAGAAATAAAGGGTATTCAGTTAGGAAAAGAGGAAGTCAAATTGTCCCTGTTTGCAGATGACATGATTGCATATTTAGAAAACCCCATCGTCTCAGCCCAAAATCTCCTTAAGCTGATAAGCAACTTCAGCAAAGTCTCAGGATACAAAATCAATGTGCAAAAATCACAAGCATTCCTATACACCAATAATAGACAAATAGCCAAATCATGAGTGTACTCCCATTCACAATTACTACAAAGAGAATAAAATACCTAGGAATACAACTTACAAGGGATGTGAAAGACCTCTTCAAGGAGAACTACAAACCGCTGCTCAACGAAATAAAAGAGGACACAAACAAATGGAAGAACATTCCATGCTCATGGATAGGAAGAATCAATATTGTGAAAATGGCCATACTGCCCAAGGTAATTTATAGATTCAGTGCTATCTCCCACATCAAGCTACCACTGATTTTCTTCACAGAATTGGAAAAAAGTACTTTAAACTTCATATGGAACCAAAAAAGAGCCTGCATTGCCAAGACAATCCTAAGCAAAAAGAACAAAGCTGGAGGCATCATGCTACCTGACTTCAAACTTTATTACAAGGCTACAGTAACCAAAACAGCATGGTACTGGTACCAAAACAGATATATAGACCAATGGAATAGAACAGAGGCCTCAGAAATAACATCACACATCTACAACCATCTGATCTTTGACAAACCTGACAAAACAAGCAATGGGGAAAGGATTCCCTACTTAATAAATGGTGCTGGGAAAACTGGCTAGCCATATGTAGAAAGCTGAAACTGGATCCCTTCCTTACACCTTATACAAAAATTAACTCAAGATGGATTAAATACTTACATGTAAGACCTAAAACCATAAAAACCCTAGAAGAAAACCTAGGCAATACCATTCAGGACATAGGCATGGGCAAGGACTTCATGACTAAAACACCAAAAGCAATGGCAACAAAAGCCAAAATTGACAAATGGGATCTAATTAAACTAAAAAGTTTCTGCATAGCAAAAGAAACTGTCATCAGAGTGAACAGGCAACCTACAGAATGGGAGAAAAATTTTGCAATCTACCCATCTGACAAAGGGCTAATATCCAGAATCTACAAAGAACTTAAACAAATTTACAAGAAAAAAACAAACAACCCCATCAAAAAGTGGGCAAAGGATATGAACAGACACTTCTCAAAAGAAAACATTCATGCAGCCAACAGACATATGAAAAAATGCTCATCATCACTGGTCACCAGAGAAATGCAAATCAAAACCACAATGACATACCATCTCATTCCAGTTAGAACAATGATCATTAAGAAGACAGGAAACAACAGATGCTGGAGAGGATGTGAAGAAACAGAAACGCTTTTACACTGTTGGTGGGAGTGTAAACTAGTTCAACCATTGTGGAAGACAGTGTGGCGATTCCTCAAGGATCTAGAACTAGAGATACCATTTGACCCAGCCATCCCATTACTGGGTATATACCCAAAGGATTATAAATCATGCTGCTATAAAGACACATGCACACGTACGTTCATTGTGGCACTATTCACAATAGCAAAGGCTTGGAACCAACCCAAATGTCCATCAATGATAGACTGGATTAAGAAAATATGGCACATATACACCATGGAATACTATGCAGCCATAAAAAAGGATGAGTTCATGTACTTTGTAGGAACATGGATGAAGCTGGAAACCATCATTCTCACAAACTATTGCAAGGACAGAAAATCAAACACTGCATGTTCTCACTCATAGGTGGGAACTGAACAATGAGAACACTTGGACACAGGAAGGGGAACATCACACACCGGGGTCTGTCGTGGGGTGGGGGGAGTGGGGAGGGATAGCATTAGGATATATACCTAATGTAAATGACAAGATAATGGGTGCAGCACACCAACATGGCACATGTATACATATGTAACAAACCTGCACGTTGTGCACATGTACCCTAGAACTTAAAGTATATTAAAAAAAAAGAGCATTTCTTAAAATTTAAAAAAAAATGTGGCACACATACACCATGGAATACTATGCAGCCAAATACTGCATGTTCTCACTCATAGGTGGGTGTTGAACAATGAGAACACATTGGCACAGGGCGGGGAACATCACACACCGGGGCCTGTTAGGGGTAGGGGGCTGGGGGAGGGATAGTATTAGGTGAAATACCTAACGTAAATGACGAGTTGATGGGTGCAGCAAACCAACATGGCATATGTATACCTATGTAACAAACCTGTACGTTGTGCACATGTACCCTAGAACTTAAAGTATAATAAAAACAACAACAACAAAAACCCAAAAATTAGCCGGGTGTGGTGGCAAGTGCCTATAATCCCAGCTACTCGGGAGGTTGAGGCACGAGAATTGCTTGAACCTGGGAGGCGGAGTTTGCAGTGAGCTGAGATTATGCCACTGCCCTCCAGCCTGGGCAACAGAGCAAAGAAAAAAAAAAGAATATTCAAGGAAGATAATAACATGAGATACAAGGAAGAGTAGCAGTCGAAATGGAAGAAGTGAAAAAAGCTGGATAGAAATGAAGAGTTTTAGACTGGGATGCCTAGAAGATTCCCCTTTCCTTTCCCCATTGCTTGTTTTGTCAGGTTTGTCAAACAACAAAGTTTAGTACCTTAGAATGATATACATATATATTTAGCTCTAAAGAGAATACACATGTAACATGTGATCACAATAATGCATTCCATTTTTAAACTAGCCTATGAAAAAGCACAAGAGATAATACACCAGTAATAATAAATGTCAGAGACCTTTTCAAGGTAAAAACAGTTTTAGAAACTGGAAGCTGAGAAGAAGAACGGCTCAAGCTTGAATTGATAAAAAATTTCTTCATATTTTATAGCAAAAGGTTAACAGATACTGTCTAAAGCTAATAAATCTAAAACCAGAGTTAAAATATTTTATATGAATATAATGTTAACTACCAGAAGAAAATCAGGGACCACTCAGTGGTTGCCTCTAGTGAGTAGGGCTGGGGAGGGTAGCAGGGGGTTGGGAGGAAATGGGAATCCTCCTAGTTTTCAGTTTTGTGCCCTCTGATTTGCTTTAGTTTCCTCCTACCATGACAGCCACTGCTTCTGTAATTATAATTTTTGAAAGTATTTTATTGTGTCACTTTTTATATTAAAAACTACATGTGCAAAAAATATATATAGAAGGCTATCAACATGTTTAGAGTAGTTATCTCTGGGTAGGAGGATTATGGTCATGTGGTGACCCTTTCTCATCCCCCAAGCACCTAGCAAACATCTGACACAAAGATGGAGATTGATAAATGGACATTAAATGAAAACAACATAATCAATCCTTCTTTCCCAATTCCAGTGGATTAAAATACACAGGAAATATTGTTCTAGGATGGCTATAAAATTTCATGCTGCTTATTTTCATTACTATCATTGGGATACCCTTAAGAATCGGTTCAAAAAATATAGAGCGTGCCCAGATATACAGTGTGAAGACACATACACATATAAGTAGCAAATTTATTTTATTTTATTGAGACAGAGTCTCACTCTGTTGTCCAGGTTGGATTGCAGTGGCACAATTTCAGCTCACTGTAACCTTCACCTCCAGGGTTCAAGTGATTCTCACGCCTCAGCCTCCCAAGCAGCTGGGACTATAGGTGCACGCCACCACACCTGGCTAATATTTTGTATTTTTAGTAGAGATGGGGTTTCGGTATGTTGGCCATGCTGGTCTCAAACTCCTCGCCTCAAGTGATCCGCCTGCCTCAGCCTCTCAAAGTGTTGGGATTACAAGTTTGAGCCACCGCACCCAGCCAATTTAGTTTAATTTAAAGTTAAAACATCAGATCACGTCTTAAACAATAGAGACATTCAGAGAGATTGAGTACTGTCACTAGAAGTTTGCAAATTCTTATTTTAGGGCTAAGGCCTTGAACTTTTCTATGTATCTATTTCTTGGCATTAAAAAATTAGCTGTCTCATTGAAAAAGGAGCTTCTAGTCTACAAGATTGAGTGAAAAAATGTATAAATGTCGTAATTAAAAATTTATGTCACACAGCTAAACATGGTAGAAACAGCAGTAACTTGCATAAATAGGCCATCACTCTAGTCCTGGCTTAGCCACTAAGTACTGTGAGATCTTAGGCAAGTCGGATAACTTTTCTATGTGGTTGTAGCTTCCTTGTCTGTAAAAAGAAGAGGTTGATTAAAAAAAAAATCCTCTACTCAAGTCTAGTGATTTTTCATGAATGTATTAATCCATGCTCACAATGATATAGCAAAAAGTCCATTAGATTAAGTTTACTCAAGAGCAAAAACTGATTTAATATAGGTAAATCATTTAATGGAAAACTTTTCAATTACTTCTCATGGTAGCTGAGACTCAAATGTGATAACATATGTGAGCAATTTTCCTGTCTTGGGCACTCACTGAAGTGTTTTACCGGCATTATCTCATTTTGTCCTGACACCACATCATGAGACGTAGATCTTTATCCCTATGTACAAATGAGGAGACTGAGGTTTAGTGCTCAAAAGGATAGTCAGTCATGGAGTCAGGATTCAAACCTGGCTCGGTCTGACGCCAGAGTCTACACTCTGCTCACTCGGCTTTAGAGGACACTCTACTGTACTTTAAGAGGCTGAAAAGTACCTGTGGTGGACATGCTCTATAGTGACCCCAACCATCTCCACTTTCTGGTGTTCACCCCCTTGGATAATTTCCTCCTCTTATTGTGAGTGGGACCTGTAACTTGCTTTGAACCATCAGACTATGGCAAAGGTGATGAGATATTAATTTCACGATTATATGATGTTGTATGTTTTGCCAGTCAACTAGTGCTAGAGACTTTCTCCCCAGCTGGCTTTGAAGAAGTTCACTGTCATGTTGAGAGGGCCATGTGATCTGCAAGCATCCTCTAGGAGCTGAGAGCAGTCCCCAGCCTACAGCTGGCAAGAAGCTGAGGACCTCAGACTCACAACCTCAAGGAAATGAATTCTGCCAGCAACCTGGGTAATTCTGAAAGTGGATGCATCTCTAGTCCTGACTCAAGGTGAGAATCCCACCCTGGCCAATACCTTAACCACAGCCTCACACAACCCTAGCTAAGCTGTGTCTGGGGTCATGAACCACAGAAATGTTGATATAATAAATGTGTGTTGCTCAAGCTGCTAAATTTGTGATAGTTGGTTACACAGTTCAGAAAAATAATACAGTATCTTTGTTCTATAAATATGAAAATGAGAATTCAGCATTTTCTTTCATTTTCCTTGCCCCTTTAAGATGCAATATCCAGTCCCCAGCATTTTTATTTTATTTTTTTAGACAAGGTCTGGCTCTGTTACGCAGGCTGGAGTACAATGGTACGATCTTGGCTCACTGCAGCCTCAACCTCCCAGGTTCAAGCGAACTCCCACCTCAGCCTCCTGAGTAGCTGGGACCACAGGCGTGCACCACCATGCCTGGCTAATTTTTGTATTTTTGGTAGAGATGGGGTTTTGCCACATTGCCTAGGCTGGTCTCGAACTTGTGAGCTCAAGTGATCCTCCTGCCTCAGCCTCCCAAAGTGCTGAGATAATAGGCGTGAGCCACCGTGCCTGACCCCTGTCCCTAGTATTCTTGCAAACTAGTTTCACTAATTTACACTCTTTGGTCGAAGCTGTTCCAATAGCCTAGTTTTTCCTCTCCACCTTCACTTTTACTAACAGCTAATTTATCTTTTAGCTCCGTATTTTAAAATCAATGGAGTCATTTTGATTCCTATGCTTAAAAACTTACAATGTTTTACTAATGCCTGGAAAATAAAATTCAAAATTCCTAGCATGGTTTTCAAGACCCTCTGTGTGGTCTGATCCTACACCTCTCTCCAGTCTCCTCTCCTTCTGCACAACACAGGATCCCATGTCACCATGACAACAATTTATCCTTGCCATCTCTAACACACGGCATGTACTTTTGAAAAATAATAGCTTTATTAAGATATAAGTGACATAGCATAAAATTCATCCTTTTAGAGGGTATACAATCAGCTCTCCGTATCTGCAACCGCAGATTCAATCAACTGTGGATCGAAAATATTCAATAAAAATAAAAAACAATACAAAATAATATAAATGTTAAAAATAATACAGTATAGGAACTCTTTACATAGCATTTACATTACACTAGGTATTCTAAGTAACCTGGAGATGATTTAAAGTATCGAGGAGGATGTGCACAGGTTATATGCAAATATCCCACTTTATATCAGGGATGTGATCATCTGCAGATTTTCATACTGGGGGGTCCTGAAACCAGTCCCCAGCAGATACTGAGGGAAAACTAATTCAGAGCTTTTTTTTTTTTTTTTTTTTTTTGTGGCATATTCAAAGAGCTGATGTGACACACCTTTATTCCTCTGTGTGTTCTCATGGTTCCATTATACTGGAATCATCTTCACCCCTCTCTTTCTGTGGACTGGAAGCCTTATCATCCTTAAGCTGCTTCTGTGTAGCTGTCCCTGATTCCCCTCCCATAGAACTGACCTCACTGATTTATCTCTGTAGTCCCCTCAAGTGTTAAGCAGAGTGTCTTGCACATAAGATGTTCAATACAAGTTGAAATGAATCATTTGTTTTTACAATTGTAATACAACTTACTCAATCCACATCACTCAAGAGTTAACAATTTTGTGAATGTCCAAAATTAAAGTTTAAAATGAAAAGAAGTGACTGATCATGGAGCAAAAGGATTTAAATTTATATGTTCCTTTGTGCTTCCATATAGATTACGATATCCTTGTACAGTATTGCTGAGTTTATTCTAAAAAACATAAAATTATAATGTATATAATTCTAAGAAATATGACAGAATCTTAATTTTTAATAAGATATCAAAAAGTACTTTTTGGTGTTTTCATGGAAAGCTTATTATAGTAATATAACTGGTTGTTGTTATTAAAGACTGTCACATAACCTCCACAGTATTAATATTTTCTTTCTTTTTTTTTTGAGACAGTCTCTCTGTTGCCCAGGCTGGAGTACGGTGGTGCAATCTCAGCTCACTGTAACCTCTACCTCCAGGGTTCAAGTAATTCTCGTGCCTCAGCCTCCCGAGTAGCTGGGACTATAGGAATGTGCCACCATGCCCAGCTAGTTTTTGTATTTTTAGTAGAGACAGGGTTTCACCCTGTTGGCTAGGCTGGTCTCGAACTCCTGACCTCAAGTCATCCACCCACCTCAGGCTCCCAAAGTGCTAGGATTACAGGCATGAGCCACCATACCCGGTCTCATATTTTCTTCTTAGTTAAAAACACTGCATTTAAAAAATAACTCCAATTTTTCTTTTTCACAATGACCTAATTAGTGTAAAAATGCCTTTCCTATATTGGTAAAGCCAAACCTGTGCTAATGAAGTATATGTAAAAAAAAAATGCTATTGCTGCTTTTTATTTTTTTACCTTCCGCTTATTCAATCTGCCTTTGCTAATACCTTCCTCTCTGGCAAGACTAACAGATCGCCCATTCTCCAGCCTGCCTCGCTTTGAGATTTTGTCACTGGTGACTACTCATTTGTAGATGCCTCTGATGATCTTTGCATCAAACCCCAGACAGTCTCTCAGTCATCTTTTATCAAAGGTCTTTGTTCTTACCAAACTTTTCCTACGGGATGGTCTGACATAGACAAGCTGTAAACAACAAAAGCCAATTGCTCTAGACAGAGCTATTTACCCTTCCCCTACATTTTTTCTTCTTGCTCAAGCTCTCTACATAGAATTTGGTCATTTCTTTCTCCAATGGTTCTTCTCTTTTGACAGAAGGGAAGAGCTTGTCTGATGGCACATTCTTTGCCATCTTTGAGGCAAGAGAAAGAATTTTGAAAAAGTCTTGGTGCTGGACAAGTTCTTAGTAATCATTTTATACTCCTATTTTATAGATGAGATAAGACATTTCAGAGGTCAAGCCACTTCCTCAAGGTGACAGGGCTAATCTGTGGCAGACAAGAGACAAATACTTATTAGGTGTTCTGGTTTCTGGCCTGGAGTTTTTTGAGTCACCCCTACATGCCTCATGGTATTATAGGGTTTCTTTCTTAAGGAGGGCAGGCCAGTGTTCAGGAGATCTTGGACATACTTTTATTAGGCAATGGTCTTGACTCTAGTACTAGGTCAGAGGTTTCAAAATATCTTTTTAGCTGTTAAATCCTTTGTTCAAATAATATTTTTACTTTATTATTTTTAAGTATTATTATTTTATATTTATATATATTTTAAGTATTTATTTTTATTAAGTATTTAAACTAAAAATATATTTTAATTATATTTAAAATGTAATAACTAGAGTTTAAATATTAAAATTGTTAAGTAGAGGCAATGATTATTTCTATTACAGGAGGATTCTTTGACTTACTTCAAGTGCTTTTAAAAATTATGATAAATATATATAACATAAAATTTACCATTTTAGCATTTCTTAGGTACACAGTTCAGTGGTATTAACATCCACAAGGTTGTGTAGCCATCACTGCTTTCCATTTGTAGAACTTTTTAAATATTTAAAATATATTTTAATATAAAATATTTAATATTTTATAAGAAAATTCACTCTGCAGATTAGATACAATGAATGATGTTTGCTCTGGTTAAGAACCCAGGACTATTAGGCCTGTTATTCTGAGGCGGCTCTGTGGGACTCACACCCTGGAGGGTAGTTTGAAGGCCACTGCATTAGGAGCCAACACATTTTCTATTACAATTCTATTTTTCCATAGCACCTGATGGTACGGATGTAGTACCAATGGAAGTAGCAATGCTGAATACACACTGAAGAAATACTGGCTCATGAACCAGTCATCAAGGCTACTGGGGAAGTATGCATTTATAATTGTGGGAACTGTTTATTGATAAACGTATTTCCTGTTAATTTCCTTTAAGAAATGTATAGTTTATTTATTCTAGCTTGATTACTAGAAAACAACTGAATAACATCTTATACCTGGCTTTATATCATAATTCAATTCTTATTTTCTCTCTGATCCAGAGTCTTTGATACCATTCTCTTCTCTTATTATTCTGCTATGTTGTAAATATCTCAGTAAAGTGCCTAAGATGGCTGGGCGCAGTGGCTCACGCCTAAAATCAGTTTTAGAAGCAAGACAAGATATACATTAACAAGAAAGTTTGGCTGTGCGAGGTGGCTCACGCCTGTAATCCCAGCACTTTGGGAGGCTGACGTGGGCGGATCATGAGGTCAAGTGATCGAGACCATCCTGGCCAACATGGTGAAACCCCATCTCTACTAAAAATACAAAAATTAGCTGGGTGTGGTGGCACGCTCCTGTAGTCCCAGCTACTCAGGAGGCTGAGGCAGGAGACTCACTTGAACCCGGGAGGTGGAGGTTGCAGTGAGCCGAGATGGTGCCACTGCACTCCAGCCTGGCGACAGAGCGAGACTCCATCTCAAAACAAAAAAACAAAAAAATAAATAAAGTTTATAGTTTTTATTAAATCAACAATCATTTATAAGACATACTATACTAGACAATGATGTTAAAATATGTTAGAGATTTAGGGAATTCCACAGCATATGTTATTATTATCAAGCTGTCTGTATTTACAGTCAAATGTAGTAAAAAATGAAAAATCCATTCTTTAGGTTTCATCTTAAAGTTAGTTTGCCCTGAGTAGACAGAAGGTTACAGTTATGTGATTAAGGAAAAAAAAAATCACTCTGATATTTTTAGGAGTGGCAGCTGACTAATCTTTCTAATCCCCCTACTCCCCTCCTCGCCTATAACCCTTATATAGGTCAACAAAGCTTAATAAAGCATTGTGGAAAAAAGAAATTAGTACTTTTTTGGGTCAGTTTCTAAAATAAAAAACACTTTCATGGAAATTTGAAAAACAGTTTGTTTTTATGAGATCTTACTATTTTGAGATAATATTCTAGATGTCTCTCAGGCAAATGGAGTGGGCTTCTGTCCCTTCAAATCACAATCTCTGGGCCTTTTGCAAGGAAAATGCTAGTATAAGGGAGAAATACTGCAATTAGGAAAAGAGGACTTTTCATATTGAATGATAACTAGAGCTTAAATATTAAAATTGTTAAGTAGAGGCAATGATTATTCCTATTACAACAGTATTATTGGACATACTTCAAGTGCTTTTAAAAATTATGATATATATATATAAAAATAATAAAATTTACCATTTTAGCATTTCTTAGGTACACAGCTCAGTGGTATTAACATCCACAATGTTGTGTAGCCATCACTACTTTCCATTTACAGAATTTTTTTTTTTTTTTAATGGAGTCTTACTCTGTCACCGAGGCTGGAGTGCAGTGGGACAATCTCAGCTTACCACAACCTCTGCCTCCCAGGTTCAAGAGATTCTCCTGCCACAGCCTCCTGAGTAGCTAGGATTGCAGGCTTGCACCACCACCCTGTATAAGTTTTGTATTTTTACTAGAGACAGAGTTTCACCATGTTGGCCAGCCTGGTCTTTAACTCCTGACCTCAGGTTATCTGCCCACCTCAGCCTCCTAAAGTGCTGGGATTATGGCGTGAGCCACCATGCCAGGCCTCCATTTGCAGAACTTTTTCATCAGAAACAGAAAGAGAAACTCTGTATCCATTAAGAGTAACTCTTTACTCTCCCCTTTCCCCATCCTGGAAAACTCTCCCCTTTCCCCATATTTTCTGTCTCTATGAATGTGCTTATTCTAGGCATCTCATATAAGTGGAATATAGATTTATCCTCTAAGTGCTTTGTATGGGAGAGTTTTTTTTGTTTTTTTGTTTTTTTGTTTTTTGAGAAGGAGTCTCGCCTTGTCGCCCAGGCTGGAGTGCAGTGGCGCGATCTCAGCTCACTGCAAGCTCCGCCTCCCGGGTTCACGCCATTCTCCTGCCTCAGCCTCCCGAGTAGCTGGGACTATAGGCGCCCCGCCACCACACCCGGCTAATTTTTTTGTATTTTTAGTAGAGACAGGGTTTCACCGTGTTAGCCAGGATGGTCTCGATCTCCTGACCTCGTGATCCACCCGCCTCGGCCTCCCAAAGTGCTGGGATTACAGGAGTCAGCCACCACGCCCAACCTGGAGAGGTTTTAAGAGTTAGTTTATTTTGTGTGCTTTCTGAAACTGAAGATGTTCCCATTCACTTCAGGTTGCTAAAAACTTTGAACTCTGTCCAAAATGGATGTCTAAGTCAAAGCTTGTTTTTTTTTTTTTTGGATATTACATACATTTTACAAAAGATAGCTAATCTCCTAACTAACAAAGTACTCTAACTTTTAAGAAGGATGGTATAAGGAAGAAAAACACCCCAAAAAACTAAAGTCCAAGTAGAGGAAAGACTGTAAGAGAATACCAATTACTAAAAGATATGTAGGCACCATATGGTATTTAAAAGGCATAAAAAGCGTGAATTAGTAAATCTGTCTTGTATTTAATTAAACATAAACAATAACTCAGAAATGGAATGAAATTACAAATGATTTACCACTACATATGTGCACTTTAAAAAAGCCTGGAAAGCCATCTACCTAAACAACAATGATCTCCAGGTGGTGGAATTACAAGTGATTAAAAAATTTTGAGTTTAAAATTTTGCATAATGAACATGCATTACTTGTGTAATTAGAAAAACAAATGTTATTTTTAAAAATCACAAATGATACATTTAAGAATTATATCGTATCATTCTGTTAAGACAAGGCAGAAATAACTAGCCTTCTTCTAGCAATATGAAAAACATTTATTAGCATAAGTAAAATTACAGACAATCCCTGACTTATTATTTTAAAATTTTATAACGAGCTTACTGGAGTATTAAGTGCATTTTTGATTTATGATGTTTCTGACTTATGATGGGTTTATCAGGGCATAGTCCCATTTTAACTTGAGAAGCATGTGTATTATAATAGAAAAAAAAGTTTCTCTCATATAATCCTTCCTTCTAATGATTGCAATAAGATCACACTACAGTATTTAAAGTTTATTTATAAAAGTTATAATACTAAACTGCACATATAATCAAGCAAAACCCACTGTAGCAATCTTTCAATTTCCGTGGAAACACTGATGAGAATCAAGAGAACAATCCAGAAAAATTCTAAATTTCTACAGGCTCACATGACAGTGTTCCCTGGCCCTGTCTATAAAGCATGTGTAGGACACTTACGAAGGACACAGGTATTTTCCTTCAAAGAAAATCCACACTGTGCTGACTGGGCAACTCATCCTCTAACATAGCTAGTAGTCCACTTTGTGGGAAAGTCCCAAGAACTGCAAAGAAAAATAATTAACAGAGCAAATGATTTCACTCAATGTTAACTATAGCTAGGAAAACTACACATAATTAAGGTTGTCAAAGGAAGATTAATCTGTCATCATGGATAAAATTAATCAGATAAATCAATAAGATGAATACAGGGGAACCCAATATAACCAGAGGCTGCATCCTTATAAACTGCACACATTATAACCTCATGCAAAACAAAATCTCTCTCTGATCCTGTTTTTCTTCCTATAAAATGTTAGAAATTAAAATGCAAACAATGGCTCCTAAATTTGTGCATCAGAGTCACTTGTAGAGATTCTTAAAAATAAGAGTTCAAGGGCAAACCAGAAACAGGAAAGTAAATTAAATCTGAAGTAGGCAGAAGACAATAAATGATGAGATTACAGCAGAAATCAGTGAAATTGGAAATAGAAAATCAATAGAGAAAAATCAACAACACCAAAAGCTAATTCTTTGAAAAGATCAAGAAAATTAATAATTTCTAGCTTGGCTAAGAAAAAAAGAGAGAGGATACAAATTACTAATATTAAAAATAGAAGAGGAGACATCACCACAGATCTCATGGGCATTAAAAAGATAATAAAGGAATACTGTAAAGTGTTATGGCCATAAATTTCATATCCTAGATAAAACAGACTGATTCCTTGAAAGATACAATCTGTCAAAACTCCCACAAAAAGACAGGGACAATCTGAATAGGCCTGTATCTATTAAAGAAATTGAATCAATAAGTATTAACCTTCTAAAATAGAAAACACCAGGCACAAATGGCTTCACTGGTGAATTCTATCAAACATTTAAGGAAGAAATTAGACCAATTCTCTATAATCTGTTTCAGACAATAGAAGCAGAGGGAATACTTCCTGACACATTCTATAAGGCCAGCATTACCTTAATACCAAAACCGGACAAAGGCATTATAAGAAAACTACAGGCCAATATCTCTCATGAACATAGATGCAAAAATCCTCAATAAAATATTAGCAAAATGAATCCAACAATGTATAAAAAGAAAAACAGACCATAACTAAGTAGGACTCATCCTAAGTGTGCAAGACTGGGTGAACATTTGATCACCAGTTAACATAATCCATCACATCAACTGGCTAAAGAAGAAAAATCACATGATCATATCAACAGACGCATAGAAAGCATTTGATAAAATCCGACACCCATTCATGATAAAAACTCTCAGTAAATTAAGAATAGAGGAGAACTTCCTCAACTTGATAAGGAATATTCACAAAAAAACCTATAGCTAACATCATACTTAATGGTGAGAAACTTGAAGCTTTTCCAACTAGGATCAGCCAAAATAGGAAGCTGTCACCTCTTACCACTCCTTTTCAACACTGCAGTGGAAGTACTAGTTAATGCAATAAGACAGGAAAAGGAAATAAACAGTACTTTGGTTCAAATTTTGACCCTTCTGAAATTCAAGTTGAAACTTAATCTCCAATGTAACAGTACTAAGAGGTGGGGCATTTAAGAGGTGATTGGGTGATGAGGGCTCTGCCCTCATAAATGAATTAATCCATTCGTGGATTAATGCCAAGCAAAAATGTGGGGTCAGAGCCAGAGCCAGGACAGACAACCCCAAGTGGGGTAATGTCTAGTGGAGCAGAGAGAACAGAACCTCGCTGAGATCTCAGAACTGTAGAACTGCCAGCATTCAGCTCCAGCCTGGGAAAGCTGCAGGCACTTGACTGTTACTTGTGAGAACTGAAGCCTGGGAGAGCCCAGGAAAGCCTAGGTGGTGGGGCTGCCTGAGGCCCTGGGATCCAATCCTCACACTGGTGTATCTAGGAAGCAAGACATGGAACCAAGGAAGATTACTCTGGAGCCTCAAGGCTTAGTTTTTCCTTTGGGTGTTGGACTTATTTGGGACCTGTTACCCCTTTCTTCTTGCCTATCTCTCCCTTATGAAATGAGAATGTCTTACACCTGTCCCACCATTTATTTTGGAAGTAGGTAACACGTTCATTTCACAGGCTCACAGCTGTAAGAAATTTACCTCAAGATGAATTGTCCTTTGAGCATTACTCACATCTGATTCGATGAGACTCTAGACTTTGGGGCTATAAACATGGAATGAATGTATTTGTATATGAGAAGGACATAGAATTTGTGGGGGCCAGGGGCAGAATGCTGTGGTTTGAATGTTTGTCCCCTCTAAAACTCACATTGAAATTGAATTCCCAATGTAACAGTATTAAGTGGGGCCTTTAAGAGGTGACTGGGTCATCAGGGCTCTGCCCTTATGAATGGATTAATCCATTTGGGGATTAATGGATTAAGGGGTAATGAATCAATGGGTTATCATAGGAGTGGGTTACTTTCACTAGAGTGGGTCTGTTGTAAAAGCCAGTTTGGTTTTCTCTAGTAAGCCCCCTTGCCATGTGATGCCTTCTGCCATTTTATGAGGCAGTAAGAAGGCCCATACCAGATGTAGCCCCTTGACCTCGGACTTCCCAGTCTACAGAACTGTAATAAATTTACTTTGTTTATCAATTACCCAATGAGCCCTCATGTAAACTATGGACTTTGGGTGGTAATGATGTGCCAATGTAGGTTCATCAATTGTAAGAAAGGGAGTACTCTGGTGGGGGATGCTGAAAATGGGGGAGGCTGTGCAGGGGCAGTGGTAAGTGTAGATGGACACTCTCTATACCTTCCTCTCAGTTTTGGTGTAAGCCTAAAACTGCTCTGAAAAATTAAAGTCTTTTTTAAAAAAATAGTGTCTAAAGGCCTCCTTCATCATACCTACTACAACAGTATCTATCTCCAGGGGATCTTCAATCAGAAGATTTGCCTGGGATTTGCATTTAAAACCAAATCAAACCAAACCTTCAGGTGACTTTGAGGAAGCTAATTAAAGGAACAAGCCTTAAATTCATAAAATAATTTCCCATGAAAAAGATGAAATAAGATAACTAGTGTTTGCTAGACACAGTTAAAGAAAGCACAGAGATATTGATAAGATGACATTTTTAATGCCAATAAAATCATAACAACTTACTCATTTAGTGCTCACTTATCATGTGGATTTTAGTACTGGTATTTACAACTAATTAGAAGGTGTGGACTGATTCAAGATGTTTTCTTTCTGTCCATAAAGAATATATTTTGTATAGAGTACAAATACTCCACAGTCAGTGCTCAATATTTTCTGAATTACACTAAGTTGGGCAAACAAATAAGTTACTAAGTACTTGAATGTCTATTATCTTCCAATTCTCTTTCAAGAAAAACACACTCGTGCCACTCTGAGTACACAGAATTCCCTGAAGCTGGGTGTCAGAAGAGGGAGTTTGTGTAAGTAGCATGGCATGAAAATTGTTAGCTATGGGCCACATCGAGTAAATATCTCTTTTCATCAACGCTTAATCACCAACGTTTAATAGAAATAAATTATGCTGAGAGAAGAGGCCAATTGTTTTGCTTTTTTCAAACTGTTTTCTAATGAGACTTAATAATTCATTGCTTTTCTAAAACTTAATTACTGAGTCTAAAAGGCTAGATGAGATTTAAGTTTATATTCATCAAGATAATAAACAGATCTTATCTCAGTGATGCATTCAAGGATGTTAATGATCCTTGGAAATATGGGTCTAGAAATATTTCATCGATGAGTACACATATCATAATGCACAGATATATCCATTAGAAACAAATGTATGTGTTTGCCAAAACTCTACTTTTTAAAAAAATCTGCTTCTTATTCAGGAAAAGATTCATGTGAGGTTATAGTATTCAGATAAAAGATTCTGGAGGCCGGGCGCGGTGGCTCACACCTGTAATCCTAGCACTTCTGGAGGCCGAGGCAGGTGGATTACCTGAGGTTAGGAGTTCGAGACCAGCTTGCCCAATGTGGTGAAACTCCGTCTCTACTAAAAATACAAAAATTAGCTGGGCGTGGTGGCACATGCCTGTAATCCCAACTACTTGGGAGGCTGAGGCAGGAGAATCGCTTGAACCCAGGAGGTAGAGGTTGCAGTGAGCCAAGATTATGCCACTGCACTCCAGCCTGGGCAACAAGAGTAAAACTCCATCTCAAAAAAAAAAAAAAAAATTCCTAACCTCCTGTCTGTTTATAGCGTTTCATCCATTTACTTCTTCTTCTTGCACACTGTATAGCACATAGTGGGCACTCAATGAATATTTATGGAATCCACAGATTTAAACCTAGTGTTCTAAATGGCCAATTGATAATAGAATCTATTTACAGATACAGCTTGGAGCTAAATCTTATGCAAATATCTCATTCTGCTAGATTTTAATATTTTTTCCATTGAGTACAAAAAGCATTTGAAGTGATTTACAATAACATATTCTAATGAAACAATTACATGAAACTAAGATTACAAGCCATACAGTAGATTCTTACATTTAAGCTTAGCATGAGCTTTTAAAATGCTAATTCTTGTGTACCACCTTGGAGATTCCAATTAAAAAGATGTGTGAAAGGGCTTAGTAAGTAGCATTTTTAACTAGCACCGCCAAGATTCTGATGCAGCTGTTCTAAGAATGACACTAGAGAAATACTCCCATAAAAGAAGCGAAGGGGAAAACTAAGCCAAATTTGTTTCCACACCTGAGCCTTGAGTTTAGCTCTTGCTGTCTTGGCAGCCAAGACAAAAAGGAATTAAAGAGGAAGCAGCCACTGGCTGATAGCAGGAAGCCTGGCAGTTTGTCAGAAAAGGCCAATAAATTGCTTCAAATCTTTTTGTAAACAGGCACAGTATGCACATGGAGAGAAAAAATGTCCCTAGCATTAACAAAAAAATAATTTACCAGATGGCACTTCATGTGAAGGACATTAAGTAATAAAAATGAAAATGTTCTTATGAGCAATTTTGGAGAATATATAGAAATATCATCAAATGAACATTTCTTATTCTAATCTATTTTAAGCATGAGAACAAACTTTTAAACACTGGTGGTGGGATTCTAAGCTGGTACAGCCTCCTTGGAGATCATGAAAGACACATGTTCCTTACAATCCAACAACTCCACTCCTAGATTGAGAAAAACTCCCTTGTGTGCACTAGGAGTTGAGTATGAGACAAGTCACAAATATGACTGTTTATATTTGCAAAAAATTGGCATCATATCAAGAAAAATGAGGGAATAGTAATATATTCATAAAATAAACTATCATAATTAGGGAAAAATTAATGAACTCAAAGTATATGTACCCATATGAATTTTATAAATATATAACACTGAGGGGGGAAAAAGCCACTTACAGAAGAATATAGTGTGATACACTGTGTGTAAAGTTTAAAAGCATACCAAATACTTCCATGCATTGTTTCAAAAAACATCAGTGAGTAAAAATGTAGAGAAATGCATGGGATGGATACCAAAGTCAAGGACAACCAGTTAGTTACTATGGATAGGGTAGAGGGCAATGGGATTAGGGAGGATTAGAGGTTCGATTGTATTGTAGTGTTTTATTTCTTTAGTAGGGTAGAAGGTGCATGGAGGATTATTATACGTCTGAATTATTTCATAAAAAATCAATGAAAGCTACAAGGGCGTAATATTAAACTATATCCTAGGGATATAATTTAATGGGATATAATTATATCCTAGGGATAAAATTTAATGTAGTCCATGTAGATTCCTTTCCAGTGGTAACAACAGGAAGATGTGGGAGCACAGTGGAATGGATAGGGAACATGTCCCATATACTAAAGGGCAGTCTGTCCCAGACGGAGCTCTCAGAGGTTAAAGAAATCAAGGAGTATCTGTACTCCAGATACACTGCAGTCATTAAAAAGAGCACGACTAATCTGTATAAACTGATAGAGAAATATGTCTCCCACATATTAGGAAACAAAAGCAAGTTATACAATAGTAATGCTTAGTATGATACCATTTTAGAAAAGAAAAGATGTATACTTGTAGACTTGTGAAATGTTACCTAAAGAAACATGGTAGACCTGGGGAGAATGGGGTGTTTTTGTTTCACTTCATACCCTAGTACACCTGTTACATTTCATAATAAGCACCTATTATTTTTATAATTCAACACATGATTTCTCCAGCGAGGGCTTGAGGAAGTGCTTCCACATCTTGGCTTCACTTTGAAATCATCTGGGACACTTTTAAAATGTGACTTCCAGACCATGCCCCAGTCCAACTTAAGATTTCTGGGAGGGAGGTGGGGGGCAGCCCCCGCCCGGCCAGCCGCCCCGTCTGGGAGGGAGGTGGGGGGCAGCCCCCGTCCTGGAGGGAGGTGGGGGGCAGCCCCCACCCGGCCAGCCGCCCCGTCCGGGAGGGAGGTGGGGGGCGCCTCCGCCCAGCCGCCACCCCGTCCGGGAGGTGAGGGGCGCCTCTGCCCGGCCGCCCCTCTGGGAAGTGAGGAGCCCCTCTGCCCGGCCGCCACCCCGTCTGGGAGGTGTACCCAACAGCTCATTGAGAATGGGCCATGATGACGATGGCGGTTTTGTGGAATAGAAAAGGGGGAAATGTGGGGAAAAGACAGAGAAATCAGATTGTTGCTGTGTCTGTGTAGAAAGAAGTAGACATAGGAGACTCCATTTTGCTCTGTACTAAGAAAGATTCTTCTGCCTTGGGATGCTGTTGATCTATGACCTTGCCCCCAACCCTGTGCTCTCTGAAACATGTGCTGTGTCCACTCAGGGTTAAATGGATTAAGGGCGGTGCAAGATGTGCTTTGTTAAACAGATGCTTGAAGGCAGCATGCTCATTAAGAGTCATTACCACTCCCTAATCTCAAGTACCCAGGGACACAAACACTGCGGAAGGCCGCAGGGTCCTCTGCCTAGGAAAACCAGAGACCTTTGTTCACTTGTTTATCTGCTGACCTTCCCTCCACTATTGTCCTATGACCCTGCCAAATCCCCCTCTGCGAGAAACACCCAAGAATGATCAATAAAAACAAAACAAAACAAAACAAAACAAAAAAAGATTTCTGGAGGTAGGGTTCAGGCATCAGTATTTTTTTTAAAGCTCCATGGAAAAAAAAAATTTAATGTGCACTGAAGATTAAGAGTGCCATATGAGCAGTGTTTTTATTATGAAAATTAAATACATGAATCTTGTATTCTCTCCCAGACAGAATGCCATCAACTCCTAAAGGAAGAAGAACTAGGGTTACTTATAGTCTGGGAAAAACTTTGTGGACAAGTAAGGTCTGATATATTGAAGTGCCCAGGATGGTCTAAAGCTTAAAACCCCAAATTCCACGTCCCTGAGTAGGAAAGAGATATTTGCCCCAGAAAAAAAGAGTTGTCAGACAGTGACCATGTAAGCATTTCACCAGATTCCTATAAAACATCTCATTTTGACCAATACTGGTAGTTTGTGAGGGTGAGGAGGTTTTACTTTTTTCACACATTTATTTTAGAAATTTAAAAATTTACATAAGTAAAAGAAAAATGACCATAAAGCCATATCCCCCATGGTATTTTGGAATAAGCCTTCTATCTAGATGGTTTTCTCCACATATATTTATACATACAATTACTCATACAAAAGTGAAATGAATGCCAGGCTTTGTAACTGGCTCTTTTTCACATATTGTAACAAGCGTATCTTTCCACATAACACTACCCACCAGGACCAAGTCACTGCAAAATATATCCCGAAGTAGCTAAAAAACTAGTATGTTTGATGGAATAAATTGAGAATGAATCCTACTATGCTGAAACAACAAATTTGGTGGTTGTTCTTTCACACAGTGATTGGCAATTGGGCCAGTTCCTTAAGGCTGTTCCTGAGTCATGAGATAAAGGCATGTCTCAGCATGGAGGAGGATGTGCATCTTCCATGAGACCACCTTCCATGCCAGCCACTTCCTGAGGAACAGAAGGAAAGGCACTGCCATTATCCCATTCTGTGTGGGTGGTGCCTCTAGGTTCCTGGATTCTCAATTCTATTATGGCCACAGTGCTCCAAGAGGGAAAGTGTCAGGGAGATTAGATTTGGTCAACTTCTTTCAATGAGAACAACTAAGAGAAGCACTTCATAGTGATTTCACATCCTTTCAAAACTTATTCTCAAATCAACCTTGTGAAGTCGGTATTATCGAACTTTTTGTTTTATAGGTGCAAAAACCGATGCTAAGTTTAGAAAAGTGAGCACTATACTCACACATATATGAAGACAGACTTTTAAATCTAAAATACTAATGGCATAGAATCTGGAAGAAAAAAAACTAAAATTTACTAGGTACCTACAATGTGTCTGGCATTTTCATGTACTTTATTTAATTCCCACAATAATATATGAGGGTTAGCAGTATCAACTCCATTTTACAGGAAAAGAACTGAGACACTGAGAAGTAGTAATTTGAAAAAGGTCACATAGTTGTTAAAAGGGAAAAGCAAGATTTGTGCTCAAGTATAACATGTCTGATTCTCTTGACTATGGCACAGTACTTCTCTCAGGGTTCTAGAAGGATGAAGTAACTTGCACATGGCCAGGATGCTGGAGAACTTGTACAGAATCTTGAGTTTTCTAGATCTAAAGCCCCTATTCTTTCCCATACACAGCCGGTTTACTCACATTTTGCAGGTAATTAATATTAGCAAGAGATCTGAGAATCCTATTGACCTATCAAAAACTGTGTGAAGTCTAGGATTTTACTCTGCTTAAAAGCTAACAGGTTACCCTAATACCACTGGTTTCACAGATAACGGCAGAAGACACAAGGCCACTGGGTCAGAGACAAAGGACTTTATTACTCATGTTGGTTTACATTAGCCCCCAAGTCCTGTGAGGGTGATGTACCATGGATGCTGTGCATACAACAAGGGAAGCAAGCTTCCTCTTTAAGGGGAGAATTAACTTATCCCTCCAGGTTGTTTGCTGCAAGCACAACTTTGACAAATAAGTGGCCCATGTAAAAAGCAATCAGGGGCTTTCTTGGCATACTCAGTAAGAATATGCAGGGACACAGGCCCTGTGGCAGAGTGCTTCTATAAACATGACCTGAAGGTTGATAAACTAACAGCTACTCAAATGGCAGAGCACAGGAAAATGTCCCATATTTCAGTATTTAAATCTCTATAATCTGCATATTTCTTTTTAAACTGGCACGTGTAATTCTTTATTAATTAATTAATGCTTTAAAGTTGTGGTCAATTTTGAAATATGGGATCAGTATCTCTGGGTTTGTTTCAGACTAATGATAACTTCCAGGATGAAGTGAAAACAATGTAATATAAATGTGAAAATAATTTCATTTCTGAATGACTTTAATTTATATTAGTAGCTGTACTTACTGCCATCCTGAGTGGGGCAGGGAATACACAATGGAGTAGAGTTCTTTCCCTCAAATAGTGAACAAATAGCATGATGGCATAGGATAACCAGTTATGAACTAAGATAGATACTGAAATAAGACACTGAAATAACTGAGTCCAAATAAATAGGGCATTAGGAGTTTACCGTGAACAGATCATTGTGGAATGAAATGGTCAAAGTGTCATAGAGATGGGACTTAAAATTGTAACTAATATTACCAAGGAACTACTATATGTCAGGTACTAGATTGTTTTATATGCATTATTTAAACTACATGACAACACCCTGAAATATAAGTATCATGATTATCCCATCTTGCAGAGAGAGAAGCAGGTGAAGAGAGCTGAATTGCCGGCATGGTCTGATACTCAGATTTGCCTGAGACTTCCCACTTTAGGGACCAGAGTCCAGACTGAGCAACTAAGCTTAACCTGGACCTTCGTGAAGTGCAAATCTCCTCTTACTCAGCATCACAAAGGTGCACTGGTACACAGAGTGTTGTCAGGACAGACTAATCTCCATGACACTGGAACTTTTGCTCTTTCCTGTGTATTAATAATTTATCCTGCCACATACCTAAACTTAAGTGTTTTCTTTATAAGACCGAAACTTACATAGAAATTTGATGACTTTTTGAGTCCTGTGGCAAAACTTAGTTAAGCTCCAATATACTATTTTAGATGGTGTTTGAATCACAAGGGGATGTTTCCTTCAGATTCCAGAAATTTGGACTAAGAAACAGAGTTATGTCAACACATCTTATTTATATTACAGTTTTTATTGTCAGTTTTTAAACAAATATTTACTGCACATCTACTTAGTACTAGGAATAGGGGATAAAAGGTGTGCAGAACAAGCACAATTTCTGTCTCAGTGGAGCCTGTGATCCAAGAATAATATAATCAAACATTTGTTTCCTAAACTGTAACCAATGGGACCCAATAAAACCTAGTCTGTGTGATACTACCCAATATATTCTTCTAGCTGATTTTATTACTAAAAGATTGCTGTCAAACACAATAAAAATTTGTTTTAAGTTGCCTTCTTAACTAATTAATTCATTTGGCTTTCTGGGCACTGTGAACTATTTAACTGAACAAATTTAGCTTTGTGGAAACCTTTGAACCAGATTTATGGCTTATCCACAGCAGTATTGGGCATTGATGTTTTAAGCCTCAGTCATGGCTCCATTTTAAGCCCTCATCCTTATTTATTCACTTAAGCTATTTTGAATTTTCTGCAAGCTGTCTCATTCCTTTCTGGAAGATGACAGGAAAAACATGAATGAAGGAATGAGCAAGCAAATAAACACGTATACACATACACTTCTCTAGCATTGCATGGTCTTACCGAATTGTAAAGATTTGCTTCTCCATCTCCCTTACTGCACTTGAGCTCCTTAAAGACAGGGGCTTTCTTGGCATACTCAGTAAGAATATGCAGGGACACAGGCCCTATGGCCTTAAAGACAGGTAAATTATCTTATTCAGGTTTGTATCCCTAACGTCTAGCATAAAACTACAGTGCACTAAGGTTTTAATAAAAATATGTTTTTGGCCGGGCGCAGTGGCTCACACCTGTAATCCCAGTGCTTTGGGAGGTCAAGGCGGGCGGATCACCTGAGGTCAGGAGTTTGAAACCAGCCTGGCCAACATGGCGAAACCCCCTCTCTACTAAAAATACAAAAATTAGCTGGGTGTGGTGGTGGGCACCTGTAATCCCAGCTACTCAGGAGGCTGAGGCAGGAAAATAGCTTGAATCCAGGAGGCGGAGGTTGCAGTGAGCTGGGATCCTGGGATCGTGTCATTGCACTCCAGCTTGGGCGACAGGAGCGAAACTCCGTCTCAAAAAAAAAAAAAATTATATATATATATACACACACACACACACACACATATACATATATATACACACACATATATACATATATACACACATATATACACATATATACATATATACACATATATATACACACATATATATACATATATATACACACACACACATATATGGGGAACTGGGTGACTTGTCCTATATATACATATGTTTTTAGCACAACAGAGTTTAAATCTCATTATTGGGCCAATGTTAACATCTCCTAATAACATTATAATTTCTATGTCATTACTGATGACACAGAAATGTAATGGCCTTCTTATTGCATAACTCCACCTCTGTGCCACATGCTATAAATTAATGATTTTGATACTTTTTCTTCTACTCCATTCTACTGCATTAAAAAAAAAAAGCTTATTTGGGTCAACTGGACATTGGTTGCACCCTGATATGCCATGATGTGGAACACAAAGCACTATCTAGGAAGTATTACCCCAAAATGCTAATTGCAATTCAATGCACTGATTTCATACGCACAGTTTGAAACAATGCCTATCCTACACGAGGGATCTTATCTCTTTCTCAAATGGCTAAATCCCAGAACAATAACAAAAAAACTTATAAAAAAATCCAAAGATGTACAATAAAGAAAAATGCATAATGCAACTCCAATGTAGCCATTATCAAGCTCAAACAATGATCAATTCATGGCCAATCTCATTTCATCTCTATCCTACCAAATTTCCCTATCCATCCTTGATTATTGTGATGTATATCTTGGGTAGCAAATCATTTAATATGTAAACATTTTAGCATGTATCACTAAAGTAAGGATTTTTCTATTAAATCATAACCATTGCATTGCACTGTTTATCTCACTTAAACATTTTTTTAAGTAATTCTTCAGTATCATTAGATACCCTGTCAGTGCTCAAAAATTTTTAAATGTTTCACTAGTGCTTTAAAAAAAAAGGTTTATGTGTTTGAGTCAGGATTGAATTAAGATCTGTATGTTGGAACTGGGTGACTGGTCTTTAACTCTCTTTTAATATGCAGGTTCTCTTCCCTCTCTCCCCCACCTTTTTTTTTTTTTTTTTTTTGTCATTGCTATTTATTTGTTAAAAAAAAAAAAACACCAGTCATTTGTCCTATAGTTTCCCACAGTCTAGATTTTGCTGACAGTACCCCTATGGTGGTGTTTAACATGTTCCTCTATTCTCTTTTTCTCTTGTAAATTGGTATCTAGATCTAGAGGTCTGAACAGTTTCAGTTTGATTTTCTTTTTAGATGGAGTCTTCCTCTGTTGCCCAGGCTGGAGTGCAGTGGCGTGATCTTGTCTCACTACAACCTCCACCTCCCCAGTTCAAGCAATTCTCCTGCCTCAGCCTCTGAAGTAGCTGGGATTACAGGTGCTTGCCACCACACCTGGCTATTTTTTATATTTTTAGTAGAGACGGGTTTCACCACGTTGGCCATTGTTGGCCAGGCTGGTCTTGAACTCCTGACCTCAGGTGATCCACCCACCTTGGCCTCCCAAAGTGCTGGGATTACAAGCATGAGCCACCATGCCCGACTATTCAGTTTGATTTTTTTTGGCCAGAAGACATCATAAGTTGTCACAAACTTTTACCTAATGTCTGGTTGTCTCTGCTTTGGTGACATTAGCAGCCATTTCTGATTATTACTTAAATCTGTTATTACATCAGGGGTTGCAAAAAGGGTGATACTCTAATTCTTGTCATTCCTGCTTGGTTTATTGGCTGGAACATTTCTATAAAGAGAAACTTCCCCGTTACCTATTTGAAAAGATAGGATACCTGCTTGGATCTTTATTTTTCAGTTTTCAACCTCCATGTGACTAATGATATTTTGATTTTAAGTATCATTAGGATTCATTCTAGGATCCTCCAAAGGTGATTAATTAATTAATTTATTTATTTTTAGAATAATAAATTCTTGGAAATAACATATCCCACTGGATATCCCATTGAAGTACGTTCAAGTCTACCATTTAAAAACAAAAAACAAGTCCCTCACTGGATCTCTCCTGTCTTCTTCCTGGCCAACCTTTGCAGTATCACCTGTACTAACCCCCTCTACTTCCTGACCTCTAACTCACTCTTTAGCCCTCTTTTAACTGCAGTGTGGCCCCACCACTCCACGAAAGCAGCTCCTGCTAAGGTCATTAGTGACAGCTATTTTGCTAAGACCAAAGGTGACTTTTCAGGCTTCAACTCACCTGACCTTTCAGCACTGTTGACCACTACTTTTCTTCTTGAAGCACTCTTTCCCCTCGCTCCCATGACACTGTAATGTCCTGTTTTTCTCTCCTGCCTCTCTGGCTACACCTCCTTTGTTGGTTTTCAACCTTAACTTCTTACTCAACTATGAAATCTTGGCAGTTTTAAGGTTCAGTCTCAGAACATTAATCTTCTCCACCATACTGTCTGTCAAGATGATCTCATCCACACCCAATCACGTACACAAAAATGTCTCACAACAAATTTACATCTTTACCTTTGATCTCTCTGTCTGAAATCTAAACTTTATATCCACTGCCTACTATATGATAGCTCCCTTTGAATGTCTCAGAATAATTCTACTTATTATACACAAAGATAACGTCGGAATCTATGAAAAAACATCCTCTTCTAGTAAATGTCACCATTCACCATTCAGATGCACAAACTCAATGTCATCTCTGACAACTCCATTTATCTCAGCTGCCATACCCCTATCTATCGCCAAGTCCTGGTGATTTATTTCCCAAATATATTTCAAATATGACTCCTTTCCACTTAAACTAGCACTACAAACTTAATCCAAGCTACTTACTGATCCTTTCACCAAGACCACCAAAAGAGCCTGCTCTTTGGGTTCCTCTGATCTACTTGGTTTTTTCTCCAGACATTCTTTACAGTGTAACCAATGCAGACATAATCATGCCAAACCCTGGTTAAAATTCTTCAATAGTTTACCATGGCTCTTAGGATAAACTCCTAAAATGACATGGCTATGCTTCACCTAGAATCTTGCTCTCCTGGAGGACCACCCTTCACTCATTGTCTATGTTTTTTATGCTAAAGGACTTTTGCACATGCTCTCTCTGAAATATACTTCCTTCCTTCTTACACTCATCCTTCAGATAGGCACTCAAAAGTTACTTGCTAAGGGAAGCCTTCCCCTGACCTTCCTGACCAGATCATATCAGGATCACAGCCTGTCCTAACATCTTGCATATAGCCTTCATTGACTTGTCATAGCTGCAGTTTCACATTTCTGTATGTGATTATTTGGTTAATGCTGATTTTCTCCACTACATAGCTTTCATGAAATCAAAAACTGTGGTTCCTTTGTATTCTCAGTGCCTGCCATATGTTAGGTATTCACTTAGTACATGTTGGATGAATGAATAAATGAAAATGAATGGATAAATACTCCAATTTCTTGAAATCAGCATGGTTTAGAAGGCTTAGACATGTACTCATTGAATGTACTTACATAAAGTACTCTATATAAGGTGCACATAACAGTGCCTGTACCTTGATAAGAATATTACACTAATATTGTAAATATATCATAAAGGTTGGCTGTTACTATTATTACTGATTCCACACCCTGTGACAGAAACTATTTTCTGATTACCACTGATTGTATTCCCAATTACTGTGCTTAACTCTATTTAAAAGCTGGACAAAAACTACCTTCTTATTTTCTGTTTTCCTTGCAACTATGGCCATGAGACACAGTTCTGGTCAGTGAAAGGTAAGTTTTCTGGGAGGATCCTAAAAACCTACTATGTCCTAAAAAAATTTTTTAAAAAAAGGGTGTGGGGGAGCTATGGCAGTCCCTTCTCCTTTTTACCTCATGTGAATAGGAATGTGATGCCTGGAGCTGCAGCAGCAATCTTACAACTCTGAGGGAAAGGCCAGTGAAATGGCAGAGCCACTGAAACACCAGAAGTAGCTACCCACCTCCAGCCTTCTCCTTATATGACAAAAATAAACCCTTCTTTTATTTTACTTGTATCTACAAACATTCTTGCTATTCGGCTCAGTAACAAGATTTCCTTCCAGGCAAATCCCCTTATATTGACCAATAATTTTTTTCTTTTTTCTCTTTTTTTTTTCTTTACTAAATATCTCTGCTACTTTCCTTAATACTGTAACCAAAATAAAATACCTGGTTTGTTTTTCTTATAAAATAGAAAATCAATTAAGTCTTAAGAACTAAAGAAAGACTCTTTAAATTTCTTATTTTGAGTTAATTTAAACATATATGGGGATCAGAATAACACCTATTTGGTGACATGGCATCAAACAGAATTCAGGGTACTTTGTTCATTCTCAGATGAAAAATGAAGCTTTAAAGCATTTTAGTGTCTACTCAAGAATATCAATATTAGCATGTGATATATTCTGATGTGATTCCACAGTCAAATATTATATAAATACGTAGCTGGACAACAACTCAAGACACTCTATACACAAAGCTTGACTATGCACAGAGACTGTATTTACTTTTTAGAAATGTACATGTAAGAAATATACACGATGCTTTAAGAACTGATAAATCAGAAGGTGTTAAACAGATTAAACTACGAATTCTCCTTAGTGAAGCCAGGATATTTCACTCATATTCCTAACACGGCATAAAATTTAGGTTTACACATTGAGGGTAAGACTTAGTCAGTTGCATGTAATGTTCATAGAGTAAAAAGGGATATCAACAAAATGATCTTGGTCCAATGCCTTTTGCAGTTTGTTTCAGGTCTGCACCTAAAATGGGGAGGATGGACAAGTTTTCAGACTGTGCTCTACAGAGCCTAACAGCCAAGTCTCCAAGCCTTCTACCCCAGAAGACAGAGCAGATCTGTTTTTATCTGCTTAAATATTGATTTTCTACAAAAGATTTTCTTCAAAATAAGAACTCAGCTGGGTGTGGTGGCTCACGCCTATAATCCCAGCACTTGGAGAGGCCAAGGCGGGCGGCTCACTTGGGGTCAGGAGTCAAGACTAGCCTGGCCAACATGGCAAAACCCTGTCTCTACTAAAAATACAAAAATCAGCTGGGCGTGGTGGCAGGCACCTGTAATCCCAGCTATTCAGGAGGCTGAGGCAGGAGAATAGCTTGAACTGGGGAGGCAAAGGTTGCAGTGAGCTGAGATAGTGCCATTGCACTCTGGCCTAGGAAACGAGAGCAAAACTCCATCTCAAATAATAATAATAATAAATAAAATAAAATAACTCAATAATTAAAAATAATTTGGAAGCTATTGGACAAAATTAACTCTTAAGTCTTTTCTAGTATTAACAGTCATAATAAAAATAACGTGGGTTTTTTTTCTGTTTTTGTTTTTGTTTTTTTTTTTTTCTTTGAGACAGGGTCTCACTTTGTTGCCCAGGCTGGAGTGCAATGGTGTGACCTCGGCTCACTGTTGCCTTAACCTCCCCAGGCTCAGGTGATCCTCCCACCTCAGGTTCCTGGCTAATTTTTTCATTTTTTGTCAAGATGGGGTTTTGCCATGTTGCCCAGGCTGCTCTCAAACTCCTAGACTCAAGTGATCCTCCTGCCTTGGTCTCCCAAAGTGCTGGGATCACAGGTGTGAGCCACCGTGCCCGGCCTTGAAATAATTTATTTAAGCTCCTAAATGTTGAGTGCTTTAAGAGCATCTAAATATGTACACAAAAGGAAAATTCATGCGATAATGTGGGCTTGACTTATTTTCAAGAATATATGCAAGCTGAATTAACGTACTTACCTTGTGAAAATGCCATCCACAATCCCAATTGTCGCTTCTTCTGCAGGAACATAGGAGCCAATCTGAGCCATGATGGTAATCAATGCAACTTGTTTTATGTAGGAGCTCTTTCCACCCATGTTTGGTCCGGTAATTATCATTACTCTCTCTGAGTCCTCCTGAAAATTAGAAAGGAATTTCACTTATTGTACCAGAAAAGTTTTTGATAATATCCACAATTTATCTCATAAGTGGAAATGCATTAGGCAAAACATTACTTTGTAGCATAAATATCACAAAAGGAAAGCGGTCCTCTGTCTTCAACCTGAACTGTGTGATACTGCAGAAAAGTGAATTCTTAGCAGTACACACAGCTATTCCTGGGTATTAAAAAGGAAATAAGACCAGAAGTGGATAACTGCTATGGCTTTCTCATTAAGCATTTTTTAATCTGCCTATGTGCATATTCTCCCTATTGCTTATGTTTAAAGACTATCAATTTCCATTTGTCCATCTTAAAACAACAGGTATTACATATCTATTTGCCCATGGCCCTATTTGGGGTTGGCAGCACATGTAATTTTTGGCAGCAATTTTTCAGTTATAGGTAGATGACTACTAAAAGATATAACATCAAATTCTAGACATTGGTTTACCAGCATTTAATTATTTACTAGCATTCACCACAGCATGTGAACGAGGCAGAATTGTAACTCTTGCAACAACTTAATTTTCTAGGACTTATCTGTACTGATCAATTATAGTATTTTCCAGGTACACACCCCTGCTAAGGGAAACTGTCCAACTACAGCCCTTGGCAGAGGAGTTAGCCCAGGGCATCCATGCTCTGGGCTATGTGAATCCCACATTTTGGCAATAGCTCCCTGGTCAAGAGTAGCCAAGCTGGCCAGGCGCGGTGGCTCACACCTGTAATCTCAGCACTTTGGGAGGCCAAGGAGGTGGATCGCTTGAGGCCAGGAGTTCAAGACCAGGCTGGCCAACATGGCAAAACCCCAACTATACAAAAATTAGCTGGGTGTGATGATGCCAGTTCTCGGGAGGCTGAGACATGAGAATCACTTGAATCCAGCAGGTGGAGGTTGCAGTGAGCCAAGACAGCACCACTGCATTCCAGCATGGGTGAGAGTGAGACTCCATCTCAAAAAAAAAAAAAAAAAGCCAGAACCAGCCAATGGGCCTAGCTAGCATAAAAGCTTCTCAAACTAGGCCAATCAAATAATCTTTTGGGAGTTAACTGAGAACCAGTGAGGTTCAATTACTTGGTAACTTGAAGAGAGGCTAAAAAGAATCACAGAACCAGGCCACAAGGCACTGGGGATCATAAGTAAGTAGTTATGAGAAAATAAAAGGTATGATGAAAAATTATTTAGACCAGGGGTAAAGAGGGTAATTAGTAATGAAAGGAAGAAAAGATAGACAAAAGCCAAAAGGAAGTGAGAAACTTCACACAAACAACTGGGTATCAAAGTAAAGCCTTATAACATGTTACTAATGGGGGATAAAAAGAAAACCTGTTCCATCCCTAAAGCTGTATCATATTCTAATTAGCCACACATTTCCAGTCTCCCTAATGCCAAACTGTGCTAGAGATCCTGCTCTTCCTGTGTAATTCCTTTCTCTTAAGGCTCCATATGGCTTTATATTGCACCTAATATATCTCCATTACTTGAAGGAACTTGAGTATACCTGTGTTTCTTGTGACAGAAAGAGCTTAACACAATAAGAACCTGGAAAGTAGTTTGGTATAAGCAGAATGATAAAACTAATGATAAAAATAAAATGAATTTTACAGAGAGTAAAAAATAAGCGTGTCATAAAACAATGATAAAAATAATGATAAAAATAAAATGAATTCTACAGAGATTAAAAAATAAGCCTGTCATAAAACAATCAAATATTGGCATGATCAAATATTTTATATCTCTTTTTAATCTCTTTAATCTCTTTTTAATCTCTTTTTTAATATGTCTATCTCCTTTTTTAAAAATCACAAAACGACACAAGAAATAGAAAATCTAACAATCCTATATTTATTACATTTGTAAAAGCCCTTCCACAAGAAAAACTCTAAATGCAGAGAACATCCCTACTGAATTCTTGCAAACATTTAAGAAAGAAATAGCACGAATATTACAAAAATTCTTCCAGAGAACAAAACAAGAATTTTTCCCAAATAATTTCAGATTTGGATATCTTATCAAACCTGAAAAGAACATTACAAGAAAAATTACAGACCAATTTCACCCATAAATATACATGCAAAACTTCTTAATAAACTATTAATAAGTCAATCCAAGGTTATACAAACCATTTAGAGCTTTTGAGGAATACAAAGTTGGTTTAATAATCAAAAGCCAATCAATGTAATTCACCACATTAACAGAATAAAGAAACCATACAATTATCTCCAATAACACAGAGAAAGTATTTGATAAAATTCAACATTCACTTGTGAAACAAATGGGCAGGAGAGGGAAATAAAAATAAAAGGTATAAGGGCTAGAAAGTAAATAATAAAACTCATTATTCCTATATGTCATGATTGTGCTCCCAGAAAATCCAAGGAAATCTATAAAAATTGAATTTTGGATACAACTTCAGTATTCAAAAA
The DNA here is from genome assembly GCF_000001405.40 of Homo sapiens. Classification (NCBI taxonomy): domain Eukaryota; kingdom Metazoa; phylum Chordata; class Mammalia; order Primates; family Hominidae; genus Homo; species Homo sapiens. Next base: position 80,811,130 of record NC_000005.10, on the reverse strand, counting down.
TCAACTTTTCCCCTATATTTTAGCAACAAATACAGGTTGAGTATCACTTATCCAAAACGCTTGGGGACAGAAGTGTTTCCAATTTCAATTTTTTTTTTATCTTGAAATATTTGCATTACAAATAAAATCTAAAATGCTCTGAAATCCAAAGCTTTTTGAGCAACAATATGATGCTCAAAAGAAATGCTCATTGGAGCATTTCAGATTTTAGATTTTCAGATTAGGAATGCCCAACCTGTAATTCAAAATAAAACATTGTTAATGATACAATTTACCATAGTATCAAAAGAAATCAAATACCTAGGAATAAATCTAACAAAATGAGCAAGTCTCTACACAGAAAACTACACAACATTATTGAAAGAAATTAAAGAAGACCTAATTAAATGAAGGAATATACCATGTTCATGAACTGGATGACTCAGTATTATAATGCTACAGTAATTACAGTAGTGTGATTTGGCACAATGACATACATATCTAACCAGTGGAATGGAAAGCACAGAAACAGATTGACATGTATACAGTTCCTTGATTTATGACAAAGGTGACACTGCAGCACAGTAGACAAAGGACAGTCTTTTCAACACAGTATGCTGTCAAGATATGGAGAGCAATATGGAAACGCCTAGCAAAGTTAAAGATTGTGTATATTGGTCTAGATGACCCAGCAATTCCTCTTTTAAGCATCTACCCAAGAAACATACAAGTGCTCAAAAAGGCATGTATAAAACTGTTCACTGTAATATTGTTTGTATGTATTCATAACTGACAAAAATAGAGATAATCTAATTGTCTAATGTGAGGAAAATAAATAGATCTACTTGTACAATTGTTAAAACAATTATTTACAATGCAGAATACTAAGATAAGCTCAGTGAGACATTAATGTACCTTTTTTAAAATACACAAAACATGATTATATGCTACTAGTTTATATATATATATATATATATATGTATGTCAAACAAAAGAATAAAAACCATGCATAAGGATAATAAATAACATCAGGATAATGGTTACCATGTAGGTTAGGAGATGAAGATGGAGAAAAAGGAATAGCAGTTAATTACGTATGACCTTAGCTGTATCTGCAATTTTTTATTTACTTAAAAAACTCCTAAATATTACAAAACGTCAATCTCTACGACATTTGTGTGATGGGTAAATAGGTGTCTGTTATACTGTTTTATATACTTTTTCATTGGCTGAAATCATAAAAAATCAAATAAATTTTCTTAGTTATTTCATGGATCACCATCACAAACAATTCAATAACTCCTTACAAACACATTTATGTAATTTAGGAATAATTCACATAACTTCCAAATGACATTTTGTTATTTGGACTTCAGAACATTACATACAAATAAAGCAATAGAGAAAAGTACAAAATGGAAAGTGAAAGAATGTAATGCCAGAGAGAATGTAATGTAAGAATGCAATGCCAGAGAGAATACCGCACAGAAGGGTTACGTGTGTCATGCCAAGGCTCCCTGAACTGTGACAGCATTGTTAAAGGAGCTGTCTCAAATGGGATTACCAAATTCAACAAGCACATGAGAGGGACCAATGGAAATGCAGAAATAGAAATGTTTTTAAATCGGTAGTTTAGAAAGATATGAGAAAAAAAGAAAAAATATACACTTTTTATTTTGTAGAAACCTATGCCTTCCAATACCTTGAAAGATAAGAGTATTTATACTTATTGTTCAATTTGGCTTTTTCACACAATAAGAATCAATAATTTGACAGTGTATTCTTTAAAAGTATTAACTTGGTAAACTAAAATAATTTAATAAGATTTGTAGTGGTAAAGCATATTATAATACCATTTAGAGTTAGAAGACTGAGGTTCCATTTCTGGCTTAGCCATTGGCTAAATACATTTCATTTTCTCATCTGTAAAATTTAAAAATAACAGAAATCCTAGCCTTACGTGCATTTTGTAAAGTTTAAAACAATTAAGAAAATATATATGAAATTCCTTTGAAACTATAAATGCTATAATTTTTATAAATCATAAATTCTTAAAAATAAAAGATGCCCAAAGCAGCCACATGAAGTCCCAATGCCCTATAAACTAATTAACTGAAACAGAAGAAATGAACTAAAACAAATGAAAATACATTTGGCTTAGGCCTAATGTAAAAGTCAGATGTGAAACTTATTTGAAGGCCTTGATGAGTAAAATGTGTATGGCATTTACATGAATAGAAATATTGCTCTCTTCGAATTTAGATTGTGTATATATATATATATATATATATATGAAGAAGATATATTACCCAAAGTAAGTAAGTCTGACACTTTCCCTTTCCAATATTTTCAAAAGGAATAACATTTTTTATATTGAACTACACAGAAACTGCTGGCTTTTAAAACTATACAATCATGTATATGTTCTTTGAGCATTTCATTTCTCCTGAATTTAATAGGGAATGATGAAGTTTTTAGTTTATTTGAACTTCAGGATTTCAGAGGTAATTGATATACAAAAATCAATTCTTTGTATATATAGAAAAAATATCATATAAAAATTTAGACTTCACAGCTCTAATATTTAAACCATGTTTATTTAGCTGGGAAACAGGTTTCTTCCCGACACCATCCACCACTAAGTGGTGAGTGAGTGAGAGAACAAAATGACCCTTAGACAACTTCTTCAACCAGGTCAAGGCTAGCTACCAAAATCCTGCAGCAAACACAGGCTTAATGGTGAAATGGTAGAAGCCTTTCCTTAGGTCAATCAAGACACGATATCCACATTTTCCTGGAGGTCCCAGATAGAAAAACATAACAATAAAAAGGCATTAGGATGAGAAAGGACAAAACAAAACTGTCATTGGCAGATCACATAGCTGTCCACAAGGAAAACCAAAAGGAATCTCTATACAAAGTATTATAATTAATGAGAGGATCTCTAGCAAAATGGCTAGATTTAAGATCAAGATGCAAACTCAGTTGCATTTTTCTGTAAGAGCAACAAATAATTAGAAGACTATTGTAAAAAAGATATGACCTATATACTAACAAAAAGTACTTAGTAATTAATCTAATAAAAGATGTAAAAACCCTTTATAGAGAACACTTTTAAAATTTATTGAAAGGACTTAAAACCAAAATAAAAATACAGCAGGTCCTCAAATAATGTCATTTCATTACAAAATTGATAAGGGAAAAAAAATTCCCAGCCTGGCCACTGTGTTTGCACATTCTCCCTATGCCTGTGTGGATTTTCTCTGGGTATTCCAGTTTCCTCCCACATGCCAAAGATGTACAAGTTAGGTTCATTGGTGTAATAGCCCCGGTCTGAGGTGGGTATCTGTTAGTGTGCCCTGTGATGGGATGGCATCCTGTCCAGGGCTGGTTCCTGCCTGGTGCCCTGCACTGCCAGGATAGGCTCTGGCTACCCATGACTCCAAAATGGAATAAGTGGGTTGGAAAATGAGTGAATACAAATGATTGTCAAGTAAAAATTCATAAGGCAGGTGATAATCATACAAATGCATGACAATAAACTGATGTAACACAAAAGTGATAAACAAATCTGCCGCACGTATTACTCGTTTTTGAGCTGCATGGTAGTAGGAGGTACTTCTCACAATTTTCACTATGGAAACATTTATTCCTTGATTTAACCCACCATCACTATGACCTCTGTCACTCCCTGATTTACCAAAAATTGTGTATCCAATAATCTTATTTGTTTTTATTAATCTTTCTTAAACACATAGTTCATACTTTTTTCAATGTTTAATATTAGAAGTGTGTTGGGTCTTTATTTAGAAGTTTGATGATGTTTTCTGTGGCCAGAAATATGACATAGGAATTTAACTTTGTTTATATCCATTAGCCTATGGTAAAATTGGTTTCATTATATGTCATTTCACTTAAAGTTGCAGTTATTTCCTTTTCCTTTTTTTTTTTTTTTTTTTTTGAGACAGGGTATTGCTCTGTCACCTGGGCTAGAGTGCAGTGGTGCAAACATGACTCACTGTGCCTCAACCTTCTGGGCTCAAGAGATCTTCCTGCCACAGTCTCCAGAGTAGTTGGGACCATGGGTGGGTGCCATCACATCCAGGTAATTTTTTTGTAGAGATGAGGTCTCCCCATCCCAGGCTGGTCTTGAACTCCTGGGCTCAAGTGATCCTCTCACTTCAGCCTCCCAATGTCCTGGGATTACAGATGTAAGCCTCCATACCCAGCCAGCAGTTTCCAAGAACGTATTGATAATGTCAAGTGAGGACTGACTGTATCTACTGGTTTCATGGAGGGACATATTCATATGTTCACATATGTATCATAAAGATGTCAACTCCTCCCCAAATTGATCTATAGGGTCAATGCAATTCCAATACAAATCTCAATTTTTTTCCCCCAATTAACTGAGTAAGTTGACTCTAAAATAGAGAGAGGAGCAAAAGCTAAATAGAAATTAGGAATTCTATTAGGAGAATAGGAGGGGAGAACTTTCCCTACAGATGTAAAAAGTTATTATAATGCTATAGCAAATAAGCTTGTGTGATTCTGGCTTGCACACAAACACTGACCAGTGAAAAATAAGAGTTCAGAACAGCCCCATAAAAATGTGGAAACTTAATATATGATAAATAATTCCATAAACTGATGGGAAAAGGATGATTTGAAAACTGGTACAAAACAATTGATTATCCATATAGAAAGATATGAAATTAGATTCCTAACTCATATCATGTATAAAAATAAATTCTGGGCCAGGCACAGTGGCTCACGCATGTAATCCCAGCACTTTGGGAGGCCGAGGCGGGCAGATCATCTGAGGTCAGGAGTTCGAGAGCAGCCTATCAACATGGAGAAACCCCGTCTCTACCAAAAATACAAAATTAGCCAGGTGTGGTGGCACATGCCAGTAATCCCAGCTACTTGGGAGGCTGAGGCAGGAGAATCACTTGAACCTGGGAGGCGGAGGTTGCTGTGAGCCGAGATCGCGCCATTGCACTCCAGCCTGGGCAACAAGAGTGAAACTCCGTCTCAAAAGATAAGTAAATAAATAAATTCTGAGTAGATTGATTAATGACTGAAATTTGAAAATTAAACTTTAAAATGTTTATAAAAAATTATAGGAGAATATGTTTAAGACCTCAGGGATTGAAATAATTTCCTATTTAAGGCACAAAAGCATTCACCCATAAAAAGAAGGACTGATACCTTCAACTTCATTAAAGTTAAGGCTTTTTTTGTCATCAAAAGGCATCATATTGGGGCCGGGTGCGGTGTCCCACGCCTGTAATCCCAGCAGTTTGGGAGGCCAAGGTGGGCAGATTACTTGAGGAGTTTGAGACCAGCCAGGGCAACATGGTGAAACCCCATCTCTATTAAAAATACAATAATGAGCTCGTGGTGGCGCATGCCTGTAGTTCCAGCTACTCAGGAGGCTGAGGCAGGAGAATCGCCTGAACCCTGGAGGCAGAGGTTGCATTGAGCCAAGATTGAGACACTGTACTCCAGCCTGGGCAATAGAGTAAGACTCCATCTCAAAAAAAAAAAAAAAAAAAGGTAGGGGGGGGGGGCATCATATTGAAAGTGAAGACAAAAAATTACTCTAAGTAATCTCTTTTAACTATAAAACATACATTCCTAATCATTTAAAAGTTCTACGGTACAAGTTCAATTTAAAGTGTAGAGTATCTCAAATTTTCTAATGAATAAATTCTAATGTATATTTCAGTATTTAATTGTGTGCATTAGGGGAAATTTAGATGCTTGAAAAGTAAAAAATAATATTAAGAAGACTTAAGTGTATGGAGAAGTTTTTTCCACCACCCCTTCTAAAATGGCTTGCCTGATCACTATGTTTGTTTCCCAACCCACATACCAGTTTTAACGCTCTTGGCTATTTTGGTCTCAGGTTAGGTAGCAAGGCTACAACTTTGAGAGCCAGACACTGCTGAAGCAGGCAACAGAAATACCAACACACTCAGTGCTTTGCTTTGGCATCTATTGAAACATGAAATGTGATGAAAGTTGTTACACTAGAACAAACTTCAAATAAAAACTTCACTTTCTGGAGATGACGGGTGGATTCCTGTGGGTCTTTTGGCCCAATGTATCAGAAAACAAACATTACAAGGTAAGTCATTCTGTCTTCACTCCTGTGACAGTGACCAAAAAGATCCCTATTGTTGAAGGCTAACAAAGAACAAGGCTGCCTAATCATATACATATCATTAAGGTCAAATTAATTACTTCCCTCCCAGAGTATCATTCACTATTGCCAGGCATGGTGGTATAAACAATGATAGCCCTTCAGGCTGGATTTGCCACCTGCTGACTGTAGACCCTAGGACCTTGAGTGAACATAGATGGTAGTCAGACAGTGGTTACCACGGGCCTTGGGTAAGACCCAGTATTCTGCTGGCTTCAGGTCAGACCCAGTGCAGTCCCAGTGGTGGTGGTCACAGAGGTGCTTGAGTCACCCCTCCCTCAGCTCTAGGTGGCTCAGCAGAGACAGGCTCCGTTTGTTTGGGGGAAAGTAAAGGAGGACAACAAGAGTCTCTGCCTAGAAATCCAGGGAATTTTCCAGAATATTATGCAAGACCACCAAGGTGGTAACTCAAAGAGTCTACAAGAGCTACAGTATTACTGGACTTGGGGTGCCCCCTAATGCAGACATAGCTGCAGTGACCACAGATTTAGATCAGAACACTCAAGTCCCTTTGAATACTTGGAAAGCCTTCCCAAGAACAAGTACAAACAAGCTAGACTGTGAAGGCTACAATAAATACCTAATTCTTCAATGCTCACTGGGTCAGACCTGAAGCCATCACAACACTGGGTCTCACCCAAGGCCCATGGTGACCACTGTCTGACTACAACCTATGTTCATTCAAGGTCCCAGGGCTCTACATAAACTAATGCAAAAAATTAAAGAGGACACACAAAAAGGGAAAGATATTCCACATGCATGGACTGGAAGAATAAATATTGTTTAAGTGTCCATAGTAACTAAAGCAATCTGTAGATTCAATGCAATCCCTATTAAAAGACCAATGACGTTCTTCACAGAAATAGAAAAAATAATCCTAAAATTTATATGGAAACACAAAAGGATCTGAATAGCCAAAGCCATCTTAAGCAAAAAGAACAAAACTGGTGGAATCACATTATCTGACTTCAAGTTATACTACAGAGCTATATAACCAAAACAGCATGGTACTGGCATAAAAACAGACACAGAGACCAATGAAACAGAATAGAGAACCCAGAAACAAATTCACACACCTACAGTGCACTCATTTTTGACAAAGGTGCCAAGAACATATGCTGGGGAAAAGACAGTCTCTTCAATACCCCCATATGCAGAAGAATGAAACTGGACTCCTACCTCTCACCTTGTAAAAAAATCAAATCAAAATGGATTAGAGACTTAAATCTAAAACCTCAAACTATGAAACTACTAGAAGAAAACATTGGGGAAAATCTTCAGAACACTGGTCTGGGCAATAACTTCTTGAGAAATACCCCACAAACACAGGCAACGAAAGCAAAAATGGACAAATGGGATCACATCAAGTTATTAAATAAAAATCTGCACAGCAAAAGAAACAATCAACAAAGTGAAGAGACAACCCACAGAATGGGAGAAAATATTTGCAAACCATCCATCTGATAAAGGAACGCTAACCAGACTATACAAGGAGCTCAAAGAACTCAACAGGAAAAAAACTGAAAAAAAATTTAAAAATGGGCAAAAGATCTTAATAGACATTTCTCAAACGAAGGCATACAAACAACAGGCATATGAACAGGTGCAACATGATTGATCATCAGAGAAATGCAAATCGAAATTACAATGAGATATCATCTCACCCCAGTCAAAATGACATATTCAAAAGACATGCAATAACAAATGTTGGTGAGGATGTGGAGAAAAGGTAACTCTTGTACACTACTGGTAGGAACGTAAGTTAGTACAACTGTTATGGATAAGAGTTAAAGGTCCTCAGAAAAGTAAAAATAGAACTAACACATGATCTAGCAATCCCACTGCTAGGTATATATATATATGCCCAAAAGAAAGGAAATCAGTATATTGAAGAGACAGCTGCACTCCCATGTTTATTGCAGCACTATTCACAATAGCCAAGATCTGGAAGCAAACTAAGTGTCCATCAACAGATGAATGGACAAAGAAAATGTGGTACACTACACAATGGAGTACTATTCAGCCATAAAAAAAGAATAAGATCCTGTCATTTGCAACAACATGGATGGAACTGGAGGATATTATGTTAAGTGAAATAAGCCAGCCACAAAGTGATAAACTTTGCATGTTCTCACTTCTTTGTGGGAACTGAAAATTAAAACAATTAAACTCATGGAGATAAAGAGCAGAAGGATGGTTACCAGAGGCTGGGAAGGGTAGTAGGGGTGAAGAAGGTGAATGGTCCTTGGGTACAAACATATAGTTACATACAATGAATAAGATCTAGTATTTGATAGGACAACATGGTCACTATAGTCAACAAAATTTATTGTACATTTAAAAATAACTAAGAGTATAACTGGATTGTTTGTAACATAAAGAAAGGATAAATGCCTGAGGTGATGGATACCCCAGTTACCCTCATGTGAGGGTAACATTATTACACATTCGGTGTCTGTATCAAAATATCTCATGTAATCCATAAATATACACACCTACTATGTGCCCCCAATTTTTGTTTTGTTTTTTTAAAGAATCAATTCTGTGAGGTACCATGGCAGGATTATTCATGACAGCAAAGAGTAGATACAACAGAGAAAATATTAAGGCAATTATGGTATATCCATATTGTTGAAAACCATGAAGCCATTAAAAGTTATCTTAAGACTTTTTAAGAATATAGGAAAATATTCATGTTATAATATTAACTAAAAGAGCAGGATATAAAAATTTTTATATAAAAAATGGCTATTTCTTAAAAAAAATTACAAAGAAAGACAAAGGAAACATTCCAAAATGTTAACAGTGGCTATCTTTGGAATTAAGGAGCAATTTCCTCCCTTTCTTTATATTTCAAATCTTAATCTAACACTTATTTGTAAATGGATTCTACAGCAATGAGAGTACTAACAACCATTTGTTCATTGAATGCATACTATGTCAAGTATTATACAAAAATTTTCACTGTGGCGTCAATTTCTATGAGAGCCTTGATAAGCAAGAAAATAACAGAGTGTGAAAATAAAAGTATAAACATGAATAAAGAATTGGCCCACAAAAGAAAGGTGGTTTCTAGTGTGGACTCTGGACAAGCCAATACACCTCTCTAGGCTTCAGTTTCCTCCCCTCTAAAATCAGGGAGTTGAATTAAATAAGATCTCTCATCCTAAATTCAGGTACATTGCTTGAATATGTGGCCCTGGGTGGAATGAAAGAGCAGGAATTAAATTGGCACCAGAGCTCTGTGCCAGATTTGCTTGGAAGATGAGAAGTTGTGGAATTCGTTTGCATGAAGTACCTGGGAAAAGTGGTGCATGGTGAACCTGGGCAGACTTGGGGATACTGTTGTAGAGACAGATTTTTTCCAGCCCCCACCACCCCTGCCCCAGGATTTGAGGATGTCAAAGAAGAACTAACTTCAAGGCTTTAGAAGTTAAATGTGTTCAACCCACTAAACTCAAATATTTGTAGGTGACAACATGGTGGCTTTCTTAGTAAGCCCTAAGAGACTGCCAGCACGAGATAAGTTGTACATCAGGCACTCTAGTAAACACCAGCAGGAAAAAAGACACAAGACTGAAGAATCAGGAGGTCCTCTAGGTAAATAAAACCTCCTGTCTCCATGCCCAGTGCCACTGCCCAGGCAGGTGACTGCAGTGGCTCCTGCTGGGTCTTCCTGCTTCTCCTCTGCCCACAATCCACTCTCCATAGGGCAGCCAGAGTGACTGTCATAAAAAGTAAAACAGAACTTGTTTTTTGCTAAAAGCCCTCATCCAGATCCTCAGAGCACTTCTAAGTGTCTAAAGGTCACAGTCTAAAGGCCATGTCTGCCTCCGATCCATTCTTCTACCACCCTCCACCATGTTCACTTGGTGCTAGCCAGACTTGATTTCTGCTCTCCTTCCACCTGCCAGAATACAACATGCTCATTCCTGCCTTAAGGCCTTTCTACAGGTCTACACTCAAACATCAACTCCCAGGACACACCTTCCTTGACCACCCAATCTACAGAAGCCCCTCTGCTCTGTGATTCTCTATCACATCAGCCCATTTTATTTTGTTTTCAACCTTCTCTGAAATTACCTGAATTTTCTTGCTTATTTATTACCAATCTCACTTCTAGAAAGTAAGTTCTCATGAGAGCAGGAATTGTGTCTTCTAGTTCATCCCCGTTGCCTAGAACAAGGCTTGGCACAAAGAAGGCACCCAATAAATAGATCAAAGAGATGAATGTAATACACAAAAGGCATTACAGCAGAGATTTCCACCATGTTTACATTTCAAAAACAATCATTTGCTTTCTCTATAAAAATCTGTCAAGAATATATGACCCCCTTGTTTCCACGGTTCCCAAGATGACACAATAAGTAAGGAAATGGTCAAGAAATTTCACTCATCTAATGTGCTAATCTCTTTTAGAAAGATCGTGCGTATTTGAGGCAGCACACATCAAGGGTTCCCAGATATAAAAGACACATAAAATCTATCGGCAGGACCAGTTAGCATGAGTGAATGTTCTAACCAAATAGCCAGAATCTGAAAGTTGGCAATAACCACCTCTCCACACACTCTGGAGCCTACTGGGAATACCAGACTGGCCTAGACAGTGCCCAAAGCTGGGCTAGCACCAAGCCTAAGGAGGCCACACACAGAGCAAGTTCTCAAGAAACTAAAGGGGGATGAATGAATTAATTAATGATAGCAAACAAAAGCTGGAAGTATTGCGCTGAAGGGACTATGTTGCTGGATAACAACTAGAGAGGACTGCCTTGGCAAACCTATGAAGAGACTAGAAGTACATTCTATTAAGTGTTCCCTTTAGTATTGGCAATATCTGTCTGAATAGCATCAATCAATAAGATCTTAGTATTGTTTATCCAGTATCTAAACAGTGAGTCAAAACTTGTGATAACTAAGCAACTTCCACATAGAATGTCAACTTCTGTGGGGGAAGAGAAGATCTAAAAATAAAAGACAAACTTCAAGATATCTTAAGAAAATCACAGATAACAAGTGCCAGGCACTGTGCTAATGATTTTCTATGTATCACTTCATTTAGTTCTTACAACAATGTCACAGGGTAATACTAATATTACTGGATTCCCATTATACAGGTGAGGAAACAGAGGCCTAAAGCTAAATATCTTTCCCAGCAACTAAGTCGCAGAACTGGAATGTTAAGTGAAGTTCATCCTCTGACATGTCTCAATGGGGACGCTTGCTCAATGACAGGGAATCATAGTCACTACTAAATAGGAGAAGACATGCTTTCACTCCATGTGTTCATCATTGAGTACACTAGAATAATGGACAGTCATAATATCCCTGAAGTCAGCAGATGTACAGCAGAAAAAAAATAAAATAAAACTGTCACATGTTAATTTCTAAGACCTGAAAAGCTAATTTTCTGTAAAAAAAAAAAAAAAAAAAAAAAAAAAAAAAAGTGCTATCTTCCTTGACAGGTATAAATATTGACAACTGTCTTTAAAGAAGAATTATGGGAGAACTATTTTTATAACAGCTGCAGACTGCTGAAAAAGTTTGGTAGTTTCAAAGTGTTTTATTCCTCGAAAATGTCAATCAACAGCAGGTTATGGTAAGAGACTCTTGAGTCAAAGCCTCCTCCAGACGAGCTCTCAGCCAAATCTTTGCACTTTTAACCCAAGGTGAACTAGAAACAGAAAGAGGGAAAATGAAGCTGGAGAGCGGCACCAGCTGCATGTTGAGATGCCAAAGTCAGGACTTAAATCCCTCCAACACCTGGATCCTGCCCAATTTACATTCCCCTGGGTGTGAGGGCTGGCTGTGACCCAGCTTAACCACCTCCTTTTACAGATGAGGAAACTAAGGCCCAGCAAGTAATCGTGGTCTATCCAAAATGAGAGTGAAATGACAGCAGAGCAGGATTTTAATTTAAATCTCCTACCATTGTGAGCCACTTTCCCACTACACTTGTGTAACAAAAGTAGTATGTGAGAGCTTTAAAAACAGAGCAAAGAAAGTGCTTGAATAGAAAGGGATTTTTTCTGGCCAGAGGATGGTGAAGGCTCTCAGGAAGAGGCAGTGTTTTGTTGGGTCCTGCAGGAACAGTGTGAGTCCAATCAATGCAGACAGGTAAGAGATAAGAAGAGAGGGGAGGGCCATTCTGGGCAGAGACAGCAGTGCAGGTCAGAACACTTTATCAGACAAATGTCCTTCTCTATCCATTGTTTCAGAAGCAGGAGAGAGGAGAACCAGAGGAAAGGACTGACAAGAAAACAATATTCAATTGCCATTAATGTTTCCTAGAATTTTAATCCATGGGCTCATGATTCAAAGATCATGCTATGTGAAAAACACCTTTACAGCAGAATCTGTGAGAATATAATTTAGCCATGGAATTAAATTAAGCTTAAAGCTCAGACATATTTTATGGTATGTATTATTACTGTTCCACTTGGTAATTAGGCACAAATTGTCAACAGCTTATGAATATTACTGTAACTAGTCTTTTAAACTTTTATACAGCCAAAGCAAGTATTTCTGGGCCAGCTAGACATTATTTGTACTGAGATAAGGGAAGGAATTGGGAAATCTGTTCATCTTTACCAGCTTCAAGCACTTGTTCATGTAACAAATGTGTGAGCACCCATTCCATACCACATGCGGAGCTAATGACTGAAGCACCCTAGGCCCATCTTGATCTCACAAGAAGGGACTGTGACTAGCATCTCAATGTCTACCCTGCCCCAGCAATAAAACACCTGGGCTGTGAATTCTGCTTGGGCTAGAGAGCTACAGGGTTCGAGTGCTTCCTGGGAATCTTCCTGTTGTGCACGTTTGACTCATTTTCTTCCCACCCAACAAACTGAGAAGCTGTCAACCACTCTTTCCCCTCCCCTCCATTAGTTGAAATTTATATTTTTTATACTAAAAACAAAAACCCTACAAATGAACTGAAAACCCCGACTTTAACTGCTGTTGAAAATCCATCCACTAAAAAAAAAAGAGTCATTTGGTTTAACAAACAATCCTGGGAGAGTTGAGATTGCAGTGGGTTCGCTGGGGTTTCCCTAAGCAGCAGTCCTGGGCTGCCTCACAAGGTGACAGGGGTGCCAAGATACTGACCCCTTAACCCACAGGTGGTGGGTGGGGCTGGGGCGGCCACAGTCCCTGGGCCAGCCTCCTTGGCCTCTGAGCAACCTCTTCCTTCTCCTTTTAATCCAGTGTTCCATTAAAATACTATCATTTTCTGTGTGATGCAAAGTGAAAAAGGTTGGAAAGCACTGGCTTGCCTTAAAATATGTTTATGTTTTGGGAAACAGTTCAAGACGACCCAACCTGAGCAACCTCTGGCAGATCATTTCCCCTTTCTGAACCATAGTTTACTCAGAAGTATGAAGACGTGGTTACACTAAAAGATCCCAAATTTCCCTTTTAGTTTGACAGTAAAATTATTCTGTAAATTGGGGCAATCCCCATATAATATCCTGAAAAAAAACATTTTGTGTAGAAAATAAAAGGCAAAAATTTCAAGTGAGACTTGGAGACTGCTGAAGGCTTCTAGCTAATCCTTACTGATTTATTAAATCTGATTAGGTGCCAGCTATGTGCCAGAGAACTGTGACTGATCCTGGGATTACACATAGGTGACAGAGATGTAGTCCCTGTTCTCTTCATGCTTACAGTCCACTGGGAAAGGCAGATAAAAAAAGAATGATTATAATTTGGTGGAATAAGTACTGAGATGTGGAGAAATAGAGTGGCGAGGGTATGTGAGAGGGTTACCCATCCCAGCTGGGCAAAGGAAGGCTGAGTGCAAGAGCTGACATCCAAGGCAAGACTTGAACAAGCCAGAGCTGGGGAGTCGGGTGGGTGTTGGGTGGGTGGATGTTGGAGTGTGTGAGGCGGGAGTGGGTGGGGTGGGGAAAGATGACATTCTAAGCAGAGGGAAAACCATCTGCCAAGTCCCAGAGGCACAGTGACTTGGGAACGGCATGAAGTCCAATCTGGCTGGAGTGTGAAGTATGAATTCAAAAGGGAGAGTGGCATGGCACGTTCCAGAAGCCCTGTGGCTGCAGAGTAGAGAATCCATGGAGGTGGGCAGGGTGGAGGAGGGAGCTCCAGCGGTGACCACATGTATAAATGCTTGGATTATATAGTGAATCAAGGAAGGGGACAAAAAGAAAGAGTATTTTAAAAAGTATTCTTAAAACTGGGAGAGGAAAAGCGGGCAGAAAGTTGGCTTATTCAGAAGCACTATAATAAGTTCATGTAATACAGAATACAGAAAAGTATACTTATAGTTACATGTACAAAGCACCAGTTCTTAAAACCACATGATTATCAAAAACAACAATGTCATTTAACTTTGAAATTATTTTCAGGGTATATTTTATAATTAACATCCATAAAATATTTTAAATTGAATTTTACGTAAGTTCTTTCTCAACACTATCCCTATATATAAATTTTTACCCTGAAAAATAGAATGCACTTCACCATAGCAACAGTTCTATATCAACTCCTACTCAAGTTAGAAAAAGCATATGTAATAGAAACGAATATTCTGGAATATTCTGAGGTGCCTGCTTGAAAAAAAAATTACTCCATTTACTTTGTAAAGATTTAAATGTAAGAGTTCAATGTTTCTTTAAAACATTATTGTAATTAGACAGAAGGCTATTTTAGTTCTTCAAATCTTGCTTTATTAAAGTGTAACATACGTTTTGAAAGAAAAAGAATGAAAAAGGAAAGAAAAAAAGAAATAAGTCAATCCCAAGGGTAATATTCTTGAGGTCAAGTAGATGGGCAGGGAAACAGTAACAGGAAATTATTTTAAGAAACTTATAGTTCTAATATTTAGTTGCTTAGTTTATATTTAACTTATATTACTTTCTCAAGAAAAGCTATATCCTACTGGTATTATGAGAACTGAAAAAAAAAATTCTTATGTTGACATAGTCTTCTTTTTTTTTTTTTTGAGACAGTCTCACTCTGTTGCTCAGGCTGGAGTGCAGCGGCCTCCTGGGTTCAAGCAATTCTCCTGCCTCAGCCTCCTGAGTAGCTGGAATCATAGGGAGGCGCCACCATGCCCAGCTAATTTTTATGTTTAGTAGAGACAGGGTTTTGCCATGTTGGCCAGGTTGGTCTCGACCTCCTGACTTCAACTAATCCTCCTGCCTCGGCCTCTCAAAGACATAGTCTTCTTTTTAAAGACAATAAAAAGATTGGTACTTATTAACTTGTTTGACTACCACATATAAAAATTTCCTAAAAAAGAATGAACAAGTTTATAGACATTGGGTCTTAGGTTGCTATGGTATGAATATTTGTCTCTCTCCCAAATTTGTATGTTGAAATCCTAACCCTCAAGGCAATGGTATTAGAAGATGGGGCCTTCAGGAGATGACAAGTTCATGAGGGCCTGAGAGAGACCCCTTATCCCTTCCACTGTGTGAATACATGAGTAAGAGACCCTTTACCCATTCCACCATGTGAGGTGTCATCTAGGAACCAGGAAACAGGCCCTCACCAGAAACTGAATCTGCTGGTACCTTGATCTTGGACTTTCCAGCCTCTAGAACTCTGAGGAATAAATTTCTGTTGTTTATGAGCTACTCAGTCTATGATATTTTGTTACAGCAGCCTGAACAGACTAAGACATGCATTATATACTACCAACAAGTCTTGTTATGATATGAAAATCCATATTATAAATTAAACTAGATGTCATTCAAAGTATTTCCCTTCACATCCCCCTCTCATGGCCAGCCAAATGCACCATGCCACACATCTCTGCCACCTCTGCTCACAGCCCGAGGTAGAATACTCTGTTACAGTCCCAGCTCGCTACTACTCTGAGCTTTCTCTGATCTACATTCCAAATGCTCCCCTACATCTCAATTCTTTCACTGTCCTCAGAAGAGTTCCTTAGTACTTCTGTTTCTAACCACCTTGCTTAACATTTCCTTCATACACTAAAATGAAAACTGGCTGGCTGTTTGTTATTCCCCTGCAGCTCTCTCATTTGGGCGCTGACCTTTCTGCCACATCCAACCATGGACCATGTACCTCAGGGTTCAGGGTTCAGAAGCTCTTCTTTAGGGCTTTACCACTGTCTGTCCTCAATCTAAGCTATCTATAAACTTCAGGATTCCCAATCGCCATTTCTCGCAATCTCAGACACCTGGATCCCTGTTTTCCTCTATGGCATATCTTGCTGTTATCTTAGATTTCAACATTCACATGGACAACTTTTTCCCAAACTCTGTTCCTTGATCTCTTCATCTCCAAAGACCTTCTCCCTTCTGCTACCCACCTTCCATAGCCATACATAAGATCTTGCCATCAACCAGAAAAACAGCACATTTGATATCTGAAAGTCAGGCATTTTATTCTCTGATACCTTCTCTCTCACATAACTACTCCCTACATATTCATTTTTTGACCCATCACCATACCGTTTTACCCCATGTCCTTGACCAAATTCTCATCAGGTTTTTTCTCTGAGCCCTCTTCTGGACTAGTTCTCAACTTTGACCTATAAAAACCTAGAGACTTTGAGTAAAAATGATTTTGTCCACCCTCCCTACTTAGAAGTTACCCCACTAGCATAGTTTCTAACAGCTCAAGGCTGCATCCTTAGGATGACCCCAGCCCCACTAAAAGTATCTGCCTGAGAAAACTCAGTGCTGCCAGGATTCGCCATTCCAGCCAAAATTTGGTGACAGGCAGCCAGATGCTGAAGCCCTTCTTAGAACAGTTACCTTAGAAAGCTTGCAATTATAAATACTTTTTCTGCCCCTTTGTGATGTAAATCTATCACCCAGAATTGTCTTCTTAAGGACCAGAGAGCTGACTCTTTGAAATGTGGTATAAGCAAACAATTAGTAAACCCAGATAGGTTTCAAATAACCACACCTCACTCTCTCTCCTCCCCCAGCTCATTCCCTTTCCCTGTTCCCTCGTATTCCCTTTAAAACACCCAGTCATCTATGCCAAAATGAAGTCAAGTTCAGTTCACACTGGACTCTTCCCTATGCAGGAGTATTACTGAATAAGATCAATCCTTACCACTTCAGTGCCCAGCTCCATTTAGCTTTGACAATGGAACTCAAACACCCTGCCATAACTTCACTATTTTTACCCAGCTTCTATCACTCTCTTGCTAGTATTCTTAATCTTTTAGGGGTAAAAATGCAAATTTCTTGATATGAGTGAACTGGCCTCTTCCTTATCTCTGAACACTTCTTTGTTCACACTCTGCACTCCAACCTTACTCATCATCTTTCAGTTCCTCGAATTCCTCCTGCTATGCTTCACTTCCAATATCTGCCATGCTGGTTCTTCTACCTGGAATACTCCCCTTCAATACCTTGGCCTGCACTGACTCATTCTTCAGTTGGTATCTCCTCCCTGGGGAACATTCCTCAATGCTTCCCTGCCCTTGGGTTAGGCCAACCTGCTACCTATCCCCAGGCCATCCTGGTCTCCTCTATCATGCCATGCACTAAGCTGTATTGCACTAGCCTATCTTCTCTGCTATACAACAAGCTCTGTGAGGGCAGGGAAGAGTTCTGTCTTGCTTACTAGTCTCTGTTCCTAATACTTCATTACCTGAGACACAGGCACTCAGTAAGTATGTGTTAAGTAAATTAAGTATTCAGGATCATTTGTGTTATGTAAGAGAAATCCAGCCCCTATAATGAAAATTCTCATCACTGGAATCTGCAAAGGCATCTCTGATTCTTGCATAGAATATCTGAAAATAGTCACAGTACAAAGGATGGAACACTACATGCTAACATGAATTTGCAAAACTATGGTATAATTCCAACTCTATTTGCATATTGGGTATTTACAAATGTAAAATATTTTTATTGGGTTACCTAGGATAACTAATTAGAACTAAACTTTTAGTTACTAAACCTATTGATAATCTTGCATTGGAAATAGCACCAATTCCACATTTCGTGGTAAATATAAAACTATGTCCAGGCTTAGCCCATTTAAAGCCAAAGTTGAAATTTGGGTAACTTTTAATTATAAAAATGTTTCTTTGGTATGTAAAAGTTTGGGATGTTATCATCGACTTATTTTTTGGCATAAGGTACTTACTGATAAATCTGTATTATTTGGGACATATTGATCCTGTTCTCCCAGCAACACATCAATCACAGGGTGCCTTCCATTTTTTATTACAATTTTTCTTTCTTCTTGTACAGTTGGTCTGCAAAAAAGAAATATGTTTCAATTTACTAGGCATGGAAATAGCCTTAAAAAAAAAACTCTAAGATAGCATGAAAAATTTCAGTACTCTGTTTGTACGACAGAAAACAAAACTTTAAACATAGATTTTAAGAACATATGTCCAGAATAAAACCTTGAGTATAAAAGTTAAATTTGAACTATAAGATCAAAATTGGGAAAACATTTATTATTATAATAGTGCACTGAAGCACATACTTTAGAAGAGTCTTATAAATGGCTTCACCCTTGTAGTTTACCTTTACAAGATCTTTTTTTTCTTTTCTTTCTTTTTTTTTTTTTAAGAGATAGGGTCTCAGTGTGCTGCCCAGGCTGCAGTGCAGTGACTATTCACAGACACAATCATAGCACACTACAGCCTCAAGCTCCTAGGCTCAAGTGATCCTCTTGCCTCAGCTTCTTGAGGAGGCTGGGACTATAGGTGCATGTCACCATGCTGGGCTTTATTCTTCATTTTTCTATTGTTGTCTGAGATCAAACCAATATTTTCATTAGTAAAGATAACAGTTCAGATTATTGCTACTTATTTTCATTAATGAATACAATAAAGTAAATCACATAAAATTATTTCTAGATGTAATTATTAATATAAACTATGTGTTGGACTTGGAAATGAAATGACCTAAAATTTTCATACGCTGTTCAATTAAAACATCTTTCTACGGTCTTTTGTATCTTTTACTTTGATACAAGAATCATTTTTTGACCTTGATGTTCTTTATGCTTTTTAAAGACCTCTATATCTGTTTTATCTACAGCTTTAGCTGTGTATTCAAGCACCTCTGAGCCCTGCCCTACTCTCAGCTCTCCTTCCCAGATGTTACTACTGAGACCAGCTTGGTGTCTACCCTTTCCAACCTTCTTCTGTGCATTTATGTTTATGTATGCATCACACTCGTTGTGATTTCTTTGGAAAAGTCATACTGTAATCTATCATTCTGTAACTTAAAAAATTCAAAGTTTATTTTAACTCTCAGTACACACACAAAAAATAGATTTCACCATTTACTATCTGGATTTAATATATTCCTTTAAAGTCATTTCACAAATAATTTTACAGAAATGAGAATAAGGGGATAGTAAAAAAAATCAACCTCATGACAAATTTTAATAAGAATTTAAACACAGCAAATCTCAAAAGTTTTATTCCATATTCTCCTGGTTTTCAAGGCATATATATCTGAAATGGGTAAGACATTCTGAATGTCATTGCTCATCAGCCGTCAAGCATGCATCTAGAACATATTCATTCATAAATACTAAATTCCAAATTTCAATACATTTCTAATAGGTTCTAGAGCTGATTATTTCTGATTCTTTTCACATTTGTATCAACAAAAATGCAAATACTTGAAGAAGTTTTTGAAATCTTTTAAAGCTCATAATTTTCTTAAAGAGATGGTCATCTTTGCTCCATAATTGCAAAATATTTTCATTTTTTGACTTATCAACACCAATTAGAATAATCAAATGAGTACCTTTATTTCTACATCATCTATATCCTTTCAATCTCCTGTCTGTCTATAAATTGTAACCTATAAATTGTATCAAGTAAATTTTAGTGAATAAATATTATAAAAGATAGAAGAATACTATCACATCTTTCAGCAAAACAGGACAGTCCAGGTTCTTGTCACCAAATATTACATGATGAATGTTTCCTATTGAATGACTAACTGGACGAGAATAACAGAGTTCATTTTGCCCTTACAAATATATTATTCACATACCAACTTTTGAGTTTGAGAAAATTCACCTAGGATATTTTCTGAGCATTCAGAATCTCAGATTTTGCTGATACATGAAATTTCACCATCACCATGAATATGCAGGGCACTGGTTTTTTTCTCTTCACATTCATCATCTGATTAAGCTAATAATTATGAAAGGCCTTCTGTCAATTTTGTTCTCTTTGCCTTTACGGGTGAACAACGAAAAATTCTGAATTTTCAACTGTGTTCAATGAAAATTAGAAGCAGACTCCAACTGTGGCATCTGCACTCTTCTTTTATACCTTCTTGGAAGATGATGTAATGCGGGCAATACAAGAAGAAAACAGAAGGATGACGTGATAGTGATTTCTCCCCTCACTTCTGCATCATCATTCTCTCATTTTCTTTTCATTTTAGACTTTTATATTATAGTTGAAACAAATGATAAACAATGTTAAAACAATACTCAGGATGAAGAAATAACAAAATGTTCCAAGATACAGAAAAAATAAGATCACTAAAGATCCCAAAATGCATCTTACATTTATAAAACAATCCAATAAACCCACATGGTAAGTGTAAGACAGAGTAAGTTTTACTCTCCTTTTTAAAGGAAAAAAAGTAAACTTCGTCTTTGTTCTTTAGATGGCCTTTAAGAAACTGAAATTAGGTTCAATAGGCCCTTACAGTAGAGTATACTGAAGATCACTTCTTGTCAGATTTTCAAAGCTGCTACACATTTTCCACTGTTAAACATTTAGATTGCATCCAAATTCTTACTTATAAACGATGATGCAATGAACAATCCTATACACATCTCCACGTGTACAAGTCCAAGTGTTTCCCAAAGCTAGAGTAAATTTTTAAAGTGGGATTCCTAAGTCACAGAGTATGCTTATTTTTTATTTTAATAGACAAGAGTAGATATACCAATCTACTTTCCTACAAGCAGGATATGAAAGTTAACTTGTTTTCTCATACCCTCACTTAAAGTTGGTATTATTAAACTTTCTAATGTTTGTCAACATAACAGGTAAACAGCGTTATCCCATTGTTTTAATTTGCACTCACTGATTACTAAGATTGAACATCTTTTCATCAGTTTCTTGGTGATTCATTGGTCTTTTTTCAAAAGCATAATATCCTACCAATGACCTCCTATAGTTCTTTGACTCAGAACTTTCATGTGTAACCACATTTCTGAACTTACTCATAACACCAATAAATACTACTTTCCTAAATTATTCTTCTTAAATATATCTGGCTAATAAAATCCCAGATGCTCTCACATTTTGCAAAGAAAGTGACTACAGGACAGGCGCTATGGCTCACGTCTATAATTCCAGCACTTTGGAAGGCCAAGGCAGGTGGATTGCTTGAAGCCAGGAGTTCAAGACCAGCCTGGCCAACATGGTAAAACCCCATCTCTACCAAAAATATGAAAATTAGCCAGGCGTGGTGGCACACGCCTGTAATCTCAGCTACTCAGGGGGCTGAGGCAGGAGAATCCCTTGAACCTGGGAGGCAGAGGTTGCAGTGAGCCGAGATCGCACCATTGCACTCCAGCCTGGGCCACAGAGTGAGACTCTGTCTCAGGAAAAAAAAAAAAAAAAAGTGACTACAGTGTCTTCTGAGTAAATACTTTGAAATCATCTGTTGGAGAGAGACACTTAAAATTATGAAAAAAGGATAGTTTTTGGATTTTAGAGTGTAATTCTGAAGACAAGATTTTTTGTCTAGGTGGGTTACAAATTCATTGTAAAAGAAAAAAATGAAAGTATTTGTGACATTAATTTTAAAATAAAATCCTAGGTGCTCTGCCAAGTGAAATCATTATATAATATTCATGACACTGATATGATTTACCAGGAAGATTTTCACTTTGGAACAAAATTTTAAGTGAT
Source organism: Homo sapiens (assembly GCF_000001405.40). Lineage (NCBI taxonomy): Eukaryota > Metazoa > Chordata > Mammalia > Primates > Hominidae > Homo > Homo sapiens. The sequence goes on along the minus strand of NC_000005.10, from coordinate 80,789,078 downwards.
TTTTTCTGCACTAAAATTTACATCGACTTATTCTGTTGCTATCAAAATTATATAATGACAAAACGCTTCCTGGCAGAATAGGATGCAAAGGATAACTCACAGAGCTGGGAGGATACACTAGGATAGAACACGCATAGCAAGAAAGCATACTGATGACACCTATGGCAGTGAAGGGAATAATCTAGATGCCTCCTGGAAAGAATAAAACATTTGAACTTGAACAACTTTATTTAATTTTGTATTTTTTAAATTCTATCTCTCTTTTTTTTTTTTTTTGAGACAGGCTCTTGCTCTGTCACCCAGGCTGGAGTGCATGGGCACTATCATGGCTCACTGCAGCCTCAAACTTCTGAGCTCAAGCAATCCTCAGTGTCCCAAGCAGCTGGAACTACAGGTGTGCACCACCACGCCCAGCTAATTTTTTAATTTTTGTAGAGATAGGGTCTCAATATGTTGCCCAGGCTGGTCTCAAAATCCTGGTTTCAAGAGATGTTCCTGCCTCAGCCTCCCAAAATGCTGGGATTACAGGCATGAGCCACCAAGCCTAGTCTTACTTTTTCTTAAGTATATATAAAATCAAGCTTTGGAAGACATACAACTTGTATGAAAGTTTTGTCTGAAAAAAAATTTTTTTTTTTGAGACAGAGTCTCACTCTCTTGCCCAGGCTGGATGGAGTGCAGTGGCACGATCTTGGCTCACTGCAACCTCCACCTCCTGGGTTCAAGCAATTCTCCCACCTCAGCTTTCTGAGTAGCTGGGATTACAGGCACGTGATACCACACCCGGCTAATTTTTTTTGTATTTTTAGTAGAGATGGGATTTCACTGTGTTAGCCAGGATGGTCTCGATGCCTTAACCTCGTGATCTGCCTGCCTCAGCCTCCCAAAGTGCTGGGATTAGAGGCGTGAGCCATGCGCCCAGCCATCTGAATTTTAAAGTTAGATTTGTTTGTGCTAACATCCTTTATGAAAAAGAGAATAAATATTCCATGTTGGGATGTTTAGAGGTCAATAAAGAATAGTGGGATGAATATGGGCTCTTAACAAAAGGAACAGATCACTAAAATGCCCCTCAGTCCCTATCTTCTCAGTCTTTTCTTGCCTAATCAAACTTTTATAATTATAAAAGTGTTCAAGTAAAAGCTAACAAATGAAAAGAGTGCTGAAACTTTATAAAAATGTCACCCACATAAACTTTAACATCTGCTTTCATTGTACTCAGTGACAGAGGAAGCAAGAAATGAATTTAATTTTCAAATCAAGCTACATATGTATGACATTCAGCTTTCCCAAGAGTCTAACACATTTGAGTAACTGTAATATTTTATAATAAAGACACTATAATTAATTGAATAATGTCATCTTATCTAAAGCACTGATAAAGAGGAAAATGAAAAATATCTTACCTGCAGTAATCTCCTTGCTTAGCGACCTTGGCCAGGGAGAAAATGCAGTCAACAGTTGCTAGGTGATGCACTGCTTTACACAAGGAGTGATAATGTTCACTGAATTTCCTACGGAAGCAGCAGCAACAACAAAAAGGTGAGCAAACTGATATCTTAAACCTATAATAGCTCTACAACAAGCAATCACTTTATCAGCTAGTGTAAGCATACAGATGATCAGCAGGCATTCCTAACAGTTAAGAGAGATGGAGATTACACCAAACAGCTTTACTTTTTAATATAATAACTAAATTATTGAGGCTTCTGTTTTGTATATAAATTTAAAACAACTTCTATGTAAAGATATCAACCATTAAGAATATATCACAGATTTCATCTGACCCTGACATTTGAACTTAAGATATAACATAAATATAGCAGTCATTTTCATTTTGCTTCAATAACATCATGAAATATTCATGTGGATCAGCTTCCCTTGTGCTTCTCCTTCACAGCATCCTCCAAATCCGGAATAACAGTTTCAACACCTTTCTCTCACACTAAACTGGAAGCTTCTTGAAAGCAGGTTGTCTATCTCATCTCATTAACCCCATTGTAGACCTAACATCTAGTTTATAATGTTGGCATAAAATAAACACTGTAATAAATATTTATTGAAGACAAGGGGAAAAGGTACTTTTTTCACTTATCTTCAGTTATCTTATTAATAATGCATATAAAAACTAAATTTCAGATTTGTTTTTTAAAAGATAATGGTCATTGCCTCAAGTCTCTGGCTACTTAAAACTATAATATTTATTGATCTAAAAGCCTAAATGGCTTTTAATGAAAAACTTATTCAGAAAACATACATGAATACTTTTTTCTTTTTTCTTAAATTATCCCATTATCTCATATCATAGTATTTTATGTCAATGTGTGTAGTGTCGTATAAATTGTGGACATCTGTATGTAGTGATCAATTGTGGATGTGTGAAGTGTACATAATTAAACTACAAAAAGGACCCAAAACTTAATTTTTAAGAATGGCCAAGTATAAAGTATCTTTTTAAGTAACAGGAAATATATAGCTGAGCTTAAATCTTTATAGTAACTACTCTGCCTCCAAGAGAGATTAAGAGGCACAAAAAATGTTTAAGTAGGTGGTGATAAGTCACAAATTCTTCAAAGACTGGAAAATGAGAAAATGTAATAAACTAACTGTAAATAGGTCCAAAAGGAAAGCTGAAAGGAAAACAAACATTTACTAATCAAAGACTACGAAGAAGCCACTACATATTCTTTACAACAACCATAAAGGTAGGTCTTCATTACCTAAGTTTTACAAATGAAGTTCAGAGAGAAAAAGCAGTTAGCCTAAAGCAATTGAGCCTAGACTCAAACTGTGCTCTTCCTATCACCCTACTTCACAGTGCAATTTTACAGACTCCTACTAGCATCTTGCCTTATTTTTGTGCATACATAGAAATAAAATAGAAATAAGGTGCCTACTTTTTTTTAATTTATTTTTTAATTAATTAATTAATTATTATTATACTTTAAGTTTTAGGGTACATGTGCACAATGTGCAGGTTAGTTACATATGTATACATGTGCCATGCTGGTGTGCTGCACCCACTAACTCGTCATCTAGCGTTAGGTATATCTCCCAATGTTATCCCTCCCCCCTTCCCCCCACCCCACAACAGTCCCCAGAGTGTGATGTTCCCCTTCCTGTGTCCATGTGTTCTCATTGTTCAATTCCCACCTGTGAGTAAGAACATGTGGTGTTTGGTTTTTTGTTCTTGTGATAGTTTACTGAGAAGGATGATTTCCAATTTCATCCATGTCCCTACAAAGGACATGAACTCATCATTTTTTATGGCTGCATAGTATTCCATGGTGTATATGTGCCACATTTTCTTAATCCAGTCTATCATTCTTGGACATTTGGGTTGGTTCCAAGTCTTTGCTATTGTGAATAATGCCGCAATAAACATACGTGTGCATGTGTCTTTATAGCAGCATGATTTATAGTCCTTTGGGTATATACCCAGTAATGGGATGGCTGGGTCATGGGTATATACCCAGTAATGGGATGGCTGGGTCAAATGGTATTTCTAGTTCTAGATCCCTGAGGAATCGCCACACTGACTTCCACAATGGTTGAACTAGGTTACAGTCCCACCAACAGTGTAAAAGTGTTCCTATTTCTCCACATCCTCTCCAGCACCTGTTGTTTCCTGACTTTTTAATGATTGCCATTCTAACTGGTGTGAGATGGTATCTCATTGTGGTTTTGATTTGCATTTCTCTGATGGCCAGTGATGGTGAGCATTTTTTCATGTGGCCAGTAGCGCAATGGGTAACGCGTCTGACCACGGATCAGAAGGTGCCTACTTTCTACATTTAAAAAATAGTGTAGCTCAGATATTCTGTACGACCTTTTAAAGATGATCCAAAAACGTGAAAAAGACAACAAACGGACAATAAATGCCTCTCTTTAAAAACATTTCTCTATTGTAGTGTGGGTTTCAGAAATGTTGAGACAGTCTGTTTACTACTGAAATCCAAAGATTTCTACAGTGCTTCCTAGCTTGAAAAAGATATCCAGATTACACTACTAGAATGATGGACTATTCCTATATAATCATTATGACTTTTTAAAACTGTAACTTCTGATATTTCTAGTATTATTAGAATAAGGTATTGTACATAAATGACTTTTTCCAGATACTAGAAACAACATTTTAACTATCCAGCTTTATTTCTGTTTTTTGTGAACCGAAAAATATATTCACAGTATACTGTATACTTATTTACTGAGTAGATAGAACATAATGAATATAACTTATCTATTTCTCACTGAATTAAAGTTCATCAAAACAAATAATACGATTCCCACCAACAGTGTTAGAATCTGTGCAAAACCACAAACACAAAACGGACAGGCCCCTAGCATCAGACAGGCAGCCCTCAGTCACCACTTTAAAATGTGGAGGGAAGTGGGGATGGCTAATGGGTCCAAAAAAATAGAAAGAATGAATAAGACCTACTATTTGATAGCACAATAGGATTACTATAGTCAATAGCTTAATTGTGTATTTTGGAGTGGCTTAAAGAGTGTAATTGGATTGTTTGTAACTCTAAGGATAACTGCTTGAGGGCATGGATACCCCATTCTCCGTGATATGCTTATTTCACATTGCATGCCTGTATCAAAATATCTCACGTACCCCATAAATATATACACCTACTATATACCCACAAACATTTAATAAAATAAAACAAAATAAAATGCTCTCTAGTTTTGAAGATGCCACATGTTGCATTGACCTAACTGCCCTGGGTGTTTAGAGTTAAGAGTCACCCTAAACCCGAGTGGGTGCCCACTGACTTTGCCTTGTTATTCCTGCTCTGGCTTCGACTTTATTTATTTATTTATTTATTTCCCTTTTTTTTTTTTTTTTTTTTTTTTTTTGCGACGTAGTAGTCTCGCTCTTTCGCCGAGGCTGGAGTGTAGTGGCATGATCTCAGCTCACTGCAACCTCCGCCTCCCAGATTCCAGCGATTCTCCTGCCTCAGCCTCCAGAGTAGCTGGGATTATAGGCATGCACCACCACACCCAGCAAATTTTTGTACTTTTAGTAGAGACGGGGTTTCCCCATGTTGGCCAGGCTAGTCTCGAATTCCTGGCCTCAAGCAGTCCACCTGTCTCAGTCTCCGAAAGTGCTGGGATTACAGGCATGAGCCACTGCGTCAGCCATGGCTCTGACTTTAGATCTGACCACTTGTTGCCCTCTTGCACTGTGGCGTATGCTGTCTTTGTTCTAATTACTGACCCATCCGGTCCTCCTATCTAGGCACCCTCTCTTTTGCCAGAAAGCAGCCATATTTGGTATTTCTGCCCTTGCCTCTCTGGACATGAGTATCAAAGCTTTAGCAGTAACAAATGGTCAATTTTTTTCTCACTCTTTCCTTCCTTCTCAGGTCCTGCCCAGGTCCTCAAGACTCTAATTTGCTACTACTCAGCAGCTTGACTTGAGGGTAGCTATCTCTGATGATCTAATTCTTAAGATGGAAATGAGTTAACACAGCTCTTAGTGGGTCCCATTTCAGTTAAAACAACAAAAAAGCAAGAAGGGATAAGTAATTATTTTGATATGAACAACAATGCTCTTTCTGATGTCAATGGTATAAATAAGACATGAATAAAATGAAAAACTATCATAAACCTATAACATCATAACTCTTAAAGAAGGCTTGTTTGACATCTTGGTCTTTGTCCATTTGATACACTTTGCCAAACTTCAAAGAGATTATCCATACTTAGAAAAATGGTAAGCTGAAAAATGGTCAATGCAGATAACAATCTGGTAGACTGGGTTTATAGCATAACAACAAGCAATTTTATCACTATGCTACCAACCAACTTAAGGATGAAGTCAAGGCACTATGATTTAACCTCTGGCCAAAAGATATTGCTGGGTCCATAGGAAGCAGATGAAGACACTTTGGTTCTAAAGCTGTTATAGTGTTATGATGACTAGAGAAGTTTACCATGAAGTGTTGCTCAATGATATCTGAAGTTAATAAAAATTGAAAATATTTGCAAATGAATTTCTATAATTTTTTATGATATAATTCAATTTTTAAATAATTTGCAATTGAGAAGATTACTGAATATACACAGTCCATCTTCTAGAACAAAAAAAAGAGAGACATGTTTCAAGGGAGGATTTAATCCACAGCAGTGTCTACAGCCTTAATTTCTGACAACATTTTGATCAAAAGTAATGTGACTAATGCACAACAGTTAGTACCTCAGTAAGTGACAAATACATTTGTAATGCTGGTATTCAATCCTCTGATGTCAGGTTCATTGAGGTTAATCATTTTTTTAATGATATCATAGTCACACCATCTGGTACCTCAATAAATAGTGTACATAACAATCAATGCTGCTCTCAAGTGGGGGCTCTAGTTGCAAAATGCTCTAGCTAAATTTCAGCCAATATTCTTTTTCTGGATAAAAACTTTAATACACTTTTCTTATTCTGAAAGTAATATATGTACATTATAGGAACTTCTGAAATCATGCTCAGTCATCCCTCAGTATCCATAGGGGATTGGTTCTAGGACCCCCTGCAGATGCTAAAATCCAACATGCTCAAATCCCTTACATAAAATGGTAAAGTACTTGTATATAACCTATGTACATCCTCCCATAGACTTTAAATATCTCTAGATTACTTATAACACATAATACAATGTAAATGCTATAAATAAATAGCAGTTATACTGTACTGTTTCAGAAATAATAACAAGGGGAAAAAAAAAGCCTGTATGTGTTCAGTATAGATGCTACCATCCTTTTCATTCCTTGAATATTTTCAATCTGCAGTTGGTTAAATCCATGGATGCAGAACCCACAGATATCAAGAGCCAACTGCATTTGCAAAGTAAAGAAATTAAAATCACCAGTAACCTCACCATCCAGAAATAATCAGTTAACATTTTGAGTCTACATATACATATATATATGTATGTATGTTCATATGTATATAGGAATAGATATTTCTCCAAAGATATACACATGGCCAATAAGCATATTAGTAATACAATAATAAGCATATATAATCTTTAAAAATATAAAAGTCTGTATGCTGTGCATTATGTAAATATACACATATAAAACTGTATCATACTTTTACTTTACATGATTTTCTTCACTTAGTAATTAGAGTATCATATGCTTCTATGATGTTATATTTACTGTTAGCTCACTCTTCGCAACTCTCAATTACAGCCTAGGGATAATATAATAAAAACTCCTGGGTCAACCTAGTAGAAGGCCCAGTCAGAAGGCCAATACAGTAAGAATGGTTTGAGGTAATAATGGGCTGTTAGAAGACAACAGAAGAAGGGACAAATCAAAGAAACACCTCAAAGGGGGAAAAAGACAATCAGAAATTTGATAACAGGTTGGACATAGCCCAGGAGTTCAAGATTATGCTGGGGAACATAGAGAAACCCTGTCTCTACAAAAACACTTAAAAATTAGCCAGGTGTGGCACTGCATGCCTGTGGTCCCAGCTACTAGGGGGCTGAGGTGGAAGGATTGCTTGAGCTGGGGAGGTAGAGATTGCAATGAGTCATGATTGTATCACTGCACTCCAGCCTGGGTGGCAGAGCGAGGAAAAAAAAAAAAAAAAGAACTTGGTAACAGATAAAGGGACCAAAAGGAAGAAAGAATCAAGAATAACACCAGGATGATTAGCCTGGGAGACCTCAACTTTCTTTAGTCTGGAATAATGACAAGAGAATAGAAGCCAGATCTATGAAATTATGTAAGGTCTGAATAGAATGAACATGAAATTACCTCACCAAATCCCAGGACCCTTCTAGAATGTGAGTCCTTGAAGACTGAAAGGTGTAATTTTAGTTCAGTTTTCACATTCTCAGTGGTAATACTAAGGAAAAAGCCAGGACAACTGAAACACTCAAAGGCCCTGAAAACCCTTAAAATAGAAAATTAAAAGTGAAATAGAAAAGAAACTGAATAGACAAAATTTCCATCCCTCCATTCAAGACTCTGAGTCAAGCTAGTCTCAAAAGATTTAAGTAAATTGGAATCTCTTCCTGGTCTTACAATTCAAGACTCCTCAGGGCAAAAGACTGATACCAACTTACTAGCTTGTAAAAATTCTCACATATCTTTTTTGTTTTTAGTTTTTTTCATTTGTCGGGTTGATTACTTGAAATACAATAAAGCTCCCTGAAGGACGTCACTGAATTTTTACTGTTTAAGGTTTTATTTATTTATTTGAGACAGTCACGCTCTGTTGCCCAGGCTGGAGTGCAGAGGCGCAATCTCGGCTCACTGCAACCTCCGCCTCCCCGGTTCAAGTGATTCTCGTGCATTAGCTTACTGAGTTACGTGGGATTACAGGTACATGCCACCACACCCGGCTAATTTTTGTATTTTTAGTAGAAACAGGGTTTCACCATCTTGGCCAGGCTGGTCTTGAATTCTTGGCCTCAAGTGATCTGCCCACCTCAGCCTCCCAAACTGCTGGGATTACAGGTGTGAGCCACTGCGCCTGGCCTGTTTATGGTTTTAAAGTGAGAGACTAACAGATGTATTTAGACTGATGCCTGCAGGCTCACCATGGGCAGGCTGGCAAAGGCCAGACATCTGGCTGCCGGATGGCTGGGGCTGAATCTGGGCTCCAACCCTTACCCTTGGAAGATTAACTTCTTATTTCTGCATCTCACTTTATTCATTTGTAAGTTGGGTATGATACTTAGCCTTACAGGGGTCACGTGAAAAATACTGAGTTTATATATAAAGTACTCAGACCAGTGGTGGTCTAGAGCTGGTTCCTATGGACTCATGAAAATCAACTGTGTACATCTCTTCCCAACTCCAGTCCAGTGGTAGCTTGACATCAGCCCTGGTGGGAGTGTTTACACTACAGAAATCAGCAAACTCTACAAACATGACTGTCCTTCCAAAGAGCTGGCTGTTAAACATTGGCCAGCATGCCATGACTTAAAACTGCCAATATGAACACATGACTATCAATAAATCCAGAATATAAGGCATTCTTTGAGACAATGGCAAGGACTCTTCAAAAAATACCATGGTAAAATAACAAAAAACGTGGCAGATAATTCTAGGTTCAAACAGACTAAAGAAGCATAATTACCAAATGCAACATGTAAAAGTTGATTAGGTCTTTCATTTTAAAATCTAAAGCCGGTGGCGGGGGGACATTGGGAAAATTCAAGAAATTCAAATATATTCATAAATTAATGTTAATTTTTTGGCCGGCACAGTGGCTCATGCCTGTAATCCCAGCACTTTGGGAGGCCGAGGAGGGCGCATCACAAGGTCAGGAGATTGAGATAATCTTGGCTAACACGGTGAAACCCCGTCTCTATTAAAAATACAAAAAAAAAAAATTAGCAGGGCGTGGCGGTGTGCGCCTGTAGTCCCAGCTACTCAGGAGGCTGAGGTGGGAGAATGACTGAGGTGGGAGAACTCGGGAGGCAGAGCTTGCAGTGAGCCAAGATTGCGCCACTGCACTCCAGCCTGGGTGACAGAGTGAGACTCCACCTCAAAAAAAAAAAAAAAAAATTAATGTTAATTTTTTTTAGATGTAATAATAAATGGTGTTAAGATTATATAGTAGAATGTCCTTATTTTTAAAGACGTAGGCTTAAGTATTTAGGGGTAAAGTGTTACAATGCCTAAAACTTACTTCCAAATGTTTCAGGAAAAAAAATACATGAGAGATAAAAAGCAAATGTGGCAAATGCTAACATGTGATGAACCTAGGTGAAGGGTGTATAGAGGGTCATCTTAACTTTCAGTAGATTTTAAGAATTTCTTTCGGGCTGGGTGCAGTGGTTCAAGCCTGTAATCCCAGCACTTTGGGAGGCTGAGGCAGGCGGATCACTTGAGGTCAGGAGTACAACATCAGCCTGGCCAACATGGCGAAATCCCGTCTCTACTAAAAATACAAAAATTAGCTGGGTGTAGTGGTGGGTGCCTGTAATCCCAGCTACTCAGGAGGCTGAGGCACAAAGAATTGCTTGAACCTGAGAGGTGGAGGATGCAGTGAGCCGAGATCGTGCCACTGCACTCCAGCCTCGGTGACAAAGCAAGACTCAGTATCAAAAAAAAAAAAGTAAAAAAAAAAAAAAAGAAATAAAATCAGAGAACACATGTACTCAACTATTTTATGGTGGGTCATGAGCTGTAATCTCTATTTTCTTTTTGATGGAAAGATTTTTCCAGTCTGTTTCTGATAGCAAAAAGTCAGATTATATTTTTTCATTGTAAACTCACTCTAGAAAATCAAGCCATTCAGCACTGCAGTCAAGGACTAGCTGCTCCCGGAGCTGATTCAGATGTCTGTAATTTTCTACAATAAAAGGAGAGTGAAAGCGGCTCACAGCTTTTGTGCTAGAAGAGGGGAAAGAACACAAATAGGAAATCAAGGTTAGTAAAAAATCCGAAATGCCATCACTTTAGAAAATTAGTTATTTATTATTCTCTGATGAACCTTGAAAGTAAACAGCTGTAAACAGAAGAACATTCTTTAATTATGGTCCTGAACTCTACTGATTCCAAAGAATATGACTTTGCTCAGGAAGCCTTTTAAAATGCATTTCAAATTATACCCATATAGCAAAGTCAGAGTTTAGAACTTTTATTTCATAGGCAGAAAGCTTTTTTCTTTAAATTATACTAAGTGAAAATGCTCTTTAAAAAAGATCAGAAGCATATATGGTAAAAGAAAATAAGACAAAGCTGGGAGGTAGATACATTGGTGAAGGTTGTATTATTCTTTGTTTTATGGGCTTTTCTGTATGATTGAAGTATTTCAGTGAAAAAAGAAAAATAAAAAAGCATTACAAAGAAAGCAATGCATTAAGTCAGGAGGCAATTAAGAAAGATCTTCAGGATACTGTGATCTGTGCAGATTCACAGTGGCTCTGGATAGGAAGAAATACCACATGCTCCCCATCTGGGCTTGAGTATCATCTCTGCTCTCTGTTCAGTAGCTAGAGCACAACAGGGGATGCCATGGGTCCCCAGTCAGAGAAGCCAGGTCGAGGCTCCAGTCCTGCCACTTACTTACTAGCTATGTGATTTGGGGCAAATGAAACAGACCTTCTCTAAATATCACTTTTCTCATCTATGAAACGGGGATAATAATATCTACCTCATAGGTACTGTTGACAGGATCAAACAAATAAAACTTAGGAGAGCGCCTGTAAGTATTGTGGTTGTGGTGGTGGTGGTGGTGGCGGTTGCCACTGCTGTTAATGCTGTCATTATGATGATAAATCTTCAAGAAGAAAAGGTCAAGGTGTCTGGTCTTTTTTTGCTCCCCAACTCTTGTAATACACTGTTGCACTTTAATTTGCCAAGTTGCTGGATTAGGGGTGGGCCTTTTGCATTCAAAATCTGACTCCTGATGTTCTAACTCATCTCTGTCAAAACCCTATGGCCAAACAGATAAACTGCAATGAACCTTTCCCTAACTATCTTATCTGTTGATTCAATTTACATTACTGAACATGTGAAAGATGGTGTCACTGATTTATGCCTTGCTTGTTGCTTTAAAATTATATCATCTAGACTTCTAGGCCAACATATTTATCAAAGCTTTATCTTCTGGAAAAACTCATTTAGGGAGATATTTCAGTTATTGTTGTAGATAGACTAACATGGTTTTTGGTAATTTCTCTTCATAATGCATATTTCATTCATTAGCTGTGGTACAGGACAAAAACAGATAAAGGAAAGAATGCCTGCAAAAAGAGAAAACATCCCCTAGAATCAACAATACTCAAATCTAAAGTACAGCTTCTGGTAGCATTAAAAAAAAAAAGATGGTATTAGAATGAAAGAAATCCATGCCTGTGCCTTCAACATCTGATGATGTGGCAATGGATAATAAACATTCTCTTTTTAAGTTAAAATAATAAATTACTGGGAGGCCAAGGCAGGTGGATCACTTGAGTTCGAGACCAGCCTGGCCAAATGGCGAAACGCCATCTCTACTAAAATACAAAAAAAAGCCGTCTGTGGTGGCAGGTGCCTGTAATCCCAGCTACTTGGGAGGCTGAGGCAGGAGAATCATTTGAACCCGGGAGGCGGAGGTTGCAGTAGACCGGGATTGCGCCACTACACTCCAGCCTGGCTGACGAAAAGAGACTCTGTCTTAAAAAAAAGAAAAAAAAAAAATATATATATATATATATTTGTATTATATTTTTTGTATATATGTATTATATATATTATATATGTAATAAAGTAACAATCATTCACACATTATGTCAAAATTTCCCTTCATCCTTAAAACAGAATGTCTGTACACTATTACCAGCTACGGTCCCTCTTCTACCATCTGAGGCAAATGTACCATTTTCATCTCATGTTTGTGCAACTTATTGATAACAGTACTAATAAATATTCCACAAAAGATACTATTCACAGCTGTATATACTTCCCTAATACCTTGTCTTTAAATGAGTCCTCTCCTGGAGATTAGTATCTAACCAAGGAGAAAAGGCAGAGTCCCAATGTGGTTCTCTAAATTTGTTTTTGATTAATTTATTTTCATCAATTCATGATCTGGGTTACAAAAAAAAAGATGTAAAGAATTATAATAATTATGTGCCAAGGAAGGCATTAAGAATAAAGAAATGTGGAGCTCAGTGAGGTAGAAAATGAAATTGCAGCTTCTTAAAAGAAATGTCAGGCATAGCATTCACCATGAAGTAAAAGCAACTAAATTAATCTTACAATTGAAGGTTCCTCAACTTTTCTTCCATGTGTACCCTGTGCTATAAAAATAAAGCAATAATTTACAAAACAAGAAAATAAATGTGTAAAAATAAGATACCTTTTTGAAAAATGTTTTAAAATCAATGATAAAGAGTTAAAAGTAATGATCTCCTTGGTTAAAAGTTCCATAAGAAAGGGCAGGGCACAGTGGCTCATGCCTGTAATCCCAGCACTTTGGGAGGCTGAAGTGGGTGAATCACCTGAGGTCAGGAGTTTGAGACCAGCCTGGCCAACAGGGTGAAACCCCGTCTCTACTAAAAATACAAAAATTAGCCGGGGGTTGTAGTGTACTCCTGTGGTCCCAGCTACTCGGGAGGCTGAGGCACAAGAATCCCTTGAATCAGGGAGGCGGAGGTTGCAGTGAGCTGAGATCATACCACTACACTCCAGCCTGGGTGACAGAGCAAGACTACATCCCCTCCAAAAAAAAAAAAAGTTCCATCAGAAAAAATAAGTAAAAAGAATTGCTTTTAATTTCAAGAATGTGGCTACGATGAGCCCAGTAGCACATAGATATACAGATGTCATCATAATGCATTGTAAGAAAAAAATTTATTTTAAACCTACCTTCCAACCTTTACCCAATCAGTTGGTATACAAGATACAGCAGAGTTCTTTATTTCTATCATAAACTAAAACAAATACAAATAAACAGAGATTTAGATAAGTAACCATTATATATTTTAAAGCTTTCCCCAAATTGTGGTATAACAATTTATTATATATTGTTAAACACTCAAGATAAGTCCAGTATTGTTTTTCAGACTGTATATATGTCAATACAGACAAATATTATTAATTAAGGGTTCACTACTTGGGACAAAGTACAATTTGTATTGCATAAAACATTTGTAATACTTGGGCTTTCATGTTTCTAATATTGTTATATGTATACTCTGATGGCTTTTTCATTAACCACCTCTTTCATTTATTAATACTCACTTATCTTAAGAATTCTACTACTCATAAAAGATTGAATTTCTAAGTATATAAAATTTTAAAATATTCAATTACTAGATGTTACACCAGTCTGAGATATGATCCTCCCCTATTCTGAACAGAGAGGATTTTTAGATAGTTTTTATCCAAGGAACTGAAATCCTGTAAAAGTCTCTTCACAGGAAAGCACTGACTTCCCTAACTATAAAGAGAAGAAAGTGTTTCTTCCCATATGAGAGTTTTCTTCAAGTTTTCACTTATATGAACCATAGTATCTTTTTTTTATTTTTGTGGGTACATGGTAGTTGTATATATTTATTGGTTACATGAGATAGTTTGATACAGACATACAATGCGTAATAATCACATCAGGGTAAATGGGGTATCCATCTCCTCAAGCATTTATCTTTTGTGCTACAAATAATCCAGTTATACTCTTTTATTTAAAAATGTACAATTAAATTATTATTGATTATAATTACCATGTTATCAATACTAGGTTTTATTCATTCTTTCTGGTTTTTTTGTATCCATTAACCATCCCCTCATCCCCTCCACCCCCACTACCACTACCAGTTTCTGGTAACCATCATTCTATTCTGTATCTCCGTGAGTTCAACTGTTTTAATTTTTAGCTCCCACAAGTAAGTGACAACACGCAAAGTTTGTCTTTCTGCACCTGGCTTATTTCCCTTAACATAATGACCTCCATAATCCATCCATGTTGTTGCAAATTACAGGATCTCATTCTTTTTTATGGCTGTATAGTACTCTGTTGTGATTACATACTACAGCTTCTTTACCCATTTGTCTGTTGATGGACACTTAGTTTGTTTCCAAATCTTAGCTGTTGTGAATAGTGCTGCAATAAACACTGCAGTGCAGATATCTCCTTAATATACTAATTACCTTTCTTTGGGATATATACCTAGCAGTGGGATTGCTGGATCATATGGTAGCTCTATTTTTTTTTTTTTTTTGAGGGACCTCCAAACTGTTCTCCACAGTGGTAGTGGTAGTATTAATTTACATTCCCACCAACAGTGTACAAGAGTTCCCTTTTCTCCACATCCTCATCAACATTTGTTATTGCCTGTCTTTTGGATAAAAGCCATTTTAACTGGGGTGAGATAATATCTCCTGTCATTTTAATTTACATTCATAATATATTTATAGATCCAACTGTGCTCTGCAAATAAGGTTCTCTGAAATCAGCCAGGAAGCAAGTGAAGTTCTATCACACCATTCATTTTTAGCCTTAGTTATGTATTATCTTTTCTCAGTGTGCTTGCATTTCTGTATTATTGCAACCAAATTCAGGCCGGGCGCGATGGCTCACACCTGTAATCCCAGCACTTTGGGAGGCTGAGGCGGACAGATTACCTGAGGTCAGGAGTTTAAGACCAGCCTGGCCAACATGGTGAAACCCCATCTCTACTAATAATACAAAAATTAGCCAGGCGTGGTGGCAGGCACTTGTAATCCCAGCTACTCGGGAAGCTGAGGCAGGAGAATCACTTGAATCCAGGAGGTGGAGGTTGCAGTGAGCCGAGATTGTGCCACTGCACTCCAGCCTGGACGACAGAGCAAGAATCTGTCTTAATAAAAAACAAAAAGAAAAACAAAAGAACTAATTCAATGATTCATTTAAATAAATTTATAAAAACCCATTTTGAGCAGAATGGAACCCAGAAACTGTGTGGTTGTCATCTTGAGAGAGCTATGAGAACTTTTTCACATTTATCAGTTTTATTATATGCACGTACCTTCAGGTATTTATAATGTTCATATTAATAACAGTATCAACATGGTTCTTGAGTTTATTTTTCCCATTAATAGAAACACTGTAGCTTTTACATTAATTATATTAAGAATTAGTGGCTAATCTAAAAAATTTCATCATTAGAAAACTGTTTTGAACTAGTGATGCCCTCATTTATAGAGAATTAC
Source organism: Homo sapiens (assembly GCF_000001405.40). Taxonomy (NCBI): domain Eukaryota; kingdom Metazoa; phylum Chordata; class Mammalia; order Primates; family Hominidae; genus Homo; species Homo sapiens. The sequence continues at coordinate 80,773,436 of NC_000005.10, read as the reverse complement.
TACAGTTTCAAATCTGCCACACCCACTTAAATAGTTAAGAGTGAAGAGTCTAACAAGCCTCCTTTGGCTACAAAAAGTAACTTTTGAAAAACCACAAAAAATATCACTAATGGGAAAGATAAAATCACTTTTAAACTGTGCTAAATAATTCTGCTGTTTTAGAGTGTTCTACTAAAAGAAATGTTGGCCTTTTTATAAAATAATTCTGGAAAGAGCTATGCTAAAGGCAAACAGCAAAATTCAGGAACAGACTGATTGGATCACTGATATTTGGGAAGGACACATCCAGATGCATAATGACTAACACAGAGCTCCACAGGAGTTACTGGCTAAGGGATGGTGGACATTTTGAACAAGGAGCACCTTGGGAACAGTTTGGACCACAACTATTCAATCTGTAAGTATCAAAAGTTCTACTCTAGGAGCACAATCACTACAGCGGGCTACCATACACAGAGCCAATACAGTGCCACTGCAGGGGGGAAAACAGCGAGAGTCAGGAAGGCACAAGTTAAACCCCTCTGGTCACATCCTCAGACAGGGTCTGGTCCTTGGACTGATCCTGAGGGTCCCTTTTCCTCACTCAGCAATCCTCAGAGTTTCAGCCTGGGTTCCTCCTCAGAGTTGTCTTCTGCTAGCTTTTCTTCTCTTCTATACTGACAATAAGATACAACATTTTTCTCTAGCTATTCTTTTTTTCAAACATTCTAAGAATGAACAGGTAGGCCTTTGGTTTAAGAATTTTATTACTAAAGAAAAGAAAACTAACATAGAAAAATAGCATACATTCCAGTAATCTTAGAAAGCTCTCATAGCAACTTTTCCTGGTCTACAGTTCCTGACTTTGTTTATTAGGTGTTGATGTGAGTAGTCTGCCTTGATTCATTATAAGCAATCTCTCATATTCTTCTCCTGGGACCCAATTCTGTCTTAGTTAAATGCCAGATATTGTTATTCAATCTATATAGCCTGTGGTATCACTGGGCTGGCAACGTTGCTAGGCTTGCCGAAACTCTTACTCACTCCAGAAACTGCTGTTTTCTCCAGCACCACACTTAACCCATTCCTCCAATCCCCCAATTTCATTCTCTTAATAATTTAAGGATGTTTTACTATATTTTAAATCTAAGTAAAAAGTACTCAGATGTAACAGATTATTTTCCACATTTTAAACCAGTAAACAGGTATTTGGATATGCTGCATGCTGTCAATTAATAAAACCCTTTCTAAAGATTTTTTCCAATATTTTTCTTTTTCCCTTAGTAATAATAATAATACTTATCAGTACTGCCCCCAATGTAAACATTGCCCCATTTCCATTCCACATTTCATTCAAGGTTAAGAGATAATTGGTATATATTCATAAAATATGATAGAGACTGCAACAGAAGCAGTAAACTATGTAAACTTCTGCTTTCATTACATACATACATACTTTCATACATACACACAAACATTCATACATACGTTCATTACATAATACATAATAATGTATGTACATTATTACATAAAAATATAAAGTTTCTGCTTTCATTAATTTCTTCTAAGCCAATATTTACATAGAGACAATAAGGAATCATACAATAAGGCTTTAGTATTCTAATGAGTATATAAAAGCTGGGAACAGAGGTGAAAAATGAATGTTGTCAAAATAACACTGGATTTACAGACTGGCACATTTATCTAATTTTAGTAAAAATAACAAGATCCACATACCATCACGTGGCTCACATGGGGCTGCTATAATGGGTCTTTTAAGGTTATTACAAAAGACATATGTATAGAAATAAAATGTCAGAACAGAAAGGCATAAAAAAGCACCAATAAATGTAAAATAAGGGTTTTCCACCCTGCCTCCCTCACTTCTCAGAGATAATCATATTTGATGGAGTCTGTTCCTAGTCCTTTAAGTACCTCTAAATAATTTGAGAATAGCATTAGTCCTTTTTTTTTTTTTTTGAGACAGGGTTTCTCTCTGTTGCCCAGGCTGGAGTACAGTGGCATGATCACAGGTCACAGCAACTTCAGCCTGTCAGGCTCAAGTGATTCTCTACCTTAGTCTCCCGAGTAGCAGGGAGCATAGACACATTCCACTATGCCTGGCTAATTTTATATTTTAGGGATGGTGTCTCGCTATGTTGCCCAAGCAGGTCTTGAACTCCGGAGCTCAAGCGATCCTCCTGCCTTGGCTTCCCAAAGTGTTGGGATTACAGGTGTGAGCCACTGTAGTCGTTTTTAAAACAGAATTTGATTAAAACAATTTTGAATATTTAGAATTCCTTTGGTGTTCCAATGAATAGAATTATTTTTTTCAAAAGGTTCTATGAAAGCAATTTTGTATTAACATTCTACTAAAATCCTAGAGAAGATTATTAAAAACCAACAAGAATCCATCCTACTATCAATAACGAAGAAACTTTGTTCCTCAAATTCATCAACTTAACCTAGTAAAGATAAAAGATAACTGATCTTCCTAATAATTTTTAATACAATTAGTTGATCTCCATGCTGTACTTTTTAAACCTCAATGCCACACTCATAATGAATAACCAGTCTACTATCTCTTATGAATTCCTGATAATTTTCTCTCATTTTTACTCAAAAACTGCCAAATGAATCCAGGACCGTCTTTCCAAGACTTAAACTTTATTTTATTTTGAATACTATGAGCTCTAAAATATCTAGATTTTGTCAGATAAAATCCATGGTGTTGAGAATCTTTGTGTTAATATTTGGAATTAATAAATGGAATGAAATACTGATATTAATATAATAGAAAGACTAGAGTCTGGCAGAAGTGGGCTGGATTTGTGCTTCGGACCTTGGGTAACTTATCTAACTACTCCAAACCTTGGTTTTCTTTCCAACAAACTGGAATGACCCTTTTGGGCATTGTTATAAGAATTAAATAATATATGTAGGCACCTACCACCATTCTAGACTTTAACAAGTACTTGATAAATGGTAACTGTATTACTATTATTGTTATTATATGAGTAGTATAAGCATAGCACTTTATGATTAAAAAGCACTTTCATGTATTTTAACTTAATTGGTCTCCATAATAGTCTTACAACAGAGGTAACTCTTCCATGGTCGTATAGCATGTAAATGGTAGAATTGGCACTTACACTTACTTTCTCCACTGTAAAAAAAAAAAAAAAAATGTAGTAGAAAAGGCAGCCACTTTTCTACTACATATCTTTTATTAAAGTAACTAAAGCAGTGTTGATCATCTGATTTTAAACCAATAGCCAGAATAGTGGCCTTTAGGCCAGTTTTCACTTTGCAAGGTCATGACTGCATAGCAAAAACAAGAGTTACAATTAAATATTTGGTATTTGTCTGTTCAGACAATAAACATAAGTATAAATATTGTCAAATCATTTTTCTGTTATATAGAGCTCTATGTGGCATTGTGAATGTCTGCTGAGTATAATATCTTAATAATTTTAGTTCAGAAGACAGGTTGACTTAATGGGTAAATCTATGAAATAACACAAGACTAATAAACACTTTAATGAACATTCTCAATTAATGTAGAGCTTCTTATTTCAAATAACTATACATTCAACAATCTTTTGGCAAAACACACAAAACAATGTAAATGTTTAAAAATTTGATTTGAAATTAAGTTCTTCCCCACCGGAAAAATATCTATTTTTTGAAAATCCTGAATAAAATGCTCATTCTATAGAAGTTAACCATAAGTTTCCTAATTTGGTATTTTAATAAAACAGAATTTCTCAAACTCCCTCAGTTTGAATCTTCATATTTTATTAAACATAAGATATAGGAGTAGCATGCCTCAAGACCCAGAATAGGACTGAAAAGCACAACCATATTTAAAAGGCATACTTCTTCCTTTTCTGGTTCTCATTCAGACATTACTATCAAACTTTAAACAGAAGTACACACCCCCAAGAAACATATTCTAAACAGTACCATAATTTTATGGAAGACTCACTAACTGTAGTTTTTCACTCTAGACTTGTTTTTTTTAGCAGCTATACTCTTAACTTTAGGAGGAAGCCCCACCGTTTAATCACTGTATGAGCCAATCAACACAGGCTTTGTATCATTTCATCATCTGCAAGGTAGGGATCAAAGACTAACTTCTCTTTCCTGGATTTAGAACAAATGAATTCTATAAGTTGTTATTCATAGTAATTGAGATTTTCTATAATATAATTTCAACAGATAACGCTAATATACATATAACATTAAGTTGCATTACTTTAACAAGAGACTAATAAAACACTATCATTAAAATAACTCTTATCAAAACAAGTTATTACAACATATTTCCAAGGAATAAAACAGAAAATTTGAAAAGATAATACATATCCTATCCTCAGATTTCTATTTACATTTTAAAATAGCTTTTCTACTAGAGTAAAACTAATAGAAAATAAAAGTAAGCTTGACATTACCTCCTGTCCTGATACTGTCACATATTGTGCAGAAGGATTTTTTAGTATTTTTCGTATTTCTTGCAAATGCATTCGGATCTCGTCAATAACACCTTGAATTTCATCCTTCCTCTTTTTTATTAAAGGGAAGTCAGAAAGGTCTTTAAATAATTCAGTTTTATCCCCAACTCTAAAAAATCAAAACATGCAAATACATATTCGAAGTTTATTAATTACAGCAGTTATCGCTTATTTTTCATAGTGTGATAAAAGAGGAAAGCACTGGAAGTCAGAAAAATGTGGTTCCAATTGTCACTAAGCACTTATGGATTTGTTTTTTAACTTCTCTGAGGATGGTCAAAATTACCCTAAAATCATTTCTGCTTTTTAACTTCATGATTCCCATGGTAAAACCAAGAGATAAATTATTTGTTGTTTGCCTATGCAGAAAACAAAGACAAACGTAAATGTCAAATCCTATTTCATTTACATAGAATGTTTTGTGCAATATGTTATAACTACCTTTTAAAGGATAACTTTGCTTTTACAGATTCTAAATATAAAGACATCTCTGGAAATATAGGAAATGAGTACAAGATATCTGACACTCATTTTGGGGTTAATAAACTACTAATGCTTGGCTTTGCCTGTGTTTTACCTTTCCATCATCTGATATGTGGGGGAGTACTATATCTGTCCTAGATGGTAAACTGCCTAAATTTTAGGTAGCAAGTATTCCAGCTGTAATGTAACACTTTTAGGGTCCAATCACATTTCTAATTATATATGTACTCATGCAACTTCTATTATTATTCTAGTAAAGATTAAGAATCCACAAATAAATGGCAAATGCACTGAATTATACTGACTGGTGAAAAGGAAGAATTCAGGGTCTGGTACTTACTTGGCAGCTTGTTCATTGAGTATCTTTAAGTAATGCTCCACTGGACTGAGGAGTTCAGGAATTTCTAAAATAACGGTCCGGAGCAAGTCTGACTGAATGTGGGAATTAACAGCAGGTATTATTGCTTGAAATTCTGACTTTAGGTGATATAAAGTTTTGACAATCAAGAAGAACTCTTGGGTAGAACACTGAAAATAGAAATATTTTTTATGAAATAGCATAAGATACATGAAAATGAAGTTTAATTAGTGACTTTTAAAAGTTAGAATCAGAATTGAGGAAAGTTTAAATTTTCTATTAACTAGTTAGTTGAAATAAAATATCACTGATATTTTCTAAATGAGGTTAAATACTATGTAATATTTTAAAGGTATAAAGGAAATAATTTTAGGCAAGGAAAACAAAGCCAATACTTGTTTAGTATTTTTTCATTTTTAAAATAACATAAACCATATAGCAAAAATAGGTTAAACAAGTTAAAAAATGTGAAGGATAATATCTGTAAGGCATAACAGACACAAGGCAAAATTCTCCCAAACATAATAGGCTCTTACAAATTGACAAGAAAAAGATGAATAATCCAAAGAACAATGGCTAAACAAACTGAATATGCAGCTCATAGAAAGAGAACAGCAAGTATGTATACGATTATCTTCATATATAATTAAAGACAAGCAAATTAGAAATATAGGATAGCATTTTTCACTTATCGGAACGCCAAAGATTTAAAAGCTTCACAATAACCATGTAACAGGATGTAAAAGAAAAAAAAGACACTTTTATATACTCTTAGCAGAGGACTAACCTTTTTGAAAAACAACTTGGCATGTCTTCGTAATAAAAAAGTGCACATAACCCTTTGAATAAGCACCACTTTAAATAATTTATCTAAAAATAGACTAACAAATAGTGAAAAATATGTGTGTCTGAATATTCATAGTAGCGCTGCTTATAATTTAAAAAGATGAATAAGAAATAAATGTCCATCAATTGGGATCTTATTGGGAAAAACTCATGCAGTGTAGTACTACGAAACAGCTAAAAGAAAATTAAGATCTGTTTGCATCAGTATAGAACTCCATAATTTCAACATACATTGAATATATACAGTATGTTTATATCATATACCATATATGTATATATTTTTATGTATTTACATGGTAACACTTTCTTTGTATTCTTTAAATGATATACATTATTCTATATAAATAAAAAATCTAAATATCAATAAAAATTTTAGGAGGTAACACATGTGACTTACTCTGGTTACCTCTGGGTAGTAGGTATGGAAGGGTGGCAGAGGGAGACTTTTTACCCTTTACTGCATACCCCTGCATACTACTGTAGTTTTTTTTTTAACATGAACATGAATAATTTTTATATCATAGCTTCTGGTAAACAGTGAGTTAAACACATGCATCTAATTTCTCTCCATCTTGAAACGACAGTTAAGAGATTGTTTAAAACGGCATAAAACCAGCCAGACGCAGTGACTCACGCCTGTAATCCCAGCACTTTGGGAGGCTGAGGCGGGCAGATCACAAGGTCAGGAGTTCGAGACCAGCCCTACCAACATGGTGAAACCCCATCTCTACTAAAAATACAAAAATTAGCTGGGTGTGGTGGCGCTCGCCTGTGATCCCAGTGACTCAGGTGGCGAGGCAGGAGAATCGCTTGAGCCTGGAAGGCGGAGACTGCAGTGAGCCGAGATCGTGCCACTGCACTCCTGCCTGGGCAACAGAGCAAGATTCCGTCTCAAAAAAAAAAAAAAAAAAAAAAAAGGAAAAAAACACACTAGAAAAGAAGACAACAGCAATAATATGTTAGAAGCTATAAAGTAAACAAATAAACAGTAATTGACTTAAAAGACTCAAGGTATCTGAATTTTAAACTGTCCTTAAGGAAAACGGAGACACAATTTACATCAAGAATCCAAAAAGACTTGTGTACCAATATGGATTCTGCCCTGTTAGGGAACTTCTAAAAATATTAATAATATCTTCCATGAAACAGAAGATACTACAACCATGAAACAAGATGCTACTTTTAAAAAGAAAAAACATTTGGAGGACAAGAAAACAAAAATTCTTGGAAATTAAAGCATAATAGTAGAAATGAAAAATTCAACAGAAGAGGAAGTAAAGATAATGAAGTCATCTAAAACCTAGAATTTTATACCAATCCAAACTACCAATCAAATGTGAAGGTAGTAACAATAATAACAACAACAAAAAAACCACTTTCAGACATGAATGTTTCAAAAGATTTACTTCCAACGTGCTTTCTCAGGAAGGTTCTAGAGGATATATACTCCACCAAAATGAAGAAATAAACGAAGAGGAAGACATGGAATATAGAAAATAAAAGATTCAACTCAAGGGAAGTAAAGGGAATCTAAGATAGTACTATACAACAGATATGGGGACAACCAGTCCAGACTGGATCAAGTTAGAAGGCTCTAGAAGACAGCTCAGGAAAATAAAACTGACAAAATGTTGGCTGAAAAGAACTGTCTTGAGATGAGAAAACAATTTAGGGGTAAAGTAATAAGGCACATAATAGATAGTATATATGAAATAGATTAAGGCTAAGAACGTATTCAAAAAGGTAATTACTAACCACAAAGGGTGAATTATGCAAAAAAAATAAGAAGTTAGGTCCAACTGAGCAAATGTTGAATTCTAAGTGTATCATGAGGCAACTTTTCTCCAGAAAGACCCCCTCCCCACCCTATACAGGAAGCTGGACTGTTTAAATAAATGTGAAACCTGGAAGCTTTTTGGCCACTAGTCAATTAATGATACCTTTTAACAAAAGTAAAGAAACAAACACAAACATTTTCAATATAATTTTGAATATTAACCTCTTATGATTATTGTAATCCCAAGAAAATGATTAATTTTCCAAGCTGAGACACAATGTAAAGTTAAGTCAGCAACAGAAGCAAGGTGAAAACCAGTAGTGCTTTACAATCATGTTGAAAGCCAGAGGCAGCAGGTTGTTCTCAAGTTTCTTAAGCAAAAGAACTCAAAAGAAGCTACAAGAAAGCTGAGGATGGGTAAGTGGCTGCTCCTGAAGTCACTCTCCAGGAGTTCAGCCCTACTTCTGGCAGCAGCTGTCTCACTGGGAGAGCTTGAGCACAGACCCACAAGTATGGTGGCAGGGCCTCACTGGACACAGGATGGGAAGGACCCCAGCTTAAGTGCCACACTGAACATGCAGCTGTGGGCTTATTCCTGCTTAGCTAAAAAAAGATTTTCACCTAGGAAATTCTGAAAACACTCTCCTCAACATTTGCTAAGTGCGATTATCCTTTAAATGTATTCACCAACCTCGGCAGTTACTTAAGAATTTCTTACAAAACAGTTCTTGAGCAAAGTTATTATGGGTTCCTGTGACTAGCACTATTTACAGGATTTGAATTTAACATTTTGCCATCAAAAGAAATGTTTATTTTAGGCTAAGCACAGTGGCTCACACCCGTAATCCCAACACACTGGGAGTCCAAGGTGGGAGGATCTCTTGAACCCAGGAGCTGGAGACCAGCCTGGGCAACATGGCAACACCTTGTCTCTACAAAAAAATGCAAAAAAAAAAAAAAAAATAGCTGGGCATGGTGGCACGTGCCTGTTGTCCCAACTACTCAGAAGGCTGGAGGCTGAAGCTGTAGTGAGCTGTGGTCGCACCACTGCATTCCAGCATGGGTGACACAGTGAGATCTTGTTTCAAAAAAAAAAAGAAGAAGAAGAAATGTCTATTTTATACCAGAATCAGCTCACTTGAGATCCTCTATCATTATCACCATAAAAACACCTATTGGTACATATTCCAGGGCACGTTCCACAAAACCATACAGCCTATGCTAACCACTTCCCACAACATCCAGTGTTCCTTCTCATTTTATGAATTTCACATAATTGGCACAATCTGTACCCAGGACATCACCCACTATGTGGTGTACACAGTAGAAGCTTATTTAGAGTAATCTAATAATAAAGAACAGACATATGTTTGATGGTGTGTACACAGAGCCAGCCAACTAATCTATAAAACATTGGTTTAAAGCATTCAGCTTTCCTGAAGTTGGTTTGTTACCAGATCATTTCTACTCTTCACCCTTCAAACTAATCTTTAGGTACATTCTTGTGTAAACAAACACTAAAACAGCAACAAGGAATGGCTTCCAAGTGAGTTATAAGTTCCGTTAGTAAACTATATTTTGAAATTCCAAAATAAGTCATTCTTGCACTGCATACCGGCCACTTTTTAAATGAATTAGATTCTGACTTTACTAGAGTTTTGAAACTTTTATAAATACACAAACCCTGTGCAATACAAACATCAAAGTAAAGTTTACAAAAAGGCAGGAAGGTGGAATAGAAATCACAGCCCCATGAACTGATGCTGCCATCTTGATGCCATGGACACTTTGACTTTGTGCATTTGAGTAGCCACTGAAAGATTTTCAGCTTTGCTTCTGTTTTCAAATCTCTGACATCTGTCAGTGAATCCTTTGAAGTAGTTAAGGCAAGGTGCCTGGAGATCTGTTGTTTAAAGAAGGTTAATATGCATCAATTTTCAGGCTCTGAGCCAAGGATAAAAACAACAAATGGTTTGGCACCCACATTGCAACTTCAAAAAGGTCTACCATAAAACTTGCGACTATCAGCACAGCTTCTGCTATTGCCAGCAAAACAATAACATGGTGTACCCAATAATGATGCAATAGGCTCCCCGGCCCCATAACCAACTCATATATCTTTCTCCCCAGGATCAGTATTTCCAGTTCTGGCTTGTGCATTGTTTTCAAATTTAGCTGAGGCATGTAAAACAGTTACGTAAGTCCTCTTGGGCACCTCAAGTATTCTTAGAAGCAGTACTTATCATTCTAGTAAAACTCTGTGGGGGTAAAAGGGGATGAAAAATATAGAAACACTAATGAAAAATTGGTCACAACTAAAATTTAGGCATATTGGCTGGGCGCAGTGGCTCATGCCTGTAATCCCAGCACTTTGGGAGGCCGAGGCGGGTGGATCACCTGAGGTCAGGAGTTCGATACCAGCCTGGCCAATGTGGTGAAACCCCATCTCTGCTAAAAATACAAAAATTAGCCAGGCATAGTGGCGGGTGCCTGTAACCCCAGCTACTCAGGAGGCTGAGACAGAAGAATCGATTAAACCTGGGAGGTAGAGGTTGCAGTGAGCCGAGATCACGCCATTGCACTCCAGCCTGGGTGACGAGAGTAAAAGTCTGTCTCAAAAATAAAATAAAATAAAATAACATAAAATAACATAACATAACATAACATAACATAACATAACATAACATAAAATAAAATAAAAAATTAAAATAAAATAAAATAAAACAAAATAAAACAAAATAAAATAAAAATTTAGGCACATAAAAATGGTTACACAGTAAAATTATTAAATTGGCAAGGAGTTACATTTGGAGGAAAAATAAAATTTGCTTATGAAAAGTGGCAACCAGAAAAAAAAAATGGCAGTCAAGATAACTACATCAAACATGATAGCATCCAAAAGACACAGCCAATGAAAACACAGTCAAGAATCCTGGGTCTAAATACAGATTCTGTTACTAGCAAGTTACTAAACCTCTGAGCATCATCATATTAGCCAAGGTAATTCAAGTGGTTGCAGCATTTTATATATATACATATATATATACACACACATATATAGCATTAGATATAATTTCTTATTAGTAAGAAGGTAATAAAAATAGTAACTTCTCAATGTCATAAAGTTTTGATAAGGAACAAAGAGTATAAGGTATGTGAATGACTTCTGCAAAAAGTAAAACACCATAGTTTATAGTGTTTTATCATTTAAAAATATTAATAATTTTTTTAATTTTAGGCATATTTTGAAGATAACCTAAATTATTTCCCTAACCGTGGAAAATGACTCATTTTTGCTATGACTCAAACTGTAAAGCTTAAGTGATAAAAATCAAAATAATCCTTTACTCACCTTCAATATCCAAGCTTGTTTGCATACTAACTACCACCACAGATGTTATACTAGCAGATTTTTCCATAGTTTAAGAAACAATAAGTTGTTCTAAGATCAAAAGAAATAAGGTTTTTTTTTTCTAAAATAACAAGTCTACATAAATTTCCTATTTTGATAATAGTCTGTACTTTCAGGATGAAACAGGAGAATACCCTATATTATAACAGAAGGGCCTCTATGTTGCTGTAGTTAAGGCACATGAGAAAACTTTATTTTCTACAATGGAAAAATTGGAATAACTCTAATTTGTACTATTAAAATTTCTGAGGATTCAGCTACTCTCGCATGCTATTTGTAAGATTTTACAAAATAAAATAATAATAGAGCTCTCAAAAGTTTTCTTTTAATATATAGTGTCCTCAAGCTGAAGAACACTGTCAGCTTTAATAGATTTCTATCACACTTACTTTTTTGTGATAAATGCTACAGAGTCCCCTCTCTATGTCGGGCAATTTACGTAGATGATTTTCTATCTGACCAAACACACTAGATTCTGAATGGAGAACTTCCGATACAGCATCAAGCCGGGCATTTATTTCCCTGTGAGAAAAGAGTAATAGCAATAATCAGATATGTTAGGAATTCAGAATATAGACATTTCCCACTCTAATGCCCAGGAATGTGACACAGCCACTTATTAGGCACAAAGGAAACTCCTCCTTCATACTGAGATAGTCATGTGGGAAGGACTCCCTGACAAAACTCCAATGGGCGTATGCATTGAGAGGAGGGTGCACTGGGGTGGAGACACAGAAGTTCACGCCTTTGGCAGCAGGGAGGAGCCTGGCCCCTCCTCCTCCTGGGTGGAACCTGGGATTACAGTCTGTGAGGCGGGAAGCATACTAGCAAGATTCTCGTTCTGTCTTGTTGGAGAGTCTTTGTTTCCCTTTTTATTGCTCTTTGCCCAATAAATTCCATTTTTCTCCTCCTTCGAATTGTCTGCGGGCCTAATTTTACATGGCTGTGTGATGAGGACCACCCTCCCCCAACCTCGCTGTCTTTAACTGAACTAAGGAAAAAGTCCTACAACAATATATCTGGTCCTTCCATGCCTCTTATTATTATCTGAATCAAAGAGCAGGTATCATACAAGGAAATTCACTAGCTGGGTTTGACAAAGACAGGCTCACCAAGCAAACACAAAGACTACATTTCCCAGTCTCCCCTGTAGTTAGGTATGGCCATGTACCTCAGTTCTGAAGCATGGGTGGGAATGATGTAAGCCACCTCTAGCCCTGGCCCATAAAAACTTCCTGAATAAGCTTTCACATTCTCCTAATCCCCTTTGCCAGCTAGGCAAGCTTGTGAGCCTCATGGTAACTCCATCAGCCTGAGCCCACAGTGGAGCAGAAAATCCACCATTCCCGGATCTGTTACCAATTGAACTTATATTAGCAAGAAATAAACTTCTAATGTATTTAAGCCACTTAGACGGAGAATTTGTTTGCTGATAGCTTGCATTACCTTGGCTAATATAATAGTTAAACAATGACCAACAAGACGACCTAGTGGTGGTGGTGATGGCTGAACTGACCAACTGTTTGAATGAATTAAATTAAACATATTGACCCTGACCAAAGATTGGGGAGTAGCAATAGAAAGTGCAGAGGATATGACATTCAGATACATAGGAGATCAGTGCTGCGGGATTTTACCAACGGCTACACCTTAAGTGATGACTCAACTTAAAACGGAAATCTGATGGACTAAATGTATCATCAATGAGATGTGGTCCATGAAGTACCTATAAACATCAAAGGCCCACACTAGGTATAATGACCATCTGTAGTATTAAAAACTAAGATAAGTAAACATGTCTGGTGAGTAGTAAGTCCTCAGTAAGGATTTAAAGTGTTTGTAAATGAATGAATGAATAAATAAACAAGTGGATGAAAGAATGAACTGATGTTTTGGGGGAAAGGAGGCATCAGCCACTGAATAAACTTGGTGTCTCTCAAAATTCTGTTGACATCATACACACTGATATGAAAAGCAAATCTTAGATCAGGATCCTGGCTAGATTACAATCAGACTGAGGACTTTCGATTTAGTGAGTGCTTTTGTCTTTATTATCCTTAACTACCTGTGAGATCATGCCTTTTCATAATACAGAGCTTCTATACTAACTTCAGGCCTCATTTTTGTTCCATTTTTCTCTGGCTCATACTCTTGCATGCAGAAGGACCATTTGTTAGTACGATGCAGGAGAGCAAGACAGAGCTTTGTACACACACGGGCTGGCTCTTCCATTCTCAGCAGGGTGGACTCTGTAATCCATCCACCACTCTCCACCTCTACAGCCACTACTATAGTCTAAGTCCAAATTATATTGAAACAGCCTCCTAACTTTCCTCCCCACTTCCATTCCTTTTTCCAACTCATTCTCCACACTGCAGCCTGAGTGGTTTTCCTAAAGCCCAAATCTGTTCATGTCACACCTCTGCTTTAAACTCATCTGTGACTTGCTATTAATCTTAGGTTCAAATCCAGAATCTTTAATTGTCCTAAAAAACAACTGATGCCTGTTTAGCTCTTGGGTCTCCCCTGAGATCATGTGTCACTCTCTTCCTCCTACTCTAAGTTCCAGTCAGACTGCATATCTTTCAATGACTTAGTTACTCCAAGCTCTCTGACATGGAGGCTTTCTCATTTGCTGCTTACTTTGCCTAGAAGGTTATTTTCCTCTTCCCTACCACCCATCAGCTACACTTCGTCTGGCGAACTCCTACCCTCTCTTCCTCTGAAAGGCCTTTCTAGATTCACTAGACCAGACTTAATCCCTTTACTATCATTTCCCATACTACCGTCTTTTCCCTTCTCATAATGGTAATCATAATTGTATTTCTTCTTCAATGGGAATTTACTACTTCACTGTCTTTCCTACAAGACTATAAATTCAGTGAACACAGGGGTCATTTCTTATCCCTACATTTCAGGATAACAATTTGTGCTCAATAAACAGTTATTCGATTCAATTTCATTCTGAAGACTACATATAAAGTAAATCAAGATGAGCTGGAAAAAATAAATTTTCTTTGCAAAGGATTGTTGTGATAAAATAAACCAATGTTTTACTCTAACATTTACCCAAAATGTTATACAAATATAAAGTTTTACTTTAATAACTCACTCCTGCATAAATGAAAGATGACACCAATTGGAATAGACTAAGTTGATGCTACAGATGGTTTGAGGACTGATAAAATAATGCCATCTGTGAACATATAAGACAGCCTACACAAATAGCTACTGTCTCAAAAATTAAAGGTTTTCTGAGATACAGAAAGATACGAGCAAAAAAGTTTAATAAAAATCTAAGTCATATTTATGAAGTCTACCAGAAGATTTTTTTAATAGATATAAAACTATAAATTTCTTAGAGACTTGAAAGGTTAGGCCAAGTTGGTTTGGAATCTGGGAAAACATAAAGGAAAAGGTTTTTATTTTAGTCTAGTGCCAACACAGGCAAAAGCAGTATGTTCACTATCAATCAGTTTGGTTTTAACCCAACCTTCTTTAAGGACTACCTCAGAGGTTACCAACTTGGGCTCAGAAGTCAGGTGGCCTTGATTCAAACCCAGGCTCTGCCATTTACCAATTATTTAGCCTTGTCCTAGTTTCTCCACCTATAAAATGAGAAGAGCAATGAGCCCTAACTCTTGGTGTTAGTACAAGAATTCAATGAAATAATAAATGTCAGGTACTTAACACAGTACCTGCTACATCATGACAACCACTCATAAATGTTTACTGTTACCACATCGTTACAAATTTTGTGTAGTAGACACTACAAAGAACAGCATGGAAGAGGGATAAATAGCATCCAAAATATGAGCTCAGAAATAACTATGTATGGACAAACCTTAGGGCATAGATATGTAAACAGGTATTTTGTGCAAAGTGAACAACAAGTGGGAATTATACAAGAAAAGCTAGTCCTGGGATCTTGAGTGCTAAACCTGACAAGTAGTAATGATCTGAAGTACTCGCTGTGCTGAGACTGGACAGTAGGTTGCATTGAGAAAGCACAATGTAACTATTAATAATTATGGAGGTCTAAATGGGCAGGGAGAGAGTGAAAGGGTATGTGACACTGTTCACCACAAATTTCTCATCACTGCGGTTAGGTATAATTCCATCTTCAACTCCTGTACGAAGATCAGAATGGAAATAAGCAAGAATGACTACATTTTTAAATATTAAACAATTCACATACCTTAGAATTGTTTTTTAATGTGCAGTAGTAACAAGACCTTCCAAATAATTGTAATAAAACAGTATGTCAGGCCACACAATAGAGAATTATTATCTTAGTGCAATTAATGACAGATGGAGTGATAGCAACAGGAAACAAAACTGGAAGAAGCATCATCAATTGGATGATGATAAAGATATTATTCCAAGATGACTGATAGTATTCTACGGTTGATCTTACTATACAACTTAAATTAACTGAAAGAAGGCACCTGAGTCATTTCATTCCATATACCAAACAAACAAAAAGAAGAGGTCCTGGGGATGACAAAGATTCATCTTTACTACCAAAGATGAAAGGACTAAATGTGAGTGTCACTGGAGTCCTTCACATTTGAAGATAAACTAGGTGGTGACATGAGTATCTACCATGTGTGGCTGTCACTCAGAAACACAGAGTGTGACCTATAGCTATTGTCAGTGATGGAGTCAGTACCTACTGGTTGCTACTGTGAAAATGCCTCTATAATTCAAACTTAAGATAATTTTGTATAGTTAGATATATTGAATAAGATCTAGTATTTGAGAGTGCAACAGGGTGACTACAGCCAACAATTTATTGTACATTTAAAAATAACTAGAAGAGTATAATGGGAATATCTGTAACACAAAGAAATGATAAATGCTTGGGGTGATGGATACCCCATTTACCCTGATATGATTATTATACATTGTATGCCTGCAACAAATATCTCATATACCCTTAATATATAGACCTACTATGTACCTACCAACATAAAATGTTTAAAAAAAGTTGTCTGGTGGGGGTGGGGAGCTGAAATACAAACTGCTAGGGGTGTATTTTTTGTTTGGTTTCGTTTTACTGAAAAGTTTGACTTTTAAGACAGCACAGAACGAGTAGATTAAATTCAGACATTAACACATTGGTCATGTGAAATGGCTAAATGAACTACCTAAATAATCTCCTGTCAGAAACATGAACCATAGGCCCTTTCCTAGGATCTAAGCATCATTAGACCTATATAGCTTCACCTTTCACATACACCATTCATTCTTACATTCAATGAACAATTACTGAGTGCTTACAAAGTACTAATTGTACAAAGTGGTAGACATTAGGGCTATAATTGTTAACAGAGCTTTGCTAGTCTACAAACAATTTACACTCTAGTGATGAATAGTAAAACTTTTTAAAAAGCATTAATGATAACAATGTAATAAGATTATAACTGGGTTATGATCTAGGTACAATGGGAACACAGGCCAGGAGCACCTAACGAACAAATGCAGTTTTAGGATCAGGGAGGATTTCCTGGGGGTAGCTATTGAGTAAAAGATTAGCTATTGTCTATAAAAGATTAGTGGAAAATGGAGGGTGAAGGTTTGAAAATGTGATCACAGGAGCTGGGATCCAAGGCTAATAGTCTGGATGCACATAAGAACAGTGTCAGGAATACCAGTTAGAAAGCTGTTTCAAAAATCCAGAGAAGAAACACTGAAGGCCTGACATTGCCACCCTGTGCTGCATTCTAGGTAATTTCTTCAGGTATTATCTTGCATTTCAGTTATTTCCTCTATTCTTGTTTAACCCATATCCTGCTTTGTTGTTGTTGTTTTCTTTTCTTTCTTTCTTTTTGGAGTATAAGATCCATTCTTATTTAAGTCATTCTTTTTTTAATTTCAATAGTTTTTGTGGCAGAAATGGTTTTTGGTTACATGAATGAGTTCTTTAGTCCATTCAGTCTTAAAGAATTGTCTGTGTTTCCTTTTTAAATCAATCTGAGCCCTTTTGATAGTATTTATTTTCCATGCTCATATTTTTTATTCTATTTTGTATTTTTTTAACTTGGTGATTTATGTGAGTACCATCAGACTGTTTTAAATAAGTTTCACAGCTTGGAAATTGCCAGACCACACAGAGTATAAATTGAAACTGAAAATCTATGAGGGAGGGCCTGTGGTTAAGAATTCTTAGAAACGTTTTCCTCAGGCAAGAACAGGTCAAGACGTATTTGTCACCTCTCTACTGAGACCACAGTCCTTTGAGTGTCTCACGTTACTATGGTATCTCTAACTTAAATGGACCCAAGACCCTGTCTCCTGTCTCCCACAAGGCAGTTGAACCCCAATCCTTTTGATTACCAAGATCTGCAGGAGCCCAGAGGGCAGCTGCAGCAGTCAATTCACTTCCATTTCCAGTTCCTTTTTCCATCTGTTCCCTCAGTTCTTCCCTTATGTTTTAAATACAGATTCAGCAATGTCCTAAAGGGATGTTTGTTATGCTTGATCCAGCATATCTAGTTATTTCACATAAGGAGATATTTTATGACATTAAAACCACAGAAAATGAAGTCTTCTTATGGCATTTTTGAAGACCGATATTTGGAAAATCCTCATTAATAAAGGCATAAAGATGGAGAAAGATAAAGCAGGAAGGGCCAAAAAGGAAAGATATTTATTTCCTTCTCCTCATTCTCTCCAATATTCCTCTTCCTCAGCCCAAATGAAAGCTGCCATTTGCTGCAGGTCGTTTGTGCAGGTCTAGAGCTCACTGAAGGTCCGAATGTTGAAGAACAAAGCAGAGGCCAGCTAAAAGTTCCTGGATGTTAGTTAATCCCTATGCACTGACAGTCGGGACAAACAGTAAGAGGCACTCGGGTTCATTTTGTTCTTAGCAGCAGCAGTTCCTCCTTTAAACTCTCATTCAAACCGGCAGAGGAAAGGGGCACCAGGTCAGTCCCAATCAAACACAGCTCTCAATTACGCACCACCTGCTACTCTCCCTTCCCATTTCCGAGCAGTAATGCATCCCCAGGGGCTGAGTAAACCAGAGTCACTGCAAGTGAACACCCGGTTGCTGGCTCATGGAACATGGGAAACCACAAAGAATACAGAGGGCTTCCCGGTGTAGTTCATTTTAGAAGTTCCAGAGTTAAAAGTGACATTTGGTTTCATTAACACAAATTAAATGTTAAGTGGAAGGAAATATGCAACATTCTATTACTTCATCATTTGGGCCAGGGTAACAAATTAGAAATACAACCATTAATACTCCAAACATATGGGTTTACCAAAACAAAAGCCATTTAATGTAGAGAACATTGACCACTAAAATGTACTTAGTACATCAGAAAGTCATGCAAAAATGTAGTCAAAGATCTATTTCCTAACACAAACCATTTTCTATTCCCTTAATTATGTGATTTAAATGCCAAGAATTATCTTAGCATGCCTAATTTCCTAAAGCAGTTTTCTAAAAATCTAATTTGACTTATAAAGGTATTACTCATTTGCTCTAAATGTGGTATTGAGTTATAGAGTGAGTAACAGGTAAGTATTTGATTTTAGTACAAAAGCTTCCACTACTTGTATCTCTTCCTCCTTACTAGTAGATTATACCTTGACCAGATTAGATTAGAAATTCCCTGACGCTGGGAACGCCACCTTGTCACTGAGACTGAATAATACAAAATTTAAAATAACTATCTTATACTACTAAGGGAAAACAGCCAAGTACAAAGTACTGGGTATATTATGGCTCCATCTATGTAATAAGGGAGGAAGAGATTTCATATATATATATATAAAATTCATATTTGCTTTTTTAAACAAAAGGTTTCTGGAAGTATACATGATAAAGTAATAACCATGATTACCTAGTGGGATCTGAGTAGATGTGGGGCAGGAATGATAAGCAAACATTTTACTGTGTAACTTTTCAGATTTTCAAACTTTTAAAGTATGTGAAGATATTGCCTGTTCAAAAGTTCAAATAATTTTTTAAATGCTAAGAAGAATGTACAATGGAATTGAAACAACAAAAACCATCTCTGGCAACAGACTGCTAGGTATTCACTAAACATTTCTTCCTATTCCTTGAAAAACAAGCAGACATTTGCTAGCCCCCGCAGTAAGCTGTGACCATCGGAATGCATTCTGCTTATAATCAGATTTAGGCAGAAGGGTATGTGCCAATGCAAGGCCTGCCTCACATAAAAGCCATAAATGTATATCCTCCCTGTTCTTTCTCCTTCCACTGCTGAATATCAGTTCTCAAGATGACGTTGGAAGCTACACGTTTAAAACTGAAGAGCCTCTGGGGTTCCTAACTGCCTATGTGATGAGAGTCTCACCCCACCCCCCAATGTGGAAAGGCCATGGATTGTTTATGCAAAGAAAAAAAAAGAAGAAATTAACTTTCACAACATTAGAGCCATTAGACTTTTTGGGGTCTTTGTGTTAACAGCTAGCTTCCCTAACCAATGCATTGCCTTTTGTGTTAACGAACACATTAGCATTTACTTAGTCAATCAGAACGTGAGGTTGAGATTCCTCAATTCCCAGAACTAGTCAAGTTTAGAGCATAAATAAAAGGGACCACAAAAAAACATTCCTCAATTGTTCATGGTTATATTATTTTGAGAGTAGGCCCCCATAAAAGACTCTACCTACTCACCAGTAATCCTCCTAAAGTCTCCCTACATTCCTGACGGTAGCTACAGGCAAAAGAAAACACAGGCAAGTACCAGATTCAGGAAAAGAAATGACCTGGGCAGATCCTAGAAACTGACAGTGCAAGCACCCAGCCTTCCCCCTGCCATCCCTGGAAGCCTTGGTCATCTGATGGCTGTCTTCTGTCTTTCTAATGCAAGATGTGCTGGAAAACAGATGCTCTCAAGTTCAACATGGGCTTTCTAGACAGATGTGCATGGGTCTCATTTTCACCTGATTATGATGGTAGTGAAGGTCAAATAGCAGTACATTATAAAAAATTCATGTGTGTGTATTTTCTGTATAATTTTTTAAAAATTAAATATTGCAAATACATGTAAAACACCAGCCTACCTGTATCTCTAACCCTTTTCTCATTTCCCAGAAGTTATTATTGTCTTGACTGCCTATGTGACAAGAAAACACCACTTCTGTTTGAACCCCTAAACAGGATATTGTGTGTGACAAAATTTAAATTAGTGATATCATTTATGTGTTCTTTTATAACATTGCTTTTCTGAGATTTATCCATGTTGATACACATAGACTTAAGTCATTCATTTTAACTGCTGTATAATATTCCAATATATAACCAGACAATTTATTTTCCCTTTCCCTACTAATAATTACACTGCTTCCAATTTTTTGGTATTCTAAAGACCATGGCTACCTTCTTGACCAAAAAATTGCTATGAGGAACCACACTAATCCTTTTACATATACTGTCTCATTTGGTCCTCACAACACCACAATGAGGTAGGTAGTTAATTCCCATTTTACAGGTGAAGAAACTGAGGTATATACAAATTCATAACTTCTCCAAAGTGACAAAAGGGAATCAGAACTCAAGCTGAAGTATCATTAACTCCAAAACTATGCTTTCAAAAGGTCCCCTATGTGCTTGGCTGGATGACCTTGGAAAAACTGAGACTTAGTTATTCTTATCTCTAAAACAGAATAACTATCTCTAAAGATAGCTGAAAAAAATACAGATAAAAAATAAAGCACAGTTAGAGATTAGTTCACTAGACTGACATTTTCTTTCTACTCCCTTGATCCCTCAGAGCTTTAAGTCCTCTGCTTGTCCTATACAAAGACATGTTCCCAGAGTAACACACCTTACCTCTTAGACCTCAGCTCTTCTCCCATTCCACCTTGGCTACTTTTCTTTCTTCGAATCTCAGATTCAGACCTCTGCTTCTTTCTTCCTAGGCATTTTCCTTTATTTTTAAATATATATATAAATGTTTCTTTTTCATCTCTAAAATTAATGTAACACTTTGCATACATACCTTCACCTGGACAGATACTGTCCAGGATATTTGTCAAAGATAAGAGAATAACTTTTCAGAGAACTGTACTACAAACACAAAATTGCACAAGATTGGCAATTTTACAAAATTCAATGGTTATTTACAACCTCACATCAGACGTTGAATAGATGAGCAAAACATTTAAATAATAATCAAAACACTTGTTTCTAGTAAAGAGATGGGTATAATCAGTCTATGTGTGCCAAAAGGAAGAAAATCTGGAAATAATGGGCCTATTTGTTTTGGGTTGAATTGTGTACCCCTAAAAAGATATGCTGAAGTCCTTATCCCTCTACCTCAAAATGTTATCTTATTTGGAAATAAGGTTATTGTAGATGGAATTATTAAGATGAGGTCATTCTGCAGTAAGGGTAGACCCCTAATCCAATATGACCATGTCCTTATTAAAAAACACTGTGTGAAGGGACATACATACAGCAAGCATACCATGTAACCATGAAGGCAGAGATCAAGGAGCTACATCTACAAGCCAAGGAACGCCAAAGGGTGCCAGCACACCACCAGCAGGTAGGAGAGAGGACCAGAACAGATTCTCCCTGATAGGCCTCAGAAGGATTCCTTGATCTTGGACTTTTAGTCTCCAGCTAGCTAGTTTTCCCAGCAAAATTTATCACATAGAGAATCCTTTCCCCATTGCTTGTTTGTATCGGGTTTGTCGAAAATCAGATAGTTGTAGATGTGTGGTGTTTATTCCGAGGTCTCATGAAACTTTTCATAAAGCATTAATGATGTCACCACTCTTCCACCCAAGCTTCACCATAAATATGGTGTTTGTTCTCGCTTTAATTTTTAGCAGAATTCATGTTGTTCTGATAGAAGCTCTTTTCAAACTGATATCTTATCCCTGTTAATGCCTCAAACTACATCCTATTGAGACATGCTCTAACAAGTTAGTATGAGTTTATTTTGGTGCCAAAATTTTTTGAAATCTATGCAAAGTTTTTTCATAATATGCATTTTACATGAACTTTCTGAAGACCCCTTGTACAGATAATGTAAGAGCCCCATGCATATTAAATAAACATAGGTAACAATCATGATTAAACCCTATATGCTATCAATGAGTGATACAAGGAACATAATTTAGATTAGGAGGTCAAATAAAACCTCTCCGAAGATATTAACACAACGTTTTAAGTTGAGACCTCAAGTACAAGCAGTTAACCCTGTAAAGATTAAAGAGAAACAGAAGAATATTCTACGTAGAGAGACCACGAAGTACAAAGACTAACAAGTGCAAAGACTTGAGAAAAAGCCTTGGGATGCTCAGGAACCAAACTATAGACAACAAAAGCAAGAACAGACGAATGGGATTGCATCAAACTAAAAATCTGCACAGCAAAGGAAACAATGAACAGAGTAAACAGACAACCCAGGGACTAGGAGAAAATATCTGCAAATCAAACACTGGATAAGGGGCTAATATACCAAATATACAGGGAACTCAAACTACTCAATAACAAGAAAACAAATAACCCTATTTAAAAATGGGCAAAAGGTCTGAATAGACGATTCCCAAAAGATATACAAATGGCCAATAGATAAATGAAACAATGCTCAACATCTCTAATCAGAGAAACGCAAATTAAAACCACAATAGGTCACCTCACTCCTTTCAGATTAGTTTTTATTAAAAAAGATGAAAGATAACAAGTAAAGATGTGGAGAAAAGGGAACCCTTGTCCACTGTTGGTGGTATTATAAATCAGTACAGTCACTTTGTAAAACAGTATGCTAGTTCCTCAAAAAACTAAAAATAGAATTACCATATGATCCAGCAATTCCATTTCTGGGTATATATCCAAAGGAATTGAAATCAGTATGTTGAAGAAATATCTGTACTCCCTATGTTCACTGCCACATTATTCACAATTATCAAGATATGGAAACAACCAAAGTGTCCACCAATAGATGAATAGATTTTTTAAATGTGACACACACACACACACACACACACACACACACACTCTGGAATACTATTCAGCCTTAAAAAAAAAAGCAGTAAATTCTATCATTTGACAATATGGATGAACCTAGAGGACATAATGCAAAGTGAAATAAGCCAGGCACAGACAGAGAAATACCACATCATCTCACTTATATGTAAAATCAAATAAAGTCAAACTCATAGAAGTAGAGATCAGATTGGTGGTCATCAGAGGCTAGGGGAGAGGGTAGATGGGGAAAAGAGAGATGCTGGTCAACTGGTGCAAAGTTTTGGTTAGACAAGAACAAGTTCTGGTGATCTATTGCATAGTACGGTGACTATAGTTAATGCATTGTATGTGTGTCAAAATAGCTAAAAGAGGGTTTTAAATGTTCTCAACAAAAAAAAATGATAAATGTTTGAGGTGATAGATATATTAATTAGCTTGATTTGATCATTCTATAATGTATATATGTAATGAAATATCACATTGTACCCCATGAATATTGTGATGGTTAATACTGAATGTCAACTTGATTGGGTGGAAGGATGCAAAGTATTGTTCCTGGGTGTATCTGTGAGGGTATTGCCAAAGGAGATTAACATTTAGTCAGTGGGCTAGGAGAGGCAGACTCACACTCAATCTGGTGGGCACCATCTAATCAGCTGCCAGTGTGGCTATGATAAAAGCAGGCAGAGAAACATGGAAGGACTAGACTGGCTGAGTCTTGAGGCCTCCATCTTTCTCCTGTGCTGGATGCTTCCTGCCCTTGAACATCAGACTCTCAGTTCTTCAACTTTTGGACTCTTGGACCTTCACCAGTGGTTTGCCAGGGACTCTCTGCCCTTTGGCGACAAACTGAAGGCTGCACTGTTGGCTTCCCTACTTTTGAGGTTTTGGGATTCAGACTGGCTTCCTTGCCCCTCAGCGTGCAGACAGCCTACAGTGGGACTTCACCTTGTGATCATGTAAGTCAATACTCCTTATATACATCTATCCTATTAGTTCTCTCCCTCTACAGAACCCTAATACAAATATATACAATTATTTGTCAATTAAAGATAAAACTTTACAAATTTTTTTAATTAAAAAATGTAAAGTACAGGTAGAAGAAAGAGGTACTCATGAAAGAAACTAAATTTCTTTTAATTTTTAAAGTATATAGTATGCTACTGAAAGTGGAATACCTCTAAGATAAACAAATCTGCCTTGGAAATTAATTATTTTGCTTAACTCACCATTTTAGAGACTCATCCCACATAACCCACCAATGAGTCTGGAACACAGACTCATCTCACGGTTTTCTTTTTTTCTCCTCTACCAATATTTACAAGCAGAATTTGCATTTTCAGGCTTTTTGACAAAACCAATGACATACATATGGGTGTGTGTGTGTGTGTGTGTGTGTGTGTGTGTGTGTGTGTGTAAATAAAAAATTGACAAGACTATATCAACTGAAAGAAGTCCAAAGACAGAACCTCAAAAAAAATTAATTCGATATAATCTAATTTTAAAAGGCCTTAAGAATAATGGCATGCCAATGTGACATGCATTTATTTAAAAAACAACTACACTGAAGAATCTTCTTGCCTAAAATTAGCAGAACTGATAAAAACTACAGGTGAGAACACATAAGAAAAAATAATCTATTTATAAAAGCTAATGTGATATCAGTACAGTAAAATCCAGCCTCAATAATCTAAGTGAACTCTTTGAATCAGTCAATAAGTAAAGTAAAAATCATTTTTACTTTCTAAAAGTCACTATTAAAATTTTGCACCAAAGAGACCATTTTATAGAATAAAAGGTGACGGGAGTGGAAAGTCTTCTGAAACTTGAATGCCTGGTCCTAGACTTATGAACTGTGTGTTTGCCCTTAAGAGCTAGAACAAGATAAAAATACAAAGAGGAGCTTAAGGGATTTAGGAGAATTCATGGATGACTGACAAACAATGGGATCTTGCAGAACCTGGGGAGATCTGCATTATTTTGCTAAATCCCCTCGTCATCCATTATTTGTTCTACGATCTCACTGTAGAAGAAAACCAGACCCTAAACTAACCTTTGGCAGTCAATGTCAGAGACAGAATATTTGTCTGGATGAGCCACTGATGTGATCAGTAAGGCACTTATGTCAGTATAAACAACAACACCATCATGCCTCACTTAATGATGGGGATACATTCTGGAAAATGCATCGTTAGACAATTTTGTCATTCTGTGGACATTACAGAGCATATAGTTACATAAAATTAGATAGTACAGCCCACTGCACACCTAGGCTATATGGTACAGTATACTGCTCCTACGCTAAAACCCAGACAGCATGTTACTCTACTAAATACTGTAGGCTACTGTAACACAATGGTAAGTATTTGTGTGTCTAAACATTTCTAAACATAGAAAACACCTCTGTATATGCAATCCCCAAGGACCAAAATGTTGTCATGTGGTACATGACTAATTATATAGCTGAGCCACTGACTAATCAGCAGATTCTCTCCAGGTATTTGTTTGGAATACGTTGCAAGTGCCATTAAAATTAAACTGGAATTCTTTTGAAATAGATTTTAATAGATTAGGAGTATAAAAGTTTAAAAACCATGACCTAAAATAAAAGGGCAAAGAAAAGGTTCGTGTGTTTGTTTTTGGCTAACATCAGTGTTAGGTCAGTGAAAAGTTCATACTTGAAAACATCAGTGTTGAATGCCTGGCATATTTTCTCTCTGCCTTTCTGGGAAGGTAGGATCCCCAGAGATACATGATTCGGCGCCTAACAACAGACAACATGGTCTACTAGATTTATCTCAAATTAATCCTGGGTACACAAAAAAAAAGGAAATTTAACATTGGAAATGAAGAATTTTAATTTACATGGAAAAGTCTGCTAGTGAGTCTGTTTCTGCTGTAACATGTAAGCAAAAACACAGTAAGAATTGTAGTAGATGTTTAGGCAGCCTTTCCAGCAGCCACAATGCTGCATCCCTTACACTGTTGTCCACAGAAAGCCATCTTGTCTGCGTCTGCTCTACAAGGTCTGCTTATTTCATTAGAATGCTGAACTAAAGAAGATATTTCCATTTTCAGGATTTCTTCTTTACCTCATCAGTTTCCCATGTCTTAAGGTCTTTATGGCTAAGAAAAGAAATCGGAGTGACCCACTAAATCTGAAAAGATTTGGTAATTATCATCATCCAAACCATGTCTTGAGTGTCCTTGTCCTCTGCCTTCCTCTTCTTTGCTGATGTCGCCCTGCTCTCATGAGCCTCTGGCCAGTGGTCTCCTTAAGCTCAAACACCATGCCGTCAATTAAGATGCTGAGTTTTGATGCGGAGATATTTGATGTGGAAATTGCCAAACAATCTGTGACTATCAAGACCATGTTGGAAGATATGAGAATGGATGATGGAGATAACGACCCAGCTCCTCTACCAAAGTTAATGCAGCAATATTTTTAAAAGGTCATTTGGTGGTGTACCCACCACAAAAATGGCCGTCCTCCTCCCGAGGATGATGCGAACAAAGAAAACGAACAGAGGAGATCCCTCCTTAGGACCAACAATTCCTGAAAGTCGATCAAGGAATACTTTTTGTACTACTTCTGCCTGCAAACTACTTAGACATCAAAGGTTTGCTTGATGTTACACACAAGACTGTTGCCAATACAATCAAGGAGAAAAGTCCTGAGAAGATTCGCAAGACTTCCAATATCAAAAATGACTTTACTGAAGAAGAGGAAACCCAGGTATGCCAAGCGAACCAGCGGTGTGAACAGAAGTGAAACGTCCTTGACGCCGTCACACTGTAAGGATTGTTCCAAATACTAGCTGCCCTGCTCTGTTTAAAATTGTTAATATCAGACAAACAGCAGTGAAATGCAGTAGCAAATCAATCGTATGAGCAGAATATTGTCCTCAGTGAATGTGTGGTGTGAATACGGATTCCAAACCTATGGCTGAGTTTCTCATAGTATGATCAAGTTTCTTTTTTCTTTGCTCTGAATAAAACTGTACTGTGCGTTTTCTATAGAAGGTGGCATTTTGGGCTTTCCCTCTTTTTTGTAAAGTGATGTCTGCCTAGATTATTGTCCAGTTAACTTTAGTGACCTTTTAAAGTTGGCATTGTAAAAAAAAAAACTTGCAAAAGAAAAAGAAGAAAACAACAGCAAAACCCATAACAGTGTCTTCAAGCCTATGACCAACATTAACATCTGCAATCCATTATTGAAAATAGTGACTATTTATTAATCACAGAGTAACACAGGGCTAATAACAGCATCTGCTTAGTGAGGCTGCTGTGCAGTTTAAAAGAGACAATGCTCATAAAGCTCCTAGCATACTGTGTGGTGTGAGATAAAGAGCTCAAAATTTTATTCCTTACAGCAATGCTGTGATGAGGTGTTCCACCATGTCAAAGGTGAGAACACTGAGGATTAGTGGGAGTGACTCACTCAGCTGACAGAGCCAACACATAGCGGTTCTCTTCACCATCACACCATATTCACTCTGGTCTAGCCAGAGGTATAACTATTCAGGATAATGGCTTGTTCCTGCTAAGGTCTCTGGAGTCAATGCTGGTTTTAAATCTTATATTTATCTCTACCAGCTATGAAACACTAAGCAAGTTAGTGAAGCTCTCTGAATCTGTTTCCTCATTTCAAGAACCTATCTCAGAAGGTGATTTTGAGTATTAAACACCAGTAAATAGAAAGTGTGCAATAAATAACAATTTTCATTCAATAAACATTAACTGGGCTTCTACTAAGTGCCAGGCACTGTTCTAGGTCAGAATCTCCAAATTTATCTGCATATCAGAATCATCTGGGTAAAATTTAAATCTCAACTCCCTGGTCATGCTGGAGACCAATTAAATCACAATCTATGGGGGCTGGACACAGGCATGAGTATTTTGTGAAGCATCCCAGGTGATTCCGATGTGCAGACAACCTTGGAAATCACTGTATGTTAGGCACTGGATTCAAGTATCTTCCCTTAGGGAGCTCCAACTTTACTCACTCTACTCTTCTAAGCATTTCACACCTAACCCCTCTTTTGGACTCCTTGCTATTACTGCTGTAGCTCAGGTCCTGGGCACCTCTCCATGAACTTGCTAACTTGATCCCACCACTACTACCACTTAGTCCCCTCCTACACACAAGCCCAGCTCTGATGATATCAGCCCCATGCTCAGAATCACTGAATGAACTCCCTCTGGCTATCAACTCCTCAGTCTAGCCTTCAAAACCCTCCACAAAAGGCATCTATCCTCACTTTCCTGGGACAACGCCCTATGTCTGCCAATCTGCAGGCAGGCTCATTCACGAGAATGAGGAAAAAAATCCTTGTAATACTAGAGAGCCAGTCTATTGCTCAGTTCTAAAATAAAATGTTCTCCAATTTAAAACTGTGTTCTTAAAAACAATGGTAACCTTGGTTTTAAAATGCCTTTAATTTCAAAATTTTATAATTTCAGATTAAACACCCCAAAAAGAATTCCTTTTACCTTAATTTAAGGAGTGGCTGGGTCACCCACTTCTTTAACTTCCGTCTCCCAAATGAAGTTTTAGTGTGGTCTAAAACCCACAGCAAACTTCCTTTGGTTTTCATATCAGTCTAAGAAAGACCAGAAAACAAGTTTTATTAACTAGACAATTATTTGTGCCAAATTGTTATTTCATATACCCCGATTCTAAATGTCATATATACCTAGCACAATGTGGCTCATAACAGGTGTTCATTTAATGTTTGACAGATGAATACATACATACAGAATGAAGTACTGACATTTTACACAGAAAAGGGATCGTTTATAGTTTTTGGTTACCAAAGAATAAATTATTCAGAAATTCTTTTGAAATGATAAAGATGCTTTATCTAAGCATCTTTAAAATATAATTGCATACTTTCCTACCTTGGGAAATACAACATAGGAAGATGACTTAATTTTCCTTTGGTATTTCACAGTTACCATTTTATAAACCAATGCTCTCATGACAACACTGAACAAGGTGCTGGAGATAGACATGAACTTGCACTGCACTCTAGGTATTTACCCAGGAAGGATTTTATTTTAGTTTGTTTTACTAAATCCTTAGAAAAGTTTGCTTTTGCCACTTAAAATTTGGGTCCTTAAAAAAAAATCACAATTAACTAGACATAATTAATTTTAACCAAGGTTTCACAGTAGTACAAAGCCCACTGAGACATTTAAATCTTGAGACCTAAAATGGCTGTTTCCACTTGAGTTGGGTTTTTTTTTTTTTTTTTTTTTTTTTGAGACGGAGTCTCGCTCTGTCGCCCAGGCTGGAGTGCAGTGGCGCGATCTCGGCTCACTGCAAGCTCCGCCTCCCGGGTTCACGCCATTCTCCTGCCTCAGCCTCCCGAGTAGCTGGGACTACAGGCGCCCGCCACCACGCCCGGCTAATTTTTTGTATTTTTAGTAGAGACGGGGTTTCACCGTGTTAGCCAGGATGGTCTCGATCTCCTGACCTCGTGATCCGCCCGCCTCGGCCTCCCAAAGTGCTGGGATTACAGGCGTGAGCCACCGCGCCCGGCCGGGTTTTTTTAATCCTTTCTTTTTTCCTTCTCCTCTGTAAGTAGCTACTTCCAGAGTACCTCCTATGTGCTGAACATAGCAAGGACATGGTCCCACCCTCAGGGTGCTTATAGCCAAGTTGGAAAAAGACTCGTAATTAGGATACAATGCCACCTGCCAGGAATCAACTAGAAAAGGTGTGACATAAGCTCTCAGGCCTCAGGAGTTCAATGGAGAGAGCACAGAGAAGGTACAAGGTCACAAAGGTTCCTCTGAGGATGGCTGGACAGGCTAAGGAGGGCAGTTCAGATCAGCAGCAGCACTGCTCCTGAGACCACAGCTTGACTGGCCTGACTGGGGTAAAGGGTCCCGTGAGGAGGCCAATTCCCTGACACCCCTGGAGAAGCAGGCTCAGACAAGAGAGGAGGGACAGATACGTGTCCTATTATATCCTTGTTCTTGCTGACACCCAACTCCTACCCTGCACCTCTTTCCATTGCTCCTTGGAAAGGTGGGCGAGGGGCGGTGGGGGTGAAGTTGAAGTACAAAGACAAGCAGAAGATGTTAATCTCAGCTTCGGCTTCTAAAATGGTGCAAGGTCCAATAAAGGAAGGAATTTTGAAGGGTATTTTGATTCCAGATGATTTCTGCCTTAGGAATTTGATTTCAGAACTGACTCTGTTGTAGTAGGATTTGAACAGGGAAGATGCGGCAGAAGCAGGGAACGCTTACAATGCCAGGGCTGGCTGCAGGCTATCAGCACTCCTTCAGCCGAGAAATGTCTCTTTATTCCTACTACTTATTTCCTATCATGGAGATGGCTACAGAGTTGACGAGACAGACCGGCAGGACAGATTCTCAGCTTTTGGATGATGACAAGATAAAAATGTTACTGAACAAAAATACATCTGAATTCAGCATACTAGAACAGACTGGAACAGGAAGAAACTGAGAGAAACTAGTTAATAATATGCAGATTCAGGAGTCAGGAGAATAAATTCAGTGTTTACTTTAATTTGCAATAGTAATAAATATTTCTGAAGAGTTTTAACTCCTTTGACTCAGATGGTTCAGATGATTCTCCAGTACTTAATCAAATGACGTGGGGTTGCTTTTTATCTCTATTACTTTGTTAGGATAACATTAATTTTATAATATAATGTCTCATCTTCCCAAGTGATAATTTAATAAATGAAAGCAATAAGTTTAATCTCCCCGTTATCTTCCTAATTCATCAACAAAGGACAAATAAACAATGAAAGTTTGTGAACTGAGGCCAGGTGCGTTTGCTTACGCCTGTAATCCTAGGATTTTGGGAGGCCGAGGCAGGTGGATCACCTGAGGTCAACAGTTCGAGACCAGCCTGGCCAATATGGCGAAACCCTGTCTCTACTAAAAATACAAAAATTAGCCAGGCGTGGTGGCAGGTGCCTGTAATCCCAGCTACTTAGGAGGCTGAGGCAGGAGAATTGCTTGAACCTGGGAGGCAGAGGTTGCAGTGAGCCAATATCGCATCACTTCACTCAACCCAGCCTGGGCAACAGAGCGAGACTCTGTCTCAAAGAAGAAAAAAAAAAAAAGAAAGTTTGCAAACTGAAATGTTATGCATCTTACAGTCAAACTGAATATCCCAGAAACCTATAACCTGAATAATTAAATAAGACTGCAAACATTTCAAGAAAAAGCTAAAGGTGTATAGAAAAATATAACCAAGTAGACAAAAAAAATCCGCTTCATATTTTCAGTGATGATGCCTTTCCAAAAAACTACATGATATAGAAATGATGTTACAGAAATTGTCAGGATAAGCATGCCCCTCAGTCATTAAAAAGGGCAGCTCCATCATTCCCCCCAAAAAACCCAGAGAAATATTATGTACAGTTCATTCTCCAAAAAGAGCTACAGTTATCAATTAATACTGCAGTCAGCTAAAGACACTATATTTTCACCTGTACCTCTAAAAACAGACTGCTGCCTTACTCAGAAGTTTTTCCCAAAACGATTTATAATCAACTAGCCCTTGTATTTGCCTGACCTGATTCTGTAGGATTTCCAGATTCCTTAATGTTGTTCCATTAATTGTCATAAATTCCATTTTACTTGATAGCTGTTTAAAATTCCTGTAAAAGAATCAAATATAATTAGCCTAGATGTAAGTGCATAAAGAAATAAAAAACTAATTCAGGAACTAGAAACATGCCAGCTACATTATGGCAAAAATTAGCATTCTGATAGAAAATCAAACAAAAGGAGCAAAATGAAAATTCATCAGGCTGTTGTAGTCCATTAACGCTGGTGCTGTTAAGTAGATTGATGCAAGACAAAGATAGTTACTCTAACAAAAAAAAAACAAGAACAGGAAAGGGAAGTAATGGTAACAACATTTTGTTTTGGTTTTGCTCTAGGAATAGAACCAAACATGGTCTTTTATCATTAGCCAAGCACAGTAGCCACATCTTCATGAAAAGCTGTGTAATCAGCTAGAAAAATATGTCAAGATACTTAAAACTGTCCTCCTTATTCTTTAGCATGAGATCATCTTGATAAATACTTTTAATCAAGATTCTAGGCCAGGTGCAGTGGCTCACACCTGTAATCCCAGCACTTTGGGAGGCTGAGGCAGGCGGATCACCTGAGGTGAGGAGTTCGAAACCAGCCTGGCCAACACGGCAAAACCTCGTCTCTACTAAAAAACATAAAAATTAGCCAGGCATGGTGGCACGAACCTGTAGTCCCAGGTACTCGGGAGGCTGAAGCACAAGAATCACTTGAACCAGGGAGGCGGAGATTGCAGTGAGCTGAGATCACGCCACTGCACTCCAACCTGGGCAACAGAGTGAGACTACGCCTCGGCAAAAAAAAAAAAAAAAGATTCTAACATATGCAACAAGTGTTATTTACTCTGTAATTAACAACACACATGCGGCCAGGCACAGTGGCTCACGCCTGTAATCCCACCACTTTGGGAGGCCAAGGTGGGTGGATCACGAGGTCAAGAGATGGAGACCATCCTGGCCAACCAACATGATGAAACCCCGTCTCTACTAAAAATACAAAAATTAGATGGGTGTAGTGGCGCACGCCTGTAGTCCCAGCAACTCAGGAGGCTGAGGCAGGAGAATCGCTTGAACCCGGGAGGCGGAGGTTGCAGTGAGCCAAGATTGTGCCACTGCACTCCAGCCCGGGTGACAGAGTGTGACTCCGTCTCCAAAAAAAAAAAAAAGAGAAAAGAAAAAAAACACACATTACCATGGCCAAATTTAGTGGGTATAAAACACTGTTATTTCCTTAAACTGAGTTAAAGCATTCACACTCTCCTTATTGTCTCAGTATCTATCCAAAACAAAATTAGAAGTTCAATAAATTTCAAAAAGATTTGAGAATGAGCTACAGCATGACTAATAAATGTATGTACAATTCCAATTCGTGTTAAGAAGTACTAATCAATGCAGTACTAATGCAGTAATTCAATATCCTTTATCAGCCAGTCCTTAGATGTTTCTGTCAACAGCCCTTACAGGCTTGAGAGCTTATTTTTAAAGGCAAGGAAAATAACAGCAGGTCACTAAATTATTTAACAAAAGAAAGGCATAAGTGTTTGTGCTATAAACCTAACCACCCTTCTCATAGCTATAATGAAATTTAGGTAACATCCAGTTTCCCGAGTTAAGAAAACAAGCCCTCACCCAGAACTTTAGAGAACCTAATATCAGAGCCCGAAAAACCAGTACCCAAAAAGAGATTCCTTCACTTCTAGATGACTCCTTTGACTAAGGCCCCAAAGCCCTGGAAAAGAGAAATACTTTACCTCAAATTAGGAACGTTGCCTAGTAACTCAATGCTGTCCTTTGGTAGTGTAATGTATCTGTGACAGGTTTGATCTAGCTTCCAAAGAACGATAATCTGTTAATGATTTTCAGCGGGAAGCAACTCCAAAACTGAAAGGATAGCAAGTGTTCAGCCCTTTCTCTCCCTCTGGTAGCAGTTAACTTAATTTGTCTTGAATTACAGCAATTTATGTTGTGCCTCTACCCTCCTTAATAGATCTAAGCTCCCTGAAGGCAATCATTTTGTACCACCTGTACAGCTTAGCAGACAGTAGAGGGTCTACAAATATCTGCCATCTTCCTAGGGAAAACCAGGTTGGGTTTATATTTTTCCCTTTGAATCACAAAGCTCCAGAAATGTCTGTGAAATAGCCAGACAGTTATAAAATGTAAAACATTATTTACAGGAAGAAACAATTAGGCAGTGATTGGCTATGTAGCTGACAAGAGTTCACATGAATTCATGGTCAAAGATCTAAGTTGGAAGTTTGGCTGATAGCCTGGGCTCTGAGTTGGTATCTAACCAGTTACCTATGTGTTTAGATATGAGTCCTTACTTCCGCTGTTCTGACAATTAGGTTTAACTAAGTCCATCCTAGGGGTGACTAGTTAACATGTTAGTGCCCTAATCAGACGTCGACTCTAGAACGGTGCTTAGCTGGCATCTTTGTTTATTTGGGTTATAACAGAATACCTCAGAATGGGCAGTTTGTAAACAGAAGTTTATTGCTCAGAGTTCTGGAGGCTGTCAAGTCCAAAATCAAGGTGCCAGCAGATTTGGTGTCTAGTGAGGGCTCAGTCCCCATAGATGGCACCTTCTGTGTGTCTTCACATGGAGGAGGGACAAACAGTTCCTTTAAGTCTTTTCTATTAATATAAGGGCATTAATCCCATTTACAAACGATCTGCCCTCATAACCTAATCACTTAGTAAAAGGCCCCTTCTTAATATATCCACAGTAGTCATTAGGTTTCAACATGTGAATTTTGAAGGGCACAAACATCCAGGCCATAACAGTTGGCATGAGACTAATCAAGAAACCACAATCTAGCAGCCTTTCCTAAAAGCATCTCAGCTCACTGCCTTTATCTTCTGTCAACAACAGATGTGTAAGACATAATTTTTCACGGTGGTATGGCAGTTTGTGGGCTGTCCAGAAATACTGCCCAGTTGCCTCCTCCCTCATATGAACAGGGTATAATAATCCTATAAATCCAACAGTCCATACCCTAAGGGATGGTGTTTTAGGCTTCGGATTCTGAAAGCATCCCCTGTTCTACCAATTATCTCAGGGTTTGTTCCCTGACTCCAACTAAAAGTGAACTGTCCCTATTATAATGTTGCACATGCCTCAAGTGAACCACTGAAACAAGGTACTGTCGGAATACCAAAAAGACAGAATTGTAATTTCATAGAGCTAGAGAAGAGTTTACATGACTGTTTTTGTGCCTGCTTGCTAAAAAGTATCTAAATGAGTGGCAGAATTCAGTTTGAATTAACCCACTACCTGGTATACAGGGGGTGGGGTAGAAGGCTTACAGCCTTCATCTACATATAATTACCAAATATCTGCAATATCAAAAGGAAACCAGTAACTGTGAACAACCAAGCTGGTTTTTAAGTTAGCTCACAACCCCAGACCTTTAGAGAGCAAAGGTATAGGTTATTTTAATCAATGGTATTAACGTAAGTATTAATGTGTTGTGTGTGTGGTTTTTTATTTGGTTGGTTATGGGTGTTTTTGTCTTTTCTTTTTGCTGTGTGTGTTTTTGTTTTTTCTTTTTGTCCTTACTAAACAAGTAATCTAAAGTTCAAATCAGATGCACTAAGAGTTTTTTTAAACTGATATCTACATTGATTTTAATAAAAGATCAACCACTGGGCAATCTTAAATCAGATTGATTCCCATCTAGAATAATTATCAAGCAACTACAAGGACTAACCATGCTTCTGGAGTTCCCATATATTTCGTAAGTATTTATAAGTATAAATTTATACGTATTCTGGAGTTGGAGTCTTCCTTCCCAATAGAAATGCAATTTCCTTCTGTTAGCACCTATTTCCATTAGAATTATATATATTTTTGAACTAAGGGTTATATCTACCAGCATCCTAAGGTATCCAATAGTATCCGATCACTGACCTGAAACACTCAAGCAATTCTAAATTATTTACCATTGTAGAAGAAGACAAATTCTATGTGCTTTGAAATGAAACTCACCAACAACATCTGGCTAGAATTCATGCTTTGTGAACCTGCATAGAAATCTTATATATAACATGGGAAAATAGTTTTATCAATATTTCAGACACCAAAAATACAATAGATGCTTTTTTTCCCTCAATAGTGGGAGGGAAACATCTTTGTCAAAAGCTGGACAGAGAAATCAACTCCATATTACTCTAACCCTGCTTAAAAAAAAGACAGACAAAGGCAACAAGGGTACAGAACTTATTTAAATATCATTTTAAAATGGAAACAATGACAAAAACTACCATATAACACATGAAATCTATTGCTGAAAACATTTCTGTGTGTACAGCTTTCAGAGTTCATAAATTCATCACTTGTCTAACTTTTTGGCAGTTAATTTGATTTATAAAATATAAATTGTACTATATTACAAAACTTCAGGGTTGTAGATTCACTTATAATTGATCTGTAATTAAACAACATGACTAACTTTGCATTTCTAAATCCTGCCAATAAGCCCATTAGAAAGGCAAATAATGGGAAAGGTGTATGTTGAGTCTACAAGACCACTGCCAGGTTCAATGACTCATGGTATATACACAGGACTCGACATAGAGTAATACTAACAGCTATGACTTACTACAGTGAAAGAATGCAAAGCAAAATCAGGCAAAGGAAAAGGTGCCTGAGGCAAAGTCCAGGGGGAACCGGGCATCCAAGAATCCTCTCCAGGCGGAGTCACACAGGATGCACTTAAATTTCCCCAGCAATGAATTGTAACAACACGTGTGAAATGCTGTCCACCAGGGAACTCATTAGAGACTCAGCACCCATGGTTTCTATGCCGGACTGGTCCCATAGGCACCATCTCCCTACCATGTACCAAAATTCCAGCTCCAAGAAGGTAGGTGATCAGCATAAACCACACTGTGTGCACAAACAGTTAAGGCACAGTGAGCCACTCTCATCACGAAATGGTGAAAACTCTCCCGAAATTCAAGGTCCCAGACTCCAGTCAAGGGCCAAGCTTGCAGGAAGGCCTTTCTAAGGAAAGCTTTGTGATTAGGCCTGCTATGTTAATTTTTTGCACATCCCTCTTTTTAAATTCTACTCTAAAACTATATGTATTACATTTATTCGCTATTATGTTCTTTCAAGTTTACGCTTCAGTCCTAAATTGATCTTTTTCTTTATACTTCTGTCTTAAATCCTATCACCTCATTTCCAATCTTTCATACTTCTTAGTTATGTTCTTTCACATCTAGTATCATTTTCTTAGTGTCTTTTAGCTCATTTTAAAACAGTAGTTTTTCTTTTTTAGGGGGGTGGGTGGGTGAGGGACGGAGTCTCGCTCAGTCACCCAGGTTGGAGTGCAATGGCGCGATCTCGGCTCACTGCAACCTCCGCCTCCCAGTTTCAAGCAATTCTCCCGCCTCAGCCTCCTGAGTAGCTGGGATTACAGGCACCCGCCATCATGCCCAGCTAATTTTTTGTATTTTTGGAAAGATGGAATTTCACCATGTTGGCCAGGCTGGTCTTGAACTCCTGACCTCAGGTGATCTGCCCACCTCAGCCTCCCACAAGTGTTGGGATTACAGGCGTGAGCCACTGCGCCCAGCCAGATTGTCATTTTTATTTAATCTGTGACCATGATTTTCTGGCATGTATACATTATCTGTAATGACATCCTACTCCTTATTCTCTTTTTTCTCATAATAATTTTGTAAGAAATTTGAATTTGGTTCTTTTCCCATTGCTAATTTTTAAGTGAAGATTAATTTTCCTGAAGTTTTAGAACACGGGCAATTTTTAGGACAGTTTTTCTAACTTCATACATCTCGCTCTTCTGTTCTTTTTTGGTTTTGTTTTTTGGAGATGGAGTCTCGCTCTGTCGCCCAGGCTTGAGTGCAGTGGTACGATGTCGGCTCACTGCAACCTCCACCTCCTGGGTTCAAGCAATTCTCCTGCCTCAGCCTCCAGAGTGAGTGGCTGGGACTACAGGTGCCCGCCACCAGTGTGGCTGCTTTTTTTGTATTTTAGT
Source organism: Homo sapiens (assembly GCF_000001405.40). Classification (NCBI taxonomy): domain Eukaryota; kingdom Metazoa; phylum Chordata; class Mammalia; order Primates; family Hominidae; genus Homo; species Homo sapiens. The sequence goes on along the minus strand of NC_000005.10, from coordinate 80,735,521 downwards.
AGAGATGGGGTTTCATCGTGTTACCCAGGCTGGTCTCGGACTCCTGATCTCAGGCAATCCGAAGGCCTTGACCTCCCAAAGCGCTGGGATTACAGGCGTTGAGCCACTGTGCTCAACTTTTTTTTTTTTTTTTTTTTTTTGAGATGAAGTCTCACTGTCACCGAGGCTGGAGTGCAGTGGCATGATCTTGGCTCACTGGAACCTCCGCCTCCTAGGTTCATGCCATTCTCCTGCCTCAGCCTCTCAAGTAGCTAGGATTACAGGCACCTGCCACCATGCCCGGCTAATTTTTGTATTTTCAGTAGAGACGGGGTTTCGCCATGTTGGCAAGGCTGGTCTCGAATTCCTGACCTCAGGTGATCTGCCCACCTCACCCTCCCAAAGTGCTGAGATTACAGGCATAAGCCACCACACCTGGCCGGTAATCATGTTTTAAACTTCATAGAATGTTTTTCTCCAGCCTCCCTCTTCTCTTCTTTCTGTGCAGTGTTCAATTGTGCCACCTGACCTCTGCTTTCATTCATAAAAAAGTAACTGCATGAGAAATGTCCTCCAATCATAAACAATAAGAAAACTGGACAAAACACATGAGGGGGAAAACTTCTCAGGTATTGGACAACACTTGGTGCAGAACCGTGACCCTGAGAGAGGAAAAACAAATGAGGTAAACAACATGACTGCCTCTTTGGTGGGCGCAGGGAAACTAGAATTTGTGAGACAGAATGCCAGATAACAGAGCTGCACATACAGCTCCAGAGATCTGCTGAAGGGTCACCTCAACTCTTGGCCAAGTACCAGTCCTCAAAGGCGTTTAGGGACCTCTGTGGGACCATGGAAATAACTACCAGAAAATAGTAGTGAACAGTGACCAGAGTTCACAAAGGGCTTGGAACACTCTCCAACCAGAGTAGAAATACCTCAAAATACATGAGGCATTGGTTATAAGCCTCAGAAGGATATTGCCTTAAGAACAGAATTAAAATAGACAGAGACAAAGATTTTTCAATCTCAGCACTACTGACATTTAAAAGATAAGTGTGTATGTGTCTATCAACTTTATTGATATAATTCACACACTATGCAATTCACCCACTTGGAGTGTGCAATTAAGTGGTATTTAGTATATTAAAATTGGCCAACCATCACCACCATGTAATTCTAGATACTATCACTCCAAAAAGAAACTCTATACTCATTAGCAATCACTCTCCATTCCCCCCAACAACCCAAGAGCCCTAGGCAACCACTAATCTACTTTCTCTCTATGGATTTGCCTATTCTGGACATTTCATATAAATGGAATCAGACAAAACGAGACTTTTTGTGACTGATGTCTTTCAACTACCATAATATTTTCAAGGTTCATCATGTTGCAACATGTATCTGTACTTCATTCCTTTTTATGGTTGAAAAATCTTCTATTGTATGCATATAACACATTTTAGGTATCCATTCTTCAGTTGATGGACATTAGAGTTGTTTCTACTTTTTGGCTATTGTGACTAATGCTCTTATGAACATTTGTATAAGTTTTTATGTGGACATCATATTTTCCTTGTCTTAAGTAACATCTAGTGGAATTGCTGGATCACACAGTGAATGTCATGAGGTACTACCAGACTGTTTTCCAAAATGGCTGTACCATTTTATAGTCCTATTGGCAATGTATGAGGATTTCAAGTTGTCTGCATCCCAGCCAACACCTTTTTTTTTCCTAGTTATAGCCATCCTAGTGAGTATGAAGTGTTATCTAACTGTGGCATTGATTTGAATTTACCTGATGCTTAATGATGTTGAGCATATTTTCACGTGCTTCTTGGTTGTTTGCATATATCCTTTGGAGAAAAACCTGTATGGATCATTTGTCCATTTTCTGAGTTATCTTTTTACCATTGACTTGTAAGAGTTTATATATATATATATATTCTAGATACAAGTCCCTTACTGGATATATGATTTACAAAAATTCTTCTATTCAGTGGATTGTCTTTTCACTTTCTTGATGGTGTTCTTTGAAGAATAAAAGCTTTTACTTTGATGAAGTCCAATGTATCTATTTTTGCTTTTCTCACTTGTGTTTTTGATGTCATAGTTAAGAAATCATTGCCTCATTCAAGGTTACAAAGATTTACACCTATGTTTTCTTCTAAGAGTATAACAGTGTTAACTCATATCAGGTCTTTGGTCCATTTTATCTTCCAAACTCAAATATGACATGAAGTAAGGGTCCAACTTCATTCTCTTGCACAGACAGTTATCTTGGCACCATTTGTTTGAAAAAAATCTATTCTTTCTCCACTGAATTGTCTTAACACCCCTGTCAGTAATCAAATGACCATAAGTTTATTTCCAGACTCTGAATTCTATCACATTGATCACATGTCTGTGCTTATGCCAATTCCACACTGTCTTTTTTTAATCCCACCCTCCACACTGTCTTGATTACTCACTTTGTAGTAAGTTTTGAAACAGAGATATGAATCCTATGAATTTTAGGATCAGCTTGTCAATTTCTCCAAGGAAGCCAGCTGGGATTTGATACAAATTGCACTGAACTTAGAGACTGATCTGAGCAATACTGCATCTTAACAACAACAGACAGGTTTAATGTCTGTGAGGTTTTCATAAATGTCCTTTGTCAGGTCAAGAAAGTTCCACGTTAGTTGTAGTTTTTTGAGCGTTTTTTATCATGAAGGGGTGTTGAATCTTATGCAGAGTTTTTCCTGTCTATTGAGACTATCATGTAGTTTTTGATAAGGTAGATTACATTGATTGGCTTCCAGATTTTTAAACCAAGCCAGTATACCCGAAATAAATCCAATAGTCATGGAGTACAATCGTTTTTATATTCCTGATTCCATGTACTTATATTTCATTGAGGATTTTTGTGCCTATAATCAAAAGATACTGGTCTGTAGTTTCTTTTCCTGTAATATATTTGTTTGGTTTTGGAGTGTTGAAATTTGGAGCCAAATAATGTGTTTTTTAGGGAAATATCCTGTGCATTTTAGGATGTTTAGCAGCATCCCTGGCTGCTAGCCATTAGATGTCATGAGAGTAGCTTATATATTAAGCTATTTCTTTCACTAGTAAGTAAAGGTAATCACCACATGTTATCATTCTGTTATCATAAGAAGTTTTCTTTTAAAAAAAAGGTTTTACAGTTTATCTTGGGTGGATTTTCTCACTCTTTCCTAAAATTTCCAATATCTTTTTGAAGTTGTGACCACTCCAATCTTAATAAAAACCATCCAAAATGACAAAAGCATTCATTTCTAACAACAAAAAGTGGATTCCTCTGAATTTCATAAATTTAGGCATCAGGTTAATTCTGTTATAATAAATAATATCCCTCACATTCTATTTATTTTGTTACACTATTTTTCTTTGAAACAAACTTAAACTCTCAAAATAACTTTAGAACCTCAAGTGTGTCTTAACAAAACTTCACTTAAATCATCCTTAAGAATAATTTCTGAAATGGTATATTTTCTCAAACTATCTAAAATTCTATTCTAATGGCACAAGGACCTTTAAATAAACGTATATCATGATTTTTATGAAATATGCAGCAACGTTTGTGAAAGCATTTACTAAACAAGTCAACTCAAGTGAAATTTATTTTCCCCTTGATAACATAGCTTTGTAAATAAAAGTCCAAAACTTCAGCAGCATAAAGTATGTTTATAAAATAATGCAACTGAATTTTTCATCTACAAGGAGAATATTCATTTTTCCAAAGTAATCACCTTAAGAAGCAACATTATTTTTGCAAAATATAAGCACTACAGAATTACTCTTTTAGAATGATCTTCAAATTACATGCCACTCATGAACACCACATTTCGTTTTTAAGCAAAACTAGAGTACCAGTTTGATCACTATCTTTATTAATCTTGGTTTCCAATGACCTTTTGGCAATTTCCAATGAAATATACCCTCACAGAATGAAGAATTCCTTCCTTCTTTCATTAATCCTATATTAATACTATATATAATAATATATAATAAAAGCCTACTAGGTGCTGGGCTTATGCTGGATGCTGGGAATATATACAAAGCAGAGCACTTTATGTCTTTTGGCTTTGGCTCCATGGAAGTACCCAACAGGTAGATTAGATGATACACTAAGTCACTAGCAGAGCCAGTTTCCTGACCATCCTCCACCATCAATTATGAGATGCAAAAAGTTCAGCTTCAGTTTATCAAGAGGTTACTTCAGGTAATTTGAAAAGAATCTATTTTAATTTCAGTATATATAGACATCTTGTTTTATTGTTTGGTATTATTCTTATTTCGAATTAAATATGAGGAAGACAGGCCGGACACGGTGGCTCACACCTGTAATCCCAGCACTTTGGGAGGCCAAGTGGGCAGATCACTTGAGGCCAGGAGTTTAAGACCAGCCTGGCCAACATGGTGAAACCCTGTCTCTACTAAAAATACAAAAAATTAGCTGGGCGCGGTGGCGTGCACCTGTAATCCCAGCTACTTGGGAGGTGGAGGCAGGAGAATTGCTTGAACCCAGGAGGCGGAAGTTGCAGTGAGCTGAGATCGCACCACTATACTCCAGCCTGGGCAACAGAACAAGACTCCATCTAAAAAAAAAAAAAGAAAAAAAAAAAAATATATATATATATATATGAGGAGGACACATCTTTCCAGGTCCAAATTCATTTGCTTCTAAACACATCAGGGCCTGATTTCTAAGTTAGTTTCCTTATCCCAACATTAATACTTCTTTGCTTGGTGATACAGGAACACAAACACAAGTCTTAATGGGCAAGCTATTTATCACTAATTGTACCTCACTTACAGGGTCCCTATCATGAACAAGTCAAACTGGTAGGTATCTTGTCACCCCTTTTTTTACAAAGCCCCAACACAACCAACCATACAGATTGATCTCTTTAATAAGTTTATTTTTGGAGCTTAAAGTAGAATCCAATGAGGGTATAATGCCGGGCTGACACTTTTTAAAATAAAACATTTTGGCCACACTAAAAAATGTATAGATTAATACAATACCCACATTCAGAAATGAAACATCAGTTAGAACTCCACTATGCCACGTCCATCCCCAACCTTTACTACTTTCCCTTCTTCCCCCTGGAAGAAACCCTGCTTCTGAATTTTCTATCACTCCCCTGCATGTCTTCACTTATTCTCTAACTACATATATATTCTTAAGCAGTACAGAGTACGATTTCACATGTTTCTAACTTCATATAATGGTATGTACTACGTGGCCTTCAGCAACTTTATTTTTGGCTTAATATACTGTTCATGAAATTTTAAGCATTGGTCATATATTAATAGCTCTAGTTCATTCATTTTCACTGCTATATAACATTACATTGCATGAATATAGCACAAGGATCCCTGATGGGCATTTAGATTGCTTTTAAATAGGATAAAGTTGCTTCCAGAGAAATGATACTCTGTTCTAGTACCACACGGGAGAACGCACATCAAAGACATTACAAAAAGAACCCCAAGGAACCTGCCTTTCTTTGACTCTCTCCAGCAACCTTGAACCAGCACCACCTCCTTGTTTCCTAGTTAATTTCTATTCTGTCATTTTGCTGAGATAGCACCTATCTCCCCTCCCACTTGTGCAGAATGGGACAGAGCTGATGCACCCTGGATCAATATAATGGAGGGTGATTCTTGACAGACCCAAAGACAAGGGGCTGGTGAAGGCGGAATATAAAAAGACAAGGAAAGTACCCTACTACTTTTTTCTATTCCAATGGTTATCAAACTAGTATTTTCCTAGAATGTCAATTGTGAGCTTTTAAATTTCCAAAATCCACAGTTAATCACTCTTGTAAAAAGCTGTGTTAGCAGCTGGCCCTTTTATCTCTAACTTCATGGTCTATGAAATAAGAACTGAAACCAAGAATAAGAAAGGTGGTAAATTTTTATGAATGCTTTTTAATACTATTTCTGGGTCCAGTTAGTATAAAGCACAGTTTTGTAGTCAAAACTATAATATATCAAATAGCTATCATGAATACAATTTATTTGACAGAATTCTTTATATATATATATATATATACACACACACACACACACACACACACACACATTTTTTTTTTTTTTTTTGGGACGGAGTCTCGCTGTCGCCCAGGCTGGAGTGCAGTGGTGGGATCTGGGCTGACTGCAGGCTCCACCTCCCTGGGTTCACGCCATTCTCCTGTCTCAGCCTCCCTAGTAGCTGGGACTACAGGCGCCCACCACCACGCCCGGCTAATTTTTTGTATTTTTAGTAGAGACGGGGTTTCACCATGTTAGCCAGGATGGTCTCGATCTCCTGACCTCATGATCTGCCCGCCTCGGCCTCCCAAAGTGCTGGGATTACAGGCATGAGCCACCGTGCCCAGCCAATATATTTTTAATATTCTTCAGCAACAATACCAAACAGCTCATCCTTGCACCCTAGTATTCTATCAATAGCAGGCAAGCTTCTCTAAGTATAGTACTACCAAATTCAATTTAAGAAATGTTCATAATATAAGCTCCCCCTTTTTTTAATTTTGGAGGAATCACTTACTCAGGTTTGGAGAGCATCTTTTCCAAGTTGAATTCTTTGAGGTATTTTATGATGGCAGCCAAAGAGCAAATCACAGGCTTCTCTAAGTTAACAATGCCAGAAATAATTTGAGAACCTAGAAAACAGAATATATTAACTTGTTATAAAAATTCTTTTAAATTAATCAAATTAAAAAATGTAATAAACAGAACCATTAACTTGTTAGCATTATTAAACACAAATTTTAAGTAAAACTTAATGGTTACCAAAATAATAATTTGGACAATATCTCCTAAAATTGACCTTTGGAAAAATGTAAATCATTACTAATACCCAGGGCATGGAAAAAAAGGGCATTTTTCTGATGGTGGAATGAACCTTTTTTGAAGAACAGGTTGTTTTTTCAAAATGTAAAATGCCCATCCCCTTTGTCTAGAAATACTCCAAACTGCATGTCAAGGATGTGTGTACCAGAAGGTGACTTAAAACATCTTTTGGAGTATTAAAAAAAAACTAGAGACCACCTAAATAAACATTAACAGCGTAGTACTTAAATAAAGTTGGGTAAATCCTGGTTATTATGTACCAACTAAATGGAATGACTTCCAATTATCTGCACTGATATGGAAGGCCATCTATAACATGTTGCTAAGTGAGGGAAAAAAGTTGTCTGATCAATTTCATGTCTCACCACAAACACTGCAACAGCTTTCCATCTGGTCTCACTGCTTCATCCTTGCACCCTACAGGGTATTCTTAACAGAGCAGCCAGAGGAATTCTTTTTAAAATGTATATCAGATCATTAGACTATTTTGCTCAAAAGTCCTCCAACATCCCCCAACTCATTAAGAGTAGAGGTCAAAGCCCTTAAAGTGACCCTATACTGCCTGCCATCTCCTCTTTATTTCTGAGCTCACCTAATGTTCTCCCCATCAGTTACTCTGTTCCAGCACACAGACTACTTGCTATTCCTTAAACATGCCAAGCACTCTCCTACTTAAGATATTTTGTACTTACTGTTGTCTCTGCTTGAAATACTGTTCCTTCATATGTCTATATGGCTCTTTTCCTTAACTCCTTCAGTCTCTATTCAAATCTTCGTTCAAGTGCTGTTTCTCAGTGAGGCCTTCCTTTACCATCCTATTTAAAAGTTCAACCCACTCCCCTGCCTTATTTTTTTCATAGCACTTATCACCTTCTAACACACTAGTTTACTTTATTGTACATCTCTCACCATTAGAATGTAAACTCCAAAAGAGCAGGAATTTTTGTCTGTTTTATTCCTTATTGTATGCCCAATGCCTGGCATATAATAGGCATTCAAAAAATTAGCTGAACGAATAAATCCCAGTTATGTTAAACAAATACAGAGAACTATATGTGTATGTTTATGTGTGTATGTGTGGAGTTTTACACAAGGATATATGCCAAATTGTTAATGATAACCCCTCCGACATATAAGCTGCAAGGGCAGAGGACAAGTTTGAGGGCAGGCACTTTACTTTTTTCCTTATATACGACTACACTGTTTGACTTTCTTGCAATAAGCATTAATTACTTTTAGAAGTAAAAAAACATATATTACAAGATGTTCTCTACAAATCAGTAAAATATCTTATTAATTTTAACTATAGGTGTTTATAAAACCAGAGTGTAAATGAAGTGCTAACAACACCTTTCCGTTCCACTGAGAAATTGATTTTCTTTTAACTTTCTAGCTTTCTTCCCCAGAAAACATGACAAAGATGGTGTATCAATGTGTTAGAAGTAGCACTGCCTGTGGTAAAAATGACCAAATATCAGTAAATTACATCTGGACTGAGAAGAATTATAAATACCTGACTACAGAGTTTTGGCCTTCCCTTAGTGCGTTGACTTTTGTCAACTGGCGTGTCTTTTGTAGAGACTGCAGCAAGAAATACAGGCTCCTCAAGGGCCTGGAGCTTCTAAGCCAGGGTGGCGCTTACGCTCACTTGATGTGAGTCTCCTTCCTTCATACACTCTCCCGGGCACTGCCACAAAGTCTGCTGTGAGGACTATCCCACTAAGAGCAACACATGCTCTGCTTGTAAGGTGTGTTTTCTGGCCCATATCTTTTAAGTAAATCTGGTACCACGGATAGGTCATGGTAGTCTTAAGATTTATCAGGTCTTTAGTTGAACATAAGATGACCTCTCGGTAATACTGAACACTGGTGTTAGAAGTGGGATACACTTGGCTGGGCGCAGTGGCTCATGCCTGTAATCCCAGCAACTTTGGCAGACTGAGGTGGGAGGATCGTTTGAGCCCAGGAGTTCAAGACCAGCCTAGGCAACATGGCAAAACCCCACCTCTACAAAAAAAATACAAAAATTAGCTGGGTGTGGTGGCGCACGCCTGTAGTCTCAGCTACTTGGGAGGCTGACGTGGGAGGACTGCTTGAGTCCAAGAGACAGAGGTTGCAGTGGGCTAAGATTGCACCACTGTACTCCGGCCTGGGTGACAGAGTGAGACCTTACAGAAAAAAATAAAAAGAAGTGGGATACACGCTCAGACACTTTATTTGACCAAGGCATCATGAAATTAAAGAGACATGCTAACAAGACACTGATGCCTAGATGCAAGGAAATGCTAACTAGACACTGATGCTTAAATGGAGCAGTGATGGGGAGCTGATGATGAACACTCTCTAGCATGTGACAGAGATAAATTTCCTCCATATGGAGTAGGATGAAGATTAGAGTGAAGCCAAGTTTATGCCAAGAGGGAAAATGTCTATTCACCTCACCATCCACAAAATGGACCCTAACATAAGCTGGACTGGCAGGAATGTGAGGTACAAATGAAAGTAAACATTAATGCCTGATTGTGGACATGTGAATTAGACAAATAATGATTACCTAAAATATTTCGACCTGTCACTAGATTCTGGTGTTTTAATTTTGGCAACCAACCTTTCAAAATGCTAGTCTTCATCAGAATATTTATCATCCAAACAGTCTATAAAATACAAAGATACTAATGAGCCATCTTTAAAGATAAGCAAAAAGGAAAGATGGTCAAAACTCCTTCCACTCTGATGAATATGTCAAAACCATCAACTTACTAGCTGGTCATAATTTCAAAAGAGGCTGCAATGGTTCTTTTTGTTTTTTAACAGACAGGATCTCGCTTTGTTGCCCCGGCTGGACTGCAATGGCATGATAATAGCTCATTGCTGCCTCGAACTCCTGGGCTCAGGCGATCCTCCCCTACCTCAGTCTAACCAGTAGCTGGGACTGCAGTACAATAGTGTTTCTGATGAGCACAACAACAGTGAGCTCTTCTTCTCCCACATATTTATAATAACTACCTAGTCATCATTAAATTGAGAATCATACTAATACCTTTATCCAAATTTCAAATCAGTTCAACTTGAGGACATACAGGGAAAATATTTACCTTTGATGTCAACTGTATCTTTTGCATAAAACTCTGTAACTGCCTGGAAAGCATGGCTGTATTCAAAATAAATGTTATCCATCCTTTCGACTCGAATTCTGTCATCCTGCACACTGAAAGAAAAAAGGAAAATTTCAAAGATAACTTATCCATTATCATGAAATGCTGGTATTTAGGTCTTGGCCAGAAGAGGAAAAAAAAAAGATAAAGATTTATTCCTTATTCTTTCCCAAGTTGAAGAAAGAGAGAGAAAGAAAGAGCTAAAGTTTCTCTGCCAAAATGCTCTATTTCATAAAATATTAAAATGAGTACTTTTTAATTTTTTTATTATCTTTTTTTTTTTTTTTTTTTGAGATGGAGTCTCGCTCTGTTGCCCAGGCTGGAGTGCAGTGGCAGCAATCTCAGCTCACTGCAAGCTCCACCTCCTGGGTTCACATCATTCTCCTGCCTCAGCCTCCCGAGTAGCTGAAGCTACAGGTGCCCGCCATCACGCCCAGCTAATTTTTTGTATTTTTAGTAGAGAGGGGGTTTCACCGTGTTAGCCAGGATGGTCTCGATCTCCTGACATTGTGATCCGCCCACCTCGGCCTCCCAAAGTGCTGGGATTACAGGCGTGAGCCACTGCGCCTGGCCAAGTACTTTTTATTAACTGCTATTTTATATCACCTAGCACATTGTGAGTATTTTATATCTATCATTATTTAAAAAGAAAAACTCATTGAAATTAGGGTCCATTATGTTACTAAATATGAAGAGAGAAAAACTGAAAAGCATCATTTTGATTTGATTACGTTATTTGTTTAAATAATCTAGCAACAGAATACAGCACTGAGTAACTCTTTCTTTGAGGGACTTTCTGCTAAATCTGTTTCTATCACAGTCTCCAGTCAAATATAGTAAATTAGGTTAACTCTCACTCTTTAAAGTGATTCTACAGTCCTCCTAAAAATATGTATAAAAATTTGCCTAAGTACATAAACAAAATCATAGCATGCATGCTGGGTAATGCATTTTCTTTTTCTATGTTTTTTGACTCCCTATTCTGTCCTCCTTCTCTTCTTTCTTTATCATCTCACTCCCATGACTGTTATCTCTCATGTTAACAGCCTAGAATGAATCTTTCCATATTTTTTCATGTTCATATTTTGGTCATACACAAGCATATATAATATATGCTCATTATATATTACTACATTATAAAACTGAGATGATTTTATAAACATATTTCTGTGTCTTGTTCTCTTCACTTAATAATTCTTGAAAGTCCCTCCATAAAAATGACCTAGCTACAACTCCTTCTTTTTAATGGCTGAAAAATATTTCATAGTATATAGATGCCACAATTTCTTCAACTATTTCTTTGTTGTTTGATATTCATTTGGTGTTAATGTTTTGTCACATGTTGCTTTAAAACATTTTTATTTAAAAATATAAAACTTTAGTTACAGTTGTAGCCTGCACATATCCCTCACTAATCACATCCCTCTACGATTTCCAGAAGGAAACGCTGGCCGGGCACGGTGGCTTAATGCCTGTAATCCCAGCACTTTGGGAGGCCGAGGCAGGAGGACTGCCTGAGCTCAGGAGTTTAAGACCAGCCTGGGCAACATGGCTCTCTCTACAAAAAATACAAAAATTAGCCAGGCACGGTAGCACATGCCTGTAGTCCCAGCTACTTGGAAGGCTGAGGTGGGAGGATCACTTGAGCCCAGGGAGTCAAGGCTGCAATGAGCTGTGATCACACCACTGCACTCCAGCCTGAGCAAGAGTGAAACATCGTCTCAAATTAAAAAAAAAAATTAATAAAAGAAGCAAACATTATCTTGAATGTGATGTATATTACCATGCATGTTTTCATGTTTTATAAAAAACTGTATCATTTCATGCTTTTCATTTTGTATGAGTGGTACTTTATCATAACCATACAAATTGATTTTATCCTCAATGTTACACTATTTCTAAGATTTATACATGAAGATACATGTGCTTTTTACATTTTAACAGCAGCTAAGTATTTTATTATTTCTTATATTTTCTAATAAATTTAAGATCTGCTTTCTGAATTTATTCACCAGAATTTATCTTTGTGGATAGTGTGAAGTTATAAATACAATTTCATTTTCCATATAATTAATGATCAAAGCAGCAATTAGCATTCCATACGTCCCTGATGATTTATAATGTTACTTTCACTGCATATTGCATTTCTATATATGTTTTTGGATTCTCCATGCTGTTCCACTGGTCTTTTTGTCTATCTCTGTATCACGACCACAGTCTCTTAATTTCTAGGGCTTGGCATCTATATCTAAAGTGGCAAGGTCCCTACCTTGCTCTTCAAGATTGTCTTGGCTACTCCTGGCCCTTTGATTTTCTTTGTGAATTTTAGGTTCACTTACCTTCGGTCTTCACAAGAAACTTACTGGGATTACTTTATTTATTTATTTATTTATTTATTTATTTATTTATTTTTAGACAGAGTTTCACTCCGTCGCCTAGGCTGGACCAGGGCTCATTGCAGCATCATCGACCTCCCAGGCTGAAGCAATCCTCCTTCATCAGCCCCAAGTAGCTAGGACTACAGATAGGCATTACCACGCCCAGCTAATTTTTTTGTATTTTTAGTAGATACAGGGTTTCGCCATGTTGCCCAGGCTGGTGTCAAACTCCTGGACTCAAGCGATCTGCCCACCTCGGCCTCCCAAAGTGCTGGGATTATGGGCGTGAGCCATTGCGCCCAGCCCTTATTGGTATTTTAATTTGATATGTAATGAATTAATTTAGAGAGAAATAACATCTTAAATAGAGGTATCACATTATCAAAGCTGGTATATTCTTCTATTCATGTCTATTATATCCAACAGTAATGTTCTGTAATTTCCTCCATGAAGGTTTTATACAGCTTTGGTTGTGCTCACTCTTAGATACGTACACATACCTCTCTCTGGTCTTTATCTGAAACAGGAACAGGTGTTGGGTGGGGCCCGGCCCAGCATCAGGGGACTCTACTGCACATTAAAGTTAAAGAACCACTGACCTATACAAATAAAAGACTGCTGCTATAATGAAAATTAGTAGATGATAGGAAAGAGTATTCCCAAAGCAAAGAGTATTTCCTTTGGAAGCTTATCTTATGTATATTGATGTAGGTATATCTAATGATCTAAGAACATCAAAAGTTATCTGTAAAGTAAAGCTATACTATAAACAACTGAGTTAAGATACTTTAGAAAGTTTCTCAATATTTTTTTCTTTGGCTCCCTATGCAGAACACTTTCTTGGTCTCTACATAAAACTGAAAAAAGACTTGAAACCATCCCCAGCACCAAAATAAAGCAAGCTTTTTTCTATTTTTATGATTTTCCTTCCTGAGCAAGGAGATCGTATGAGTTGATTTAAAAGTTCAATTACAATGCCTTGTAATAAATAAACAATAGTGAAACTTTATTACCTATTTTGCTTTACAATTAGGTTAAAATTCAGAAAGAAGGATTTATGACAGAAAATCTATAGTTTATATATTTTTTTTCTTCACAAAAACAGTTAAACAAATTCTCATGGGCATATGCCACACAACAATCACTGTTTCTTAGTTTACAATCTAAGACAACAGACAGTAATGTGGTAGACATATGTAAAAGATACAGAAAACACAGAAACACAAATGGCTATACCTCGTCACAAAAGCAGAACACTCCCTCCCTCAATATTATGAAAAGTAGAAATAAATGTATCATTTTATCAATGTAACACACATTTGTAATTTTTTGCTATTTTCCTTGATATAATATTTTATTGAAATAATTGTTGTTTTTTGTTAGATTCAAGCATAGTTTTTCAGTCTCCCTAAATCCTGCCATAAAAAGAGACTTTAATAACCAAACTAAAACCCACAGATAACATGTACTACACTATAACTGCATCTCAAGATATTAAGAACCCCAAAATGCAAGCAGGTGGGATGAACAATAAGATACAAATGCTATCAGCAACCATGTGAGAAGAAGCAGACAAAAGCAACAGAACTCTAACAATCGGAAAACAGAAACAACACAAAACAGCAACGAGGTACTCACTGGAAAGCACAGTAGGACATTTTGAGGAGCTGAAATTGGGAGTGCAGTTTGTATATTTGATAATAGTGACTACAAGGAGTCCACAGTAAAGCCTGAAGGGGCTTGAGAACTCTAGGCCCTATGAATTCACAAAACCAGTGATGCAAAGCACTTTTTTAGGACAAATCTTACCCTGAGGAAAAACTCCTATGAACAGAATCTAAAATGGGGAGAAAAGGATAACAGGGTAATTGTTAAAAAGACAAAAGTACTACAGAACAGAGCCAGGAGAAAATGAGCTGTCACATTTTCAAATACTTTGACAATATGCAGCAAAATGAACCTCAAAAAATCATATTTTGTGAAAGAAATCAAGCCAAAAAATTTTAATATATATTGTAAGATATCCTGTATTTGAAATTCTGTAAAAGGTAAAATATACTGGTGGAAAATTAATAATTGCCTAGGGCCAGATGTGAAGGGAGGGGACCAACTGCAAAAGCACATGGAAAGTTTTAGGGTAAAAGTATTCTTCCACATCTCGACTGTGATAGTGGTTACAAAATTGTGTAAAACTACCACTTACACTTACAGTTGTGTAAACTGTACACTTAAAAATGAACTGTTTATAAATAATACTTGGAGTTAAAAAACACTACCAGAACTGTGAAGTCAGAAAAGCTATTTTGAACCCATGCCTCTTCTAAAAGTTTGGGAAAATGAATTTGCATAAAAATGAGTAATAGAAAAGGACCCAACTCAAATCCTGTCCAAAGTTATGATAAGAAAAAAAAAGAAAAAACATAATAACATCTCTACAGACAACAGAATCATGTTAGATATCTCCATAAAACATGAAAACCCTAACAAGTTAAAAAAATTATTAAGAAAACAAATTGGATTTAGAAAAACTCAGAAATCAACGGGCAGAACTCAGGAATTAGAGACAAAAGGAAAACTTCTCAGAATGAACGATAGTCTAGAAGGCACACAACTGAATAAATACTACAGATAATAAAGATAAGAAGCAGGAAATGAAAGGGGGAAATTTTTTTCAAAGTCAAAAAGAAATGAAAGAGGAGATTTGAAAGATTGAAAGAAAGTAACAAATACAAAAGGTTGGCAAAGAAGACCTAAAACGTGTATAAAAGGTGCCCCCAAGGTACAAAGTTGGCAAAGAGGGCAAAGCAAAGAAACAGAAAAATCACTTGACACTGTATATTTAAAAAACACATCACATACCTGGGGAAATCAACCCATAATGACCATCACAGTAAGTAATCTAGTAAAATTATTTCCAGCCAAAATGACAAGTTGTTTATAAAAGAAAGAAAAACAGAGTTGCCAAACTTTAACCGCAATGTTTTACCCTACAGACAATAGAGTAATGTATTTAAGATACTCAAAGAAATAAACTGTAAGCCAGGAATTTTAAGCTTAGCCAATCTTCCATGTATAAAGGCCACAGAGAGCTATACCCAAAGTATGGTCACCAGACCAGTAGCATCACCACCACCTGGGGACTTGTTAGAAACACAGATTCTCAGGCCCCATCCCACATGTACTGAGCCAGAGAACCTGCCAGTGAGGCCCAGTACTCGGCGCTTTAACAAGCCTGCCAGGTAATTCTGATGCACACTAAGGTGTAAGAACAACCATACTACAGAATAAATTTCAGACAACCAAAATGACTAGAAAGACATGGATATAAGAATTGGTGGTGAGCATGTAATACATATTTGTTTGGAGAACTAAGACTCTCAATGGAGGCTATAAGAAAGAAGGTATAGTACCTAATGGCTATATGCTCTGATGATGCAGATATATTACAACTGTGAAATAAATGGGGAAGAAACGTAAGACCTTTAAATGCAATGGCATTTTATAATATATAATTTTAATAACATAGATTCAGTAATGTGGGATAAAGCAAATTAAATACCTGATATTTGAATGATAAAATCAGAGTACTTACATAAGAACCAGGATTGTCGACATGGTGGGGAAAAGGAGATATAGATGTCAGACTGAAAAAGTTAAATAAAAACTCTTTAGCCCTGAATTTGAATCAGAAGTATTTTTTAATGAGTTCTTAATATAGTTTGACCTATCCAATAAATAGCCTCCCTAGTTGCACAGAATGTGGTTTAGAAATACCATTTCCTGGCCGGGTACAGTGGCTCATGCCTGTAATCCCAGCACTTTGGGAGGCCGAGGTGGGTGGATCACGAGGTCAAGAGATTGAGACCTTCCTGGCCAACACGATGAAACCCCATCTCTACTAAAAATATAAAAATTAGCTGGGTGTGGTGGCACGCGCCTGTAGTCCCAGCTATTCAGGCGGCTGAGGCAGGAGAATCGCTTGAACCTGGGAGGCGGGGGTTGCACTGAGCCGAGATCGCACCACTGTACTCCAGCCTGGCGACAGAGTAAGACTCCGTCTCAGAAAAAAAAAAAAAAATACCATTTCCTACTAAAAGAAACTAGGGAAGGATTACTGGAGAAATGACTAATTCCAGGTCTGGGACTGAAAATGTTTAAGATGATCCTAGACTAACTTGTTACACAAAAAAGCTACTAAAGATTACTAGCATCATGGCAAAATGGCACAGAGGTCAACTTGGAGAGACTCTCTTTGCCCAATAATGGGCCATTTTGAGCACTGGGAAGAATAACAACTGCAATGAAGCCAAAATACATTAGGCCCTTGGGTTCATAATGATACTTTAAAAAGCAAGACTTGTTCATCACTACTGAGTATCAATGGCTACTCAATTCACAAAAAGAGAGATAATTATATGCCTCCCAATGAAAAAATAGAATCTACAAAGTTCTCTTCCTCTTCTATGAAAAAAAAAAAACCTGAATTTTATTAAGCCTCTCAATTCAACTACCAATTTACAGAAAATACAGAGGAATATCTTAAACTCTATGGATATGTAATCAGCAAAATCCAGACTTTGGAAAACTCCACAAGAAAAACAACTGAGTTTCTTCAAAAAAAAAAAAAAAAAACCAAAGGTGAGGATAGGAATAAAAAGAGATGGAGAGGGAACCTGTAGATAAAGAGGTTTAAAACGTATTTTTATAAAAAGTCAGACACAGTGGTATGCACCTGTAGTCCCAGCTACTCAGGGAGCTGAGAAGGGGGATCACTTGAGCCCAGGAGTTCCCAACTCACCTGCGCAACATAGCAAGACCTTTGTCTCTAAAAATATAAATTTTAAAAATTTTGAAGACATTTAAAAAATAAACTGGCAAAATTAAACCATAAGGATACATACTTGGGTGACAAAACTGCAAAGGAAATTAAGAAGGTGATAACAATGACAAAGTCAGGATCATGATTCCTCTGAGGGCTATGACAGTGAGGAGGCAGAGAGAGCTTCTAGAGTGACTGCCAAAACTCTATATCCTGGACTAGATGGTGGTTTCAGCAGCCTTCTTCTATATCTGTATTATATTCTTATATTTGTACCATATTTTAATTTTTTCAAATAAAACACAAATGATTCCAATTTTACTGGCTTCTCCGAAAATTAAATTACTTCTGAAACTTTTACTTTTTACTTTAATCCAAGAGTCTGTTTTATCTCATAAGCAACTACCAATGTTCCATCATCACGCTGAATTTAGAAGTATTTTGATATAGGAAACTCAAACAACCCAATACCAAAAACACAAATAACCAAATTTAAAAATGGGCAAAGGCCCTGAAAGAATGGCCAATATATGAAAAAAAAAATGCTCTCATTAATCATCAGGAAAATACAAATCAAAACCACAATGACATATTTACCTCATTCCTGTTAGAATGGCTATTGTCACAAAGACAAAAAGTGTTGGTCAGGACACAGAGAGGCGTGAACTCTTACATAACTGTTGGTGGGAATGTAAACTGAGACAGCCCTTATAGAAAATAGTATGGAGGTTCCTTAAAAAACTTAAAATAGACCTACTAGCTGGGCAGGATGGCTCACACCTATAGACCCAACTACTTGGGAAGCTAAAGCTTGAGGCCAGGAGTTTGAGACCAGCCTAGGCAACATAGCCTGTCTCTAAAAAAAATAATATAAATTAGCTGGGCATGGTGGAGTGCACTTGTAGTCCCAGCTACTCAGGCGGCTGAGGTGGGAAGGATCTCTTGAACCAAGCAGTTCCAGGCTGCAACGAGCTATGATTATGCCATCGCATTCCAGCCTGGGTGACAGGGCAAGACACCCTCTCTTAAAAGAATTTTTTATAATAAAAATAGAACTATTACATGATCCAGCAATCTCACTACTGGGTATACATTCAAAGGAAACAAACTCAGTATGTCAAAAAGATATCTGCATTCTTACATTTACTGCAGCACTATTCTCAACAGCCAAGTTATGGACTCAGCCTAAGTGTCCATCAATGGATGAACAGATAATGAAAATGTGGAATATACACACAATGGAATACTATTCAGCCCCCCCCAAAAAATGAAACCCTGTCCTTTGCAGTAACATGGATGGAACTGAGGTCATTATGTTAGGTAAAATAAGCCAGGTACCAAAAGACGAATATCACATGTTCTCACTCAAATGTGGGAGCTAAAAAAGTTGATCTCATAGAGGTAGAATAATGGTTACCAGAGCTTTGGGGAGGGAGGTAATGAGAAGCTGGTTAATGGGTACAAGCATACAGTTAGATAGAAGGAATAAGTTCTAGTGTTTGATAGCACAGTAGGGTAGGACTACAGTTATCAATAGTTTATCATATATTTCAAAATAGCTAGAAGATATTAAATGTCTGACATAAAGAAATGTTGTGTCTGAGGTGACAGGTATCCTAAACACCTGATTTTATAATTATACATTGTATACACATATGAAAATATCACATGTACCCCATAAATATGTATAAATATTATGAATCAAGAATAAATATGTAAAAAAATATAAGTTTCTCAAAAAAGGTGTTAGGCACAGTGGCTCACACCCGTAATCACAGCTACTCAGGAGGCTGTGGCAGGAGGATCGCTTGAGGCCAGGAGTTTGAGACAAGCCTGGCAACAGAGCAAAACCCAATCTCTGCAAAAACAAAAAAAAGATAGTTGTCAGATACTATCATAAAAGACACAGGAGAGAAATAAAAAAAAAGACTTCCATTTAGAGCACTTCAACAAGTTTTCTTTTAAGAATCGACCTTTAGAACAAAAAAATCATAAAGAGGAATTACTCTAAATAAAAGTTTACTGAGGAATTTTCTATCTAATAAAGAAATAAATATAAAGCAGTTGAAAGATAGGTGTGGGGTAGGGAAAACTAGCATTTTTTATTAGTCAACACAATTCTGAAATAGAGTCTATATAATGCTTTTAAACATTCACAGGCATTTCTACCAGCTACTCTTATGGCTCATAGTGAATGGCAGAATGATCACTTTTAAAAATGCTTAGCAGACATTTATGGAGTGCCTACTGCACGTTACCCCTCAAGCCCTTGTACCACACTGCTGCCAGAGAGAGCACTAAAGATGAAGACATTGCACTTGCCCTCTGACTCCTTCAATAGCTCCCCATTTCTGTGATCAGGAAAAGTGCTTCCATATATGATATGGTTGGAATTTGTGTCCCTGCCCAAATCTCGTATCAAATTGTAATCCCCAGTGCTG